>NC_000011.10:122626970-122930000 GCF_000001405.40 Homo sapiens
TCATGATCTCAGCTCACTGCAACCTCCACCTCCCAGGTTCAAACAATCCTCTTGCCTCAGCCTCCCAAGTAGCTGGGATTACAGGCATGCACCACTGCAGCCAGCTAATTTTTGTATTTTTAGTAGAGACGGGGTTTCACCATGTTGGCCAGGCTGGACTCGAACTCATGACCTCAGGTGATCCACCTGCCTTGGCCTCCCAAAGTGCTGGGATTCCAGGCACGCGCCACCAGGCCCAGCCTAGTGTCATCCTTTTGTGATGTTGCCAGGCCCTTCCACCGAAACAGAAAATAAAAGTCCCAAAGGCTTTTTAGTATTATAACAAGGACACCTGTTTAAAAACAGTCACAGGCCGGGCACGGTGGCTCCCGCCTGTAATCCCAGCACTTTGGGAGACTGAGGCGGGCAGATCACAAGGTCAGGAGATCGAGACTATCCTGGCCAACATGGTGAAACCCCGTCTCTACTAAAATACAAAAAATTAGCCAGGTGTGATGGCACATTAGCCAGGTGTGATGCACTACAGGCACAGCTGGCCTGTAGTCCCAGCTACTCGGGAAGCTGAGGCAGGGGAATCGCTTGAACCCGGGAGGCAGAGGTTGCAGTGAGCCGAGATAGCACCTCTGCACTCCAGCCTGGCAACAGAGCAAGACTCCGTCTCAAAAAAAAAACAAAAAACAAAAAAACAAAAAATAGTCACAGAGCCTTGCTAATGGGGAGAATATCCTTTCCCAGGTATGGATTTGGATCGTATAGTCTCTAGGAAATACCTAATGTTTGTCTCAGAGATGTGTTATTATTTAACAGGTCAACCAGTAAAGGAATCAGCTGTAACAATTCTACCTGTTGGGAAGATTGGAAATAAATTGGCTCCCAACATTCACAACCAGTCATAACACCCAAGCTCATCCTCTCTGCGGAATATGCGATGCAGACAGACTCCCTACCCATCTGGCAGAAGTCCAGAGTGACACAGAGATTGCAGGACTAAGGAAAGAGCCAAGGAGTGAGACTCCCTTCTCTGTAATGGACTGGGCTTTCCCTAATGGATCTTAGAACGGTGCCTTTAAAGTTGCACACCCATCAGCTGGTTCTAATCCTGGGCACAATGACAGATCACAGCACCAGAATTCATAATGGACCCAAAGAAAATAGCAATATTTGTTTTCTAAACTCAATAACGGGCTGGGTGGGGTAGCTCACCCCTGGAATCCTAGCACTTTGGGAGGCTGAGGCAGGTGGATCATTTGAGGTCAGGAGTTTGAGACCAGCCTGGCCAACATGATGAACCCATCTCTACTAAAAATACATAAATTAGCTGGGTGGTGCCGGCAAGCACCTGTAATCCCAACTACTAGGGAGGCTGAGACAGAAGAATCACTTGAACCCAGGAGGCAGATGTTGTGCTGAGCTGAGATCACGCCACTGCACTCCAGCCTGGGCGACAGAGCTAGACTGTCTCAAAAAATTCAAAAATAATAAAAAATAAACACAACAAAGGGCCAAAAAGAAAAATCAGGGCCCAATAAAACACTTCTGACTTTTCTGCATCACTTAGCACAGTCCTTTGAATATAATATATAGGCAATAAATATTTGCTATCAGTTTCAACTAAATAGCTTCCACTATCATTGAACATTAGTTTATCTGGTTTCATCCTTACAGCAGACTTCCTCAGTTAAAAGTCATGAAAAACTATTTAAAAATGTAAGCATCATTAAAATTTCACCCCATGGCATTCAACTCCCCGAGGTCAACAGTGGCAGTATTTTTCATCTGCTCAAGTACAAATCAGCTCTTAGATCATCAGATGGCTGCTGCAGGCCCGGGCTCTTCTTTTCCAAAATAGTTGTTGCACTGTGATTGGAATAAGCACAGTGGCTGCTGTTGGAAGGGGAGGGATGCAGGGAAAAGCTGTGAGGAGGCTTTGTGGGTTGGCAGATGCTACGATTTTCCTCTCGGTGCAGCAGTTGTGTTGAGCTATATGTTTTTGCATAGACACATTCCTTTGGCAAACAGACTGTTCTTTTTCATTTCTGCTTCCAACAGACTGGTGGCATCCTGTGCAGTAAGAGGGAGGCAGGAGGAGGTTCCTCCTCCTCCAGGAGGGCGAACCCAAGGCTGGCTACTCTCATCAGAGCCAGCCCTAGGGATGCAGGCCCCAGGGAAAGCCACAAGGGGTCGTTTCTGTGCAAGGGTGAAATCTGGTTTGAGAGACAAAATACCATTGTTAGTGGATGGGCAAGAAGGAAGCTGGAGATGGCGACTGGCGTTGTGAAAAGGAGAAATTACTTGTAAATTGACTGAGCCATCTCAGCAACACACAACTCCTGGGTCTTTTTCAACAGGTGAAAATTAACTGCTCTCTTGCAACCTTGTGACCAGATTGAAATGAAAATAAGCCCCGAGTCAAATATGTACAAAAAGTTATTAAACAAGCACTTCTTTGCAAACTGGCAAAGAACAATACATATAACCAGTTCTTTCTTTCTTTCTTTGTTTTTTGTTTTTGTTTCTGTTCTGGTTTTGAGACCGAGTCTCACTCTATTGCCCAGGCTGGAGTTCAGCGGCACAATCTGGGCTCACTGCAACCTCTGCCTCCTGAGTTCAAGCAATTCTCCTGCCTCATCCTTCCGAGTAGCTGGGATTACAGGTGCGCGCCACCACGACTGGCTAATTTTTGTGTTTTTAGTAGAGACAGGGTTTCACCATGTTGGCCAGGCTGGTCTCGAACTCCTGGCTTCAGGCGATCCACCCGCCTTGGCCTGCCAAAGTGCTGGGATTACAGGTGTGAGCCACCACGCCTGGCCCTTTTTTTTTTTTCTTTTTGAGACAGGGCAGGCAGAGATAATAACAGGGTCATAGCCAAGAACTGTGGGAATCACCACTATTTGGTCACCCAGTTGGTGTTGCTGACACATAGTCTCCCAAGGAGACTGGCAGTGGGAAAGTCTCCCTTCCTGGTGTGAGCCAGCCCCCAGGGAAAGAATGTTTTCTGTAAATACTGTTCTCACACATCCCCACTCCCAAAACACACACACACACACACACACACACACACACACACACACACCACTCCGTCGACACTACCTGAACACCTTCACCTGCACTATGATGAAGAGCAGTGACCTCAATCCTCAGTCCCCCACTGAGATGATGGTTTCCACCCATGTGGACCCAGGAGCAGGCAGAAAGGTGGGAAGGTAATGCCAGTCAGCCAGGGATTTGGACTTTGCTGCATGATGCTGAATCTTTCACCTTTTATTCTTTCGTGTGGTATAAACTTAGAAAGAAGGTTGGTTTGTTTTTTCATGAACTAGTCAGACAATTGACAATGTGATGTATCATTTAGATTTCCCAATACTCAACTGCCCCCCAGCAGAAGGTCATTGTGTCTACTCCAGGCTTTTTGAAACAATTTTTGTATTGAAGGCATCAGAAGCACCTGAAACTTGAGATGTTAAAATCACTGTCTGTAGGCAGTCCTTAAGGTATTGTGGTGATTTGTACTGTGTCAGCTCAGCTCAGCTGGAACTACGTTTCCAGGAATCTCCTCTCTATATGGTCCTGGATTACGGTCGGCCTCTAAGGAAATGTGCAGGCAATGTGGAAGCTGAAAGGGGCACAGCAGGAATTACCTAGGAGGGCTGGGTGAGACTTCGGGTGACGCCCCACTTGGCAGGTCATTGCTCATGGGGATGGGAGGGTCATCTCTTCAGCACGGGACTGTCTCAGGACAGGATCATGTTTGTAGTTCCTCCAAGTCCTGCTGGATCTCCCACTTCAAGTTCTACAAGTCCTCCGCCAGGCCTGTCTGCAGTTTTATGGCAAAGAGCACCAGCCTCTACCCATGTCATTGGGATTAGTGGCAGTGGGAGGTAGATGTGGATTCTATGTTGTCCCTAAGAGTAGCCTCCAAGGCCGGGCATGGTGGCTCATGCCTGTAATCCCAGCATTTTGGGAGGCCAAGGCGGGTAGATCACCTGCGGTCAGGAGTTCGAGACCAGCCTGACCAACATGGCGAAACCCCGTCTCTACTAAATACAAAAAATTAGCCAGGAGTGGCAGCACATGCCTGTAATCCCAGCTACTTGAGAGGCTGAGGCAGGAGAATTGTTTGAACCTGGGAGGCAGAGGTTGCAGTGAGCCAAGACCGCACCGTTGCACTCCAGCCTGGGCAAAAAGAGAGAAACTCTGTCTCAAAAAAAAAAAAAAAAATTATATCATGAGTGAACTGAAGTTTTTATCATAGAAAAATCAGATTCAGATTCAAAAGTTTTCCTTCTTTTTTTTTTTTTTTTTTTTGATATGGAGTCTCGCAGTGTTACCCAGCCTATAGTGCAGTGGCTATTCACAAGCATGATCATAGCTCACTCCAGCCTCAAACTCCTGTGCTCAAGCAATCCCCTTGGCTCAGCCTCCCAAGTAGCTGGGAACATAGGCACATGTCACCATGTCTGGTTCAAGAGCTATCTTGAATCTACAAAGAGCTTGAATATGTGCTGGGCTGTCGTGTAGAAAGCAGGTTTAAAAGAGTTTTCAATTCCTCCAATGCATAGGTTTTAGATCTAAAGGGACAAAAACTGTAACCCCATACAAAGATTTCTGGGCCAGGCACAGTGGCTCGTGCCTGTAATCCCAGCACTTTGGGAGGCCAAGGCAGGAGGATCACTTGAGGCCAGGAGTTTGAGACCAGCCTGGGCAACATACTGAAACCCTGTCTCTAGTCACAAAAAAAAAAAAAAAAATAAGATTTCTGTCTGAAATAGCTGCCTTGATAAGTGTTGCATTCCCCAGAACTACAGTTGCTCTGGCAAATGGGGAATGACCTTTGGCAGGGTTGTTGTCAGCAAGTTCAGTCCTGGGCTGGATGCTTGCAAATTAAAATTCTAGTCGGCTTTGTTCTATTACTTACTGTGAATATTATCAAAGATGTACTGATCCTCTCGAGAGCATCATGGTGGGTTAAAAAGAGGAAAAAGGGGGTACAAAGAAGTAGAGAACCAAATTTCTTTCTTTGAAATATTTCCAGTATCCTCAGGCAAACAAGATACACAATTCAACTTAATACAATAAATATTTACCAAAGCTGACTTTGTGGTCAAGCCTAGGCTTGTTGGTAAAAATTCAAAGAGGAATTGAGACAGCCCCAAGAATCCTGGAAAGGTATATATTAGAACAAGTAGTATAAACAACAAGATGGTGTATGCTAAGGGTTCAATGAATTTTTGCACTGCACGTCCCATATGAATTCAGAGGAAGGAGAAATCCTTTATGTTGAGCAGAAGCATGATTACGTATAATCAGTAGTGCCTTAGCAAATACTTTGTACACACAACTTGCCCTACTAATTGCAATAAAATGTGTTTATATCTTGACCTGAGGACTTGCTACAAGCAGGGTCGTAGGACAGAAGCAGCAAGCAGGCACTTGCCAGACTTCAACCGCAAGAAGAAAAGCCAAGACCTTCAAAGCCTTCCGGAGCGGGGACAGTAAAGGAAGGAAGACAGGGAAACAGGATATAAGCAAAGGGGTCCTCTACTGGGCATAATGATGGGTTAAAATGATACTTTGACTAATTTGTCATTTTTTAAAATTTTGCTTTGTCATTATGTAGGAAGCTTAACAATTACTCAATCCTTTGATAAGTTCACAGCACATCCAATTTGCCTGGATTACATCTTTACTCACTTTTCAAGAATTTCTGGGCCAGACGCAGTGGCTCACGCCTGTAATCCCAGCACTTTGGGATGCCGAGGCGAGCAGATCACCTGAGGTCAGGAATTTGAGACCAGCCTGGCCAACATGGCAAAACCTCGTCTCTACTAAAAATACAAAAATTAGTCAGGCATGGTGTCAGGTGCCTGTAGTCCCAGCTACTCGAGAGGCTGAGGCAGGAGAATCGCTTGAACATGGGAGGTAGAGGTTGCAATGAGCTGAGATCTTGTCACTACACTCCAGCCTGGGCGATGGAGCAAGACTCCATCTCTAAAATAAAATAAAATAAATAAAAATAAAAAAGAATTCTGTCTTCCTTAGAAAAAGAAGTGAATAGGAAAGGAAGTACATTTTTTAAGACTCTACATCGGACACTTTATATACATTATCCTATTTTCTCTTGAAAATGAGTATTATTATCACCTCTACTTAATCAATGCAGAAACTAATACACAAAAGTGTAATTAACTTGCCCCAGGTAATATCGCTGAGAAATAACAGTTCGAACTCAGATCCATCTGGCTACAAAGCACGTGGTTTTAAACGACCCTACACTGATTTCCCATTGTCTTCTGTATGTACACCTAGCTATTGATGGTGATGATGATGGTGATGAGGAGAATATTGATTGCAATATGCTGATTAACTCAATTACAGAATCAGGTTCTCATGGTTCTAGAACAGAAGCAAGACAATGTTAACAACCAACACAAGAGGGACCTGTAACACCAGACTATAGGGAAATAGAGAGTTTCTAAAGCCAGCCGGCCCATGCCTGAATCCCAGGAGAGAAGCAGTCCTCGCAACACTGTTGCTGCTTCCAATACAGAGAGTTCAATATTGCATTTTAATCCGTAACTGATCCTCTGATTAATTTTAAAAATTTATTTTTATTTTTATTTTTTTTAGAGACAGGGACTTGCTGTATCACCCAGGCTGGAATACAGGGACGTGATCACAGCTCACTGCAACCTCAACATCCTGGACTCGTGCAATCCTCCCACCTCAGCCTCCTGAGTAGCTGGGACTACAGGTGTGTCACCAAGCCTGGCTAATTTTTTAAGTTGTCTGTAGAATCGGGGTCTTGCTATATTCCCCAAGCTAACCTGGAACTACTAGCCTCAAGTGATTCTCCCACCTCAGCCACCCAAAGTGCTGGGATTACAGGCGCGAGACACCACATCCAGCCATTTCATTAAATTTAAATGAGTCTGTTAATAAGACATTAAGAGGCTGGGCGAGGTGGCCCTTGCCTGTAATCCCAGCACTTTGGGAGGCTGAGGGGGGCAGATCACTTGAGGCCAGCGGTTCGAGACCAGCCTGGCCAACATGGAGAAACCCCATCTCTACTAAAAATTAAATAATTAGCCTGGCATGGTGGTGGGCACCTGTAATCCCAGCTACTCAGGAGGCTGAGGCAGGAGAATCGTTTGAACCTGGGAGGTGGAGGTTGCAGTGAGCCGAGATCGTGCCACTGAACTCCAGCCTGGGTGACAGAGTGAGACTTTGTCTCAAAAAAAAAAAAAAAGACTTTAAGATGGAATTTTGCATGGATTTCAACAAAACTACATGTGGCTTCATCATATGTGACTTTGTTTATTTTTATTTTATTTCATTTAGATTTATTTATTATCTAGATTAAATACAGAAACAATTTTTATGAAAAAACATTTTTAAGTAAACAATCCAAGGCATCTATTTTGAATGGAAACAAGGAATTTTCAAATTTAATCCCAATAACAAATCCAGCATTCTCATTAAAGAAAAGATAGTCAAATAAGGTCACTATGCTCCTGGCTGAACTGTGTGTTTTCAGGAGTGGGAGCGAGTGAGAGAGGGAGAGGATCAAATATAAAAAATCCAGAAAAGAGAGGGGAAATAGAATGAGAAACAGATGGTCTCAGATTTCCAAACCGGAACATTTTTTTTCTTTTTGGGGGTTGGTTAGTTACCATTTGTAATCTGAACCAAAAAGAGGAGGCAGTTACAATTGCCTTTTAGTGACAACTCACACAGCTGGTGGTGGCTGGAAGTCAGGCCAGCAACTTCCTGGATGCAGGGTAAGGCGAGCTCCAGGCCCTTTGCCCCACCCCACACGCGGTGCCGGCTACTGTTCCTACCGCTCCTGGTGCCTTCCAGTTTAGGGCTTGGTTCAGGCTGACTGAGAGTATCTCTGGTCCCACGGAGCCAGCCTTGGTTTGGGCCCTGTGTGTGGTTTGTTGTTGTTGTTGTTGTTGTTGTTGTATTGTTTTTTGTTTTTTGAGACAGAGTCTCCCTCTGTTGCCCAGGCTGGAGTGCAGCGGCGCGATCTCAGCTCACTGCAACCTCCACCTCCCAGGTTCAAGCGATTCTCCTGCCTCAGCCTCCCTAGTAGCTGGGATTACAGGCACGCACCACCACACCCGGCTAATTTTTGTATTTTTAGTAGAGACAGGGTTTCACCATGTTGGCCAGGCTGGTCTCGAACTCCCAACCTCAAGTGATCCACTCACCTTGGCTTCCCAAAGTGCTGGGATTACAGGTGTGAGCCACCGTGCCCAGCCCTGTGTGTGGTTTTTATACTCAGCCCTATCTATAGTGTGCTGAGCACAGAGGCCCCCGGTCCAGGGTGGAGTAGGGTATATGGTGTGTCTTTGGTTCGAAAGAGAAGCGTTTACATCTGTCAAGTCCCACTTCCATATTTCCAGTTTGCTGCCATGACACTTTCTTCAACATATCCGAAATAAATTTAGCAAACTCCTCTCTTCCTGTCCTAAATAAGCTTCTCTTCTTGAATAACCAGTTTCTGAGAATGGCATTACCATTTTCTTAGTCCTGTAGACTCAAACATTTCTCCTTAATGTCCCATATCTAAGTTGTCTCAATCTTCTAGAAAGGGTGGATTTACTTCCAAAATATCTCTTTTACCTAATTTTTCATTTTTAACTGTACTGCCAACATCCTATTCAAACAATTTCTCAACATCAAAAGTCAGTCCTTCTATATCCCCAAAAACGTGCTGATGTTTTCCTTCAGAAATGGATACCATTTTAAAGTGAAAAAAAAAAGCCTGGGTGAAGTGGCTCACACACATAATCCCAACACTTTGGGAGGTTGAGGGCACAGGATCCCTTGAGACCAGCCTGGGCAAAATAGAGAGATCCCACCTCTGTTAAATAGATAAATAAAGGGGGAAACATTCTGTAGCCCTTCAGTGTTGATGTAGCTCATTTTGTATTATGATATTATTTAAAAATATACAAAGGCCAGGTGCAGTGGCTCACGCCTGTAATCCCAGCATTTTGGGAAGCCAAGGTGGGTGAATCACCTGAGGTCGGGAGCTCGAGATCAGCCTGGCCAACTGGTGAAACCCCATCTCTACTAAAAATACAAAAATTAGCTAGGCATGGTGGCAAGTGCCTGTTATCCTCGCCACTTGGGAGGCTGAGGCAGGAGAATCACTTGAACCCGGGAGGCAGACGTTGCAGTGAGCCGAGATCGTGCCACTGCACTCCAGCCTGGGCGACAGAGTGAAACTCTGTCTCAAAAAAAAAAAAAAAAAAAAGGCTGGGTGCGGTGGCACGCCTGTAATCCTAGCACTTTGGGAGGCCGAGGCAGGCAGATCATGAGGTCAGGAGTTTGAGACCAGCCTGACCAACACAGTGAAACCCCGTCTCTACTAAAAATACAAAAAATTAACCGGGCGTGGTCATGGGCACCTGTAATCCCAGCTACCCGGGAGGCTGAGGTAGGAGAAATGCTTGAACCTGGGAGGTGGAGGTTGCAGTGAGCCAAGATCGCGTCATTGCACTCCAGCCTGGGCGACAGTGCAAGACTCCATCTCAAAAAAAATAAATAAAAAGAAAAATAAATAATAATAATAATAAAAAGGCTGGGTGCAGTGGTTCACGCCTGTAATCCCAGCACTTTGGGAGGCCGAGGCAGGCGGATCACAAGGTCAGGAGTTCGAGGCCAGCCTAGCCAATATGGTGAAGCCCCGTCTCTACTAAAAATATCAAAAATTAGCCTGGGGTGGTGGCAGGTGCCTGTAATCCCAGCTACTCAGGGGCTGAGGCAGGAGAATCGTTTGAACCCAGGAGGCAGAGGTTGCACTAAGCCAAGATCATGCCACTGCACTCCAGCTGGGCAGCAGAGGGAAATTCCATCTCAAAAAAAAAAAAAAGAAAGAAAATTTAAAAAAAGTAAAAGAAAAATTAAGCATACACAAAAGTGAGGCAAATGGCACCATGAATCTCTTTGTACCCTTCACCAAGCTATAGCAACAATCAGTTCCTGGACAATCCTCCTTCATCTGTATCCTCAGCCACTTCTCTCTAGTCACTACCCCACTGGACTATCTTGAAGCAAATCCCAGATTCCATGTTAGCTCATATACAAATATTTCAGCATGTGTCTCTAAAAAATAAGAAGTCCATTTAAATCACAATCACGATACCATTTTTTTTGAGATGGAGTCTTGCTCTGTCACCCAGGCTGGAGTGCAGTGTTGTGATCTCAGCTCACTGCAACCTCTGCCTGCTGGCTTCAAGTAATTCCTGCCTCAGCCTCCCAAGTAGCTGGGATTATAGGCATGTGCCACAACACCCGGCTAATTTTTTTATTTATTTTCTTGTATTTTTAGTAGAGACGAGATTTTACATGTTGGTCAGGCTGGTCTTGAACTCCTGACCTCAAGTGATCCAACTGTCTTGGCCTCCCAAAGTGCTGGGATTACAGGCATGAACCATTGCACCCGGCCCCACAAAATGCTATTTAAAGTGGACTGACTTCTGGATAGTTTAGCTCACATTTGTTCTACTGGGCTCCAGGTCATAGAGTGAGTTTTCCAATTCTGTCCTTTTATCTGGGAGAAAGGAAAGCACTACCACAGTGGGGCCTGGACTGGACTGAGAATGAGAGCCAGACACCTTCATTTAACAACCATTTGTGAGGAAGCTGGCCCGATTGGAGGGGATGATAGTCTTCTATATTCTACCACTCCCTTAGCGGGTTCTTTCCCTCCTCCTGTACTCTGCCATTTCCCTCCAGAGTACCCATCGACCCACGTCATCCCCCACCAGCTGCTGCTCTTCTTATGACCACGAAACACTTCCCACTTCACATCCTTCCACAGATGTACAAGTGCAAAAGCATCACCACAACAGGAAGCAGTTAAAGGAGCCAATCCCTCTCTCGTCTCCATCCTTTTTGTCTTCTCTCCTCTCTCTCACCCTTCCCTTCCTCTGTCCCTCCTCCACTCCTGCCTTGGGAATACAGCATGCCTTTTATTTATTATTAATATTGAGACCAAGTCTTGTTCTGTCACGCAGGGTAGAGTGCAGTGGTTTGATGTTGGCTCATTGCAACCTCCACCTCCCAGGCTCAAGTGATCCTCCAGCCTCAGCCTCCCAAGTAGTGTGTGCCACCACAACTGGCTAATTTTTATTTTATTTTATTTTATTTTTAGATGGAGTTTTGCTCTTGTTGCCCAGGCTGGAGTGCAATGGCTTGATCTCGGCTTAGCGCAACCTCCGCCTCCTGGGTTCAAGTGATTCTCCTCCCTCAGCCTCCCAAGTAGCTGGAATTACAGGCATGTACCATCACGCCTGGCTAATTTTGTATTTTTAGTAGAGATGGGGTTTCACCATGTTGGCCAGGCTGGTCTCAAACTCCTGACCTCAAGTGATCCACCCGCCTTGACCTCCCAAAGGGCTAGGATTATAGGCGTGAACCACTGCATCCGGCCAGCTTGCCTTTTAAACCCCTCCAGACTAACAGCAAAGGACAACAATTAGGGGTTTCTTGAACTGGCTTCTGTCCCCTCTGATGGGCCCAGGAGATTTGAAGTTGTCAAGAATTTCAAGATATTCACTTATTTTCATTCCTTACAGATCATTTCTATGAAACTAGCTCCAGCTCTCATTGTGTAGTTGTTACCCCTGGGATATTAACAATAGGCAAAGAGCTGTCCTCCCCAGGTTTTAATGAGTAGAAATAAGAAAACTCAGGGATTCGGAGGTAGATGAGCCTGGACTGTATTTTCACCTGTACCTATTTTGTTTTCCCTTTTTCTTTCCCGTCTCCCATTCTAATTCCAGTATTACTGGTAGTTAGCGAGTTAGCTAGACCCAAGTCCATTGTAAGAATGACTTCTTTTAGCAAGCAAGTCCCTGCTAGGGACAGTCCAACTTTAAATATTGCATCTTATTGTCAGGTGACATGAGCTGAGGTTTGCTTCAGAAAATATGGCGGCTTCATTTATAAGTGGCCGCACACCTTCCCCAGGGAAGGCCTGTTTCACACCCGTTGTTTCTTAAGGAAGAACGCCAGCCAGACTGCAGCCATCTTGTCTTCATTTTTATAGTGTGTGCTTAACACCTCATAAGAGCTTGTAGGGGCTCCAGCAATGTAGAGGCTAACAAGATGAAAGACACCTCAACGAACATCCCCAGTCGGAACCCTGATGACATCCTTTCCTTCAAGGTGTTCTCACCTGGCAGTGGAGACAGGCAACTACCTTGAATATAGATGTTGTCACTTTAGCCATGATCATTAAAAGCGATTCCCAATTTCTTCATCTATGAAATGGCAACAGTACTGCCACCTGCCCAGGACTACTGATGTTATAACTGTAAAGCCCCACACACGAGAGCTATTCCAAAGCCAGTCCAGTTTCAGGCTCATCAACCCTGCATAATGAATGAGGAAATAAAGGAATGTATGCATGAGTGGATGATTAAATGGATACAGTGGTTTATTTTCAGTATAAATGGAGGGATGCACTAGCTCAGAGTTTGTAGGATTTTGCAGTCTGCAATGTACTTTTTTTTTTTTTTTTTTAATTTTTGAAGACTGGGTCAGCCGGGTGTGATGGCTCACACCTTTAATCCCAGCACTCCAGCACCCTGGGAGGCAGAGGCGGGAGGATCACTTGAGCTCAGGAGTTTCAGGCTAACCTGGGCAATGTAGCGAGACCATCTCTAAAAAATAAAATAAAATAAGAAGACCAGGTCTTCCTTTGTTCCCCAGGCTAGTCTCAAACTCCTGGCTTCAAGCGATCCTTCCGCCTTGGCCTCCCAAAGTGCTGGGATTTACAGGCATGAGCCATTACACTCAGCATTTATGTGGCATTTTAAAAAATCTTTTTGCAGTCCAGGAGTATGAGATTCAGCATTGTTTAAAGTGAACTGGGTCAGAAGTAGAAGAATCAGAACTTGAACTCAGGTCTTTTCCAGCTAAGCCTGGCATCACTGTTATTTTCATCTGGTATGTCTACCTCCTGCTGAACGTTCAGACCTCAACTTAAATATCACCTCCCTGCTGCCAGCCTTCCCTTCCAGCTCAGCTAAGGTGCCCTCTTCCCCTTCGCTCTCTTTCTCATTCACCTGTTTTATTTTCTTCATTTATCACTACCATGATTTGACATCATTTCATTTTTTGAGTTGAAGTCCGCAAGGTATTCTATGTGTCAGATTCTGTGTTGGACTTGACCTCCATTATTTAATAACATAATCACACAGCCTTATGAAGATAGTCTCTTATCTCTGTTTTACCTATACAGAAACTGAAGTTTGTAGAGTTTAAGTTAATTTCCAAGTTTATTTTTTTATTTTTATTTTTTTTGAGACAGAGTTTTGCTGTTGTTGCCCAGGCTAGAGTGCAATGGCGCGATCTCGGCTCACCGCAACCTCTGCCTCCCAGGTTCAAGCGATTCTCCTGCCTCAGCCTCCCGAGTAGCTGGGATTATAGGCAAGTGTCACCACGCCCGGCTAATTTTTGTATTTTTAGTAGAGACGGGGTTTCTCCATGTTGGTCAGGCTGGTCTCTAACTCCTGACCTCAGGTGATCCGCTCTCCTTGGCCTCCCAAAGTACTGGGATTACAGGTGTGAGCCACCACCGCGCCCGGCAATTTCCAAGTTTAAACAGCAGAAACAGTGTTACTCTAAGTAGAAAGGCTCTGATATTTAATTGCAATGACCACACTTTTAAATACTGTGCTAGCCTCCTAAAAGTGTTATTTGATTACCTTTCAATGTACTGTTTTATTTTATTTTATTTTTTCAGAATTGATGTATAGTGTCTACATCTCTGTTTTTGTTTTGTTTTTGAGATGAGGCCTGGTTCTATCACCCAGGCTGGAGTGCAGTGGTATGATATCACTGCAACCTCTGTCTCCCAGGCTCAAGGGATCCTTCCACCTCTTGATCCTCTCACCTCAGCCTCTCGAGTAGCTGAGACTGTAGACACGTGCCACCATGCCTGTCTGAATTTTGTATATTTTGGGGGGTAGAGTCAGAGTTTTGCCATGTTGTCCAGGCTGGTCTTGAACTCCTGGGCTCAAGCAGTCCACCTGCCTTGGCCTCCCCAAGTGCTGGAATTACAGGAGTGAGCCACTGCTCCTAGCCCTACAACATCTCTTAAGAAAATTGGTGATATCCTGTTATCTATTGATTTCAGAATGATTGAGAGTGACCTAAATCAATGATATATCTGATTGCTACAATAAAGGAATAATTCAAGTTTATTTTTCAGACTAACGGAGACAAGCAGCAGTATGGGCTTCATTAATATCTGGCTTGAGCCGGGCGAGGTGGCTCACACCTGTAATCCCGGCACTTTGGGAAGCCAAGACAGGCGGATCACGAGGTCAGGAGATTGAGACCATCCTGGCTAACACGGTGAAACCCCGTCTCTACTGAAAATACAAACAATTAGCCGGGCGTGGTGGCTGGTGCCTGTAGTCCCAGTTACTCGGGAGGCTGAGGCAGGAGAATGGCATGAACCCGGGAGGTGGAGCTTGCAGTGAGCTGAGATCGCGCCACTCCACTCCAGCCTGGGGGACAGAGCAAGACTCCGTCTCAAACAAACAAACAAAAAAAACAATCTGGCTTGAAAATGATTGTTCTTATTCTTCTCAACAAATTTCACCGAAGACCATTTCACCAAGATCACGTGCTAACTGGTCAGGAAAAGGAGATAGCCCAGATGTGTGTCTGGGGATGAAAGGACTCTTGACCATTACGTATCGAGAAAATAGTAGAGTTGACTACAAATTACTGGAGATGGCAGACAACAGTGGAAAAGTGTGGATTTCAGCTTCTGGTACTTACTAACTGTGTTTGGGTAAATCTCACCTGAGTCTTGCTTTTCTCATCCGTAAAATGAGAAAAATAAAACTTTAGTTACAGGGATGTTATAAGGATTAAATGAAATAATTCATATAAACGACCTGATATGCACTTGGTGATAAGTTAACTTTATTTTTTTATTTTATTATTATTTTTTAAGATGGAGTCTTGCTCTGTCACCCAGGCTGGAGTGCAGCGGCACAATCTCAGCTCACTGCAACCTCCACCTCCCGAGTTCAAGCCATTCTCCTGCCTCAGCCTCCTGAGTAGATGGGATTACAAGCATGCACCATCACGCCCGGCTAATTTTTGTATTTTTAGTAGAGACAGGGTTTCACCATGTTGGCCAGGCTGGTCTTGAACTCCTGACCTCAAGTGATCCGCCGGCCTTGGCCTTCCAAAGTGCTGGGACTACAGGCGTAAGCCACTGTGCCCAGCCGGTGACAAGTTAACTTTAGTCTCTTTCCACTATCTCTTGTTCATAACAATTTACTAGTCCATATATGTACAGGTGTAAGCCACTGTGCCCAGCCAGTGACAAGTTAACTTTAGTCTCTTTCCACTATCTCTTGTTCATAACAATTTACTAGTCCATATATGAGATGTGATTATGAAATAAAGAACAAGATCGATATTTCATGTAACTATACTGAAATGAAAACATCTAAATCCCTGCCATCCCCAGCATAGCAGTACATCTTGGGAAGCTACCCACTTGGCCTAACTCCACTCACTGTGTTTGCTCAAAACATTTTTGGAATGCTTCTCTCTGCCAGTCAGAGCCCCAAGCAGAAGACATTCACAGGAAATGAAATCAATGATTTACTATTCATCCGCCATAGACTGTTACTCATCCTGAACAAGTGAATGAGTGATTATTTTCAAAACAGACGAACAGATAAGAGCAAGCCACAACCCTCACACCACTTCACAGAGTGGCCATTCAGCACTCAGACCAAGTATCCCTCAGCTTCCCAGAACTTTTTCCAGATACGCTCAGAGAAGCACTTGTTGGCAACTTCACCAGGAGCCACTTTCTAAATGGGGAAGAGATTGGCTCTGAGGAACAGCATGGATTAGTCACAGGAGGCGAGGGATGGTGACATTCCTGAAAACAGAGGGGACCAGAAATAGATTTACACATGTCTAGGGCACTCTTTTCTCTACAGAAAGGTTTAAAAACACTGGCTCTAATGAGGGGTGGGTGGTATGTAACAAGGGTAATGTGGGAGAGAGGCAAACCCATTTCAGGGAAAAGCACTTCCCTGGAGATGTTCTCAAGAGCCTTTATTTACAGAAAAAGTTGCGTGACCGTGAGCATCCTGAAGAAGAACCACCTTCCTCAGATTTCAAAGGCCAATCATGTTGATGCTCTTAGCCAGTGATTACTAGCTGGATCTGTGGATTTGTGAGACGCCTGTGTGGTGATGTGAAAACGGAAAAGTCCAAGAACCGGAAGCCAAGCAGCTTAGACGGCTCTGGCACCTTGGGGCCAGTGCTAGGCACTCAGAGTGAGAGCATCCCCTGCTCAGGTGAAGTAATCTTTCCTGCAAGGCTCTACAACCACTGGAGAGAGACCCAAGGTCCTCCGTCATTTGAAAGGCTTAACTGCAATTTCTTTTTTATTTTACTTTATGTCTAATTTTTAAAATAGAAACAGGGTCTCTCAGGCCAGGCGCGGTGGCTCACGCCTATAATCTCAGCACTTTGGGAGGCCGAGGTGGGTGGATCATTTGATGTCAAGAGTTCAAGACCAGCCTGACCAACATGGTGAAACCCCGTCTCTGCTGAAAATACAGAATTAGCCAGAGATGGTAGTGCGTGCCTGTAATTCCAGCTACTCGGGAGGCTGAGGCAGGAGAATTGCTCGAATCTGGGACGCAGAGGTTGCAGTGAGCCGAGGTCAGGCCACTGCACTCCAGCATGGGCAACAAGAGCTAAATGCTCTTGTTGTTCTCAAAAAAAAAAAAAAAGAAAGAAAGAAAAGAAAAAGAAAAAAGAAACAGGGTCTCATAATGTTGCCCAGGCTGGTCTCAAACTCCCGGGCTCAAGTGATCCTGCTGCCTCGGGCTCCCAAAGTGCTGGGATTACAGGTGTGAGCCACCACACCTAGCCACAATTTCTTTCTGTTTTTCTCTTTTTTTTTTTTTGTTTCCTCAGAGTCTCCCTCTGTCGCCCAGGCTGGAGTGCAGTGTCACGATCTCGGCTCACTGCAACCTCTGCCTCCCAGGCTCAAGCAATTCTCCCACCTCAGCCTCTCCAGTAGCTGGGATTACAGACAGGCACCATCATGCCCGGCTAATTTTTTATATTTTTTTAAGAGACAGGGTCTTGCCATGTTGCCCAGGCTGGTCTCGAACTCTTTGACTAAAGCAATCCCGCCCACCTCAGACTCCCAAAGTGCTGGGCTTACAGTTATGAGTCACCATGCTCAGTCACAATTTCTTAATTTTTTGTTTTAAATTGAACATTTTCATTTCTTAATTTAAAAAAATGAACATTTTAAAACCCCCAGAAAATTGGAAAGAATAATACAAAGAGAATAATACAACAAAACCTCATATGTTTTCTCACCTAGATTCACCAGCAGCAGGTTTTTGCCATATCCACCTTGCTTCACTCTTTCTATTCACACACACTTCTCTTTAGCCAAATCATCTAGAAGGCTGCCCATATTATGACATTTCACCCCGAAAACTCCAGCCTGCATTTCCCAAGGGCAAGAACATTCATAATCACAACCTAATCACAACACCAGTATCACATCTAGGGAAATTCACATTCATACAAAAACAGCATCCAACACTGCGTCCACATTCAAATTTCCCAAACTGTCCCAAAAACGTCCTTCGTAGCTGATTTTTTTGGGATTCAAGTACCAATCAAGGATCTAGCACAAGATACTCTAGGCCCACCTTGCGATTGCCCTGCCTCTGACCTGGAATCAGCATCTCTCCATGAAGCTCTGGCTCGTTTTAGTAGAAAATGATACTTAGAACTCAAAATCTAGATGCCAAGTATGCTGTCTCTGCAAATTTTCTTTTCTTTTTTGTGGAGATGGAGTTTCACTATGTTGCCTGGGCTGGTCTCAAACTCCTGGGCTCAAGTGATCCTCCTGCCTTGGCCTCCCAAAGTGCTGCGATTACAGGCTAAACCACCGCACCTGATCTTCACGTTGCTTTTTTTTTTTTTCTGAGACAGGTCACCCAGGCTAGAGGGCAGTGGTGCCATCACAGTTCACTGAAGCCTTGACCTCCCAGGCTCAAGGGATTCTCCTGCCTCAGCATCCTGAGTAGCTGGGACTACAGGCGTGCGCCACCATGCCCAACTCATTTTTTGTGTATATTTTTTGTAGAGACGGGGTTTCACCATGTTGCCCAGGCCGGTCTTGAACTCCTGGGTTCAAGCAATCCAGCCACCTCAGCTGGGTTGGGCTGGGACTACAGGCATGAGCCACCACACCTGGCCCACTAAAATTTTTATTTTTACTTTATTTTGTTTATTTTGTTTGTTTGTTTGAAACAGAGTCTTGCCCTGTCACCCAGTCTGGAGTGCAGTGGCTTGATCTCAGCTCACTGTAACCTCCACCTCCCGGGTTCAAGTGATTCTCCTGCCTCAGCCTCCCAAGTAACTGGAATTACAGGTGCACGCCACCATGCCCGGCTAATTTTTCATCTTTTTAGTAGAGACAGGGTTTCACCATGTTGGACAGGTTGGTCTCGAATTCCTGACCTCAAGTGATCCACCAGCCTTGACCTCCCAAAGTGCTGGGATTACAGGTGTGAGCCACTGCACCAGGCCTATATATATATGTGTGAGTGTGTGTGTGTGTGTGTGTGTGAGTGTGTGTGTGTGTGTGTATATATATATATATATATATTTTTTTTTTTTTTTGATACAAGGTTTCGCTCTGTCACCCAGGCTGGAGTGCAGTGGTGCAATCTTGGCTCACTGTAACCTCTGTCTCCCGGGTTCAAGCAATTCTCCTGCCTCAGCCTCCCAAGTAGCTGGGATTACAGGACCTCGCCACCAAGCCCAGCTAATTTTTGTATTTTTGATAGAGACGGGGTTTCACCGTGTTGGCCAGGCTGGTCTCGAACTTCTGACCTCAAGCGATCTGGCCACCTCAGCCTCCCAAAGTGCTGGGATTACAGGCATGAGTGACCATGCCTGGTCCACTGCAATTTTTAAATGCAATTTGCAATCAATAAATTTCCAGGTCACTGTTCCTCATCCCAGGCATTCCTGAGACATGATGAGGGTTACTAGCAATACAGTGTGACTCCAGAGGACAGTTCAACCTTCATCCTGAGAGAATTTCTATTTTAGATGCCTTTCAGAGGCTGAAGGAGTGAGTTAAACCTTCACTTGGCTTCACCTGAAACATTCATCTTCGCTGCTTTAAGGAACTTGCCCTTTCCTCCTAAGAGCACCAAGTCATAAGACATTTCTAGGCCGGGAGCGGTGGCTCACGCCTGTAATCCCAACACTTTGGAAGGCCGAGGCGGGTGGATCACGAGGTCAGGAGATTGAGACCATCCTGGCTAACATGGTGAAACCCCGTCCCTACTAAAAATATAAAAAAATTAGCCGGGCGTGGTGGCGGGCGCCTGTAGTCCCAGCTACTAGGGAGGCTGAGGCAGGAGAATGGCGTGAACTCAGGAGGCGGAGCTTGCAGTGAGCCGAGATCGCACCACTGCACTCCAGCCTGGGCGACAGAGTGAGACTCTGTCTCAAAAAAATAAAATAAAATAAAATAAAAAGACATTTCTAGACCCTGCTCAAGAAAGAAACAAGAACATTAATGTATAGCTTTAATTTCAGAAAATCTGCATTTCAACACTGATTTACCATCTTTCATCACTCTATTATCATGGGTTAGTCACATAATTTTTCTGAGCCTCAAATTTTTGTTGTTGTTCTTCCAAAGAAAAATGTATTGAAGCAACTTTCCCATGTTGTTTTGTTTTCTTAGGTGAATAATAATTAAACAAGGTATTATGCCTGAACGTGCTAGGAAATTGTAAAGAGCTATGTAAACACTATTGCCAAAGAGGAACAAGAGTGTGCCATTTTAGGTGGGCTGAAGTGGCACAGACAATCGAAGGCCAGGAGCAGTCTCAGTCCCCAGCTCTTCAATTAAAGCCTTGAGCTAAGAGGTGGATTAGGGCTTGCTTTTCTTCCCCTCTCTTAGTTTCCCTTAACGGGAGCTGCTAATAGAGGAGCAGGCCCTAAGGAAGCTCCTAGGAGGCTCCGTCCAGGCTCACCTTGCACACTCAGCCCCAGAGGCACCCACACACAGTCTGGTGGGAGGGCAATGACTAATGTAAAAAGTCAGAGCCAAGAAACTGGAAGAACTGTGCCTCTTGTCATCTACAGATGTGTTTTCCAAACCACACTTCCCATGGAACATTAGAGATTGGCTAAAATATTTCTCTTGCTGGTTCAGGCCAGCGCATTCTAGGAGGGTCATTTTCCCTTGATGCTCCCCTCCTCAAACTTCCGGTTCTCCTTGCTCCACTTCCTGTGTGTGCCCCTTAGACAGACCCTTCAGGGACTGCCTTTAAGGAGAATCCCCTTGAGGTTACTCACAGCACTCTGTGCACCAGACATGAGCTGGGGATGAAGGTCTGTCTAATTACCAACAAAATCAAGGGAGGGAGAAGAAAGATTATGACCAGGGCTCTGAGCCAGTCCAGCCAAGGTGCGGCTATGGGGTGGAAGAAAATTTGTTGGCTTTGGTCTCAAAACCAGGGAGAAGAGAAAATGCAACTGTACTTGTGCTATCAAGATGCCTCTCAGCTGAAATGCAATTCAAGTCCATTCAATAGACATTTATTAAGCCCCTACTGAGGGCACAGCTAAAGAAAGATGCATGGAGCCTTATGGAGCTCCCATTCTACCCTGGAGAGAAGCACTTAAGCAAATGAAATGCCCTTCATTGTGCTTGGTGCTATGATAAAGGGGTCACAGAGGACAGGATATCCACTTCCTCATGAAATCAGCCCATTCCCTTTTGAATATGTCTTATAATTAGGAAGTGTCTTTTCTCTGTTCCTTCTCCCTCTACCCTCCTAGCCCTTCCTTCCTCTCCTCCTCCTTCCATTTTTCTATTTCCCTTTCCTCTTCTTCCTTCTGCCCTGTCCCTCTTTTCTCCTCCCCTCCCAGGTCCTGCCAGCTCTGAGAACCTGAGGTCCTGCTTCCCACCCTCTCTGCCCCATCTATGCAATGTGGGCAAAGAAGGGAAGTGAGGTCAGGCAAGGCCTCTTAAAGGAGGCCAGAAGAAGGAAGAATTCCAGGCAGAGGGAACAGCATAAATTGAGAAGTATGGCCTTTCCCAAAAGGCTTGGGCAAGTATGATTTTCTTACTCATTTCTTGTCCCTGCCCATAATCTATCTCTTCCCCTTAACCTAAGTCATGAGGCTGAAAAAGCTTCTCCTGAACCTTGAAGCCCATTCAGCCTCAAAATTAGCTGCTCTAAGGAATACTAGTGTGGTAGGTAAAATAATGGCCACCTGGAGATAGCAAGTCCTAATCAGGGTTTTTGGAGATGTAATGATATTAAGGATCTTAGGCCAGCTGTGGTGGCTCACACTTGTAATCCCAGAAGTTTGGGAGGCCGAGGCAGGTGGATCACCTGAGGTCAGAAGTTCGAGACCAGCCTGGTCAACATGACAAAACCCGGTCTCTACTAAAAATACAAAAAAAATTAGATGGGCGTGGTGGTGCATGCCTGTAATTCCAGCTACCTGGGAGGCTGAGGCAGGAGACTTGCTGAAATCCGGGAGGCGGAGGTTGCAGTGAGCCAAGATTGCACCATTGCACTCTAACATGGGTGACAAGAGCGAAATGCCATCTAAAAAAAAAAAAAGAAAAAGAAATTGAGAATCTTGAGATGGAGAGACTATTCTAGATTATCTAAGTGGCCTTAATTGCGACCACAACTGTCCTTATAAAGAAAAGGTAAAAAGAGATGTCAGAGAGATGCACACAGAGGTGATGTGAAGACAGAACAAGAAGACTTGAAGATGCTGCCTTAAAGACTGGGGGAGGCCAGGCGCGGTGGCTCACGCCTGTAATCCCAGCACTTGGGAAGGCTGAGGCAGGCAGATCACGAGGTCAGGAGTTCGAGACCAGCCTGGCCAACATGGAGAAATCCCATCTCTACTAAAAATACAAAAATTAGCCAGGCATGGTGGCGTGTGCCTGTAATCCCAGCTACTCGGGAGGCTGAGGCGGGAGAATCGCTTGAACCTGGGAGGCGGAGGTTGCAGTGAGCTGAGATCGCATCACTGCACTCTGGCCTCGGCAACACAGCAAGAATCTGTCTCGGAAAAAAATATTAAATTATATTTAAAAAGACTAGGAGGATGTAGTGACAAGCCACAGAACTCCAGCAGGCACCAGAAACTGGAAGAGGCAAGAAATACATTCCCTTCCAGAGCTTCCAGAGGGAGCGCAGCCCTGCTGACACCTGAGGTTAGCCCAGGGATTCTGATTTAGAGCTTCTGGCCTCCAGAATTGTGAAATTAACATTTCTAATTGTTGTAAGCCACCCAGTTTGTGGTCATCGGTTACAGTTACCACAGGAAACTTGTACAATCAGATTCCTCCAGAGATGAAGCATCTCTTTTGCCTAGGAGTCTTTTGGAAGGAAGGAGAGAGGAGAGAAAAGAGAAAGAGGGTGACCTGTCCCTTCCTTGCTTAGATGCTGGCCAACACTGGTGGTCTCCAATCCAGAGAGCCATACTTGTACAAAGACTTGTCCTGGATTTTTTTTGTTTGATTGGGGTTTGTTTGTTTGTTTGTTTTCAGACAGAGTCTTGCTCTGTCTCCCAGGCTGGAGTGCAGTGGCACAATCTTGGCTCACTGCAACCTCCACCTCCCAGGTTCAAGCAATTCTCCTGCCTCAGCCTCCTGAGTAGCTGGGACTACAGGCATGTGCCACCAAACCCAGCTAGTTTTTGTATTTTTAGTAGACACGAGGTTTCAGCATGTTGGCCAGGCTGGTCTCTATCTCCTGACGTCGTGATCCTCCCACCTTGGCCTCCCAAAGTGCTGGGATTACAGATGTGAGCCCTGGTCTGTTTTTTTTTTTTTAATTATTTATTTATTATATTTTTTTGAGACGGAGTCTCCTTCTGTCACCTAGGCTGGAGTGCAATAGTGCGATCTCAGCTCACTGCAACTTCCACCTCCCCGGTCCAAGCACTTCTTCTGCCTCAGTTTCCCAAGTAGCTGGGACTACAGGCATGCACCACCATGACCAGCTAATTTTTGTATTTTAGTAGAGATGGGGTTTCACCAGGTTGGCCAGGCTGGTCTCAAACTCCTGACCTCAGGTGATCTGCCCACCCCAGCCTCCCAAAATGCTGGGATTACAGGCATGAGCCACTGTGTCCGATCTATTTTGTGTGTGTGTGTGTGTGTGTGTGTGTGTGTGTGTGTGTGTGTGTGTGATGGAGTTTTGCTCTTGTTGACCAGGCTGGAGTGCAATGCCGTGATCTCGCCTCACTGCAACCTCTCCCTCCCTGGTTCAAGCGATTCACCTGCCTCAGCCTCCTGAGTAACTGGGATTATAGGCATGCACCACCATGCCCGGCTAATTTTGTGTTTTCAGTAGAGCCGGGGTTTCTCCATGTTGGTCAGTCTGGTCTCGAACTCGCGACCTCAGGTGATCCGACCCCCTCAGCCTCCCAAAGTTCTGGGATTACAGGTGTGAGCCACTGCGCCTGGCCAGTGCCAGGTCTATTATTATTATTTTTAATAAAGATAGGGTCTCATTATGTTGCCCAGGCTGGTCTCAAACTCCTGGGCTCCAGGGATCCTCCTGCTTTGATTTCCCAAAGTGATGGGATTAGAGGCATGAGTCACCACATCTAGCCTAAATTTACATTTAAAAACGTCTATTCATCTGGGAGAGGTGGTTCACCTGCCTTTAATCCCAGCATCTTGGGAGGCTGAGAGGAAGGCAGAAGGATCACTTGAGGCCAGGAGGTAGAGACCAGCCTGGGCAATATAGCAAGACCTTGTCTCTACCCAAAACAAAACAAGTCTATTCAAAATGAGATCTTGGGACCAGGTGTGGTGGCTCATGCCTATAATCCCAGCACTTTGAAGGGTTGAGGCAGGAGAATCAGTTGAGTCCAGGAGTCCAAGACCAGCCTGGGCAACACAGCAAGACCTCATCTCTCCAAAAAAAAAAAAAGAAGCTGGGCATGGTGGGACACACCTGTAGTCCCAGTTACTCAAGAGGTTGAGGTGGGAGGATAGTTTGAGCCCAAGTTGAGACCACTGCACTCCAGCTTGGGTGACAGAGCAAGACCCTGAAAAACACAAAGCAAAACAAACAAAACAAAAGAAAAAAAAAGGAAAGAAAAAAACACTTAAAAAAATTAGATCTTGGCCATGCCCTGTGGCTCATGCCTATAATCCCAGCACTTTGGGAGGCTGAGGCGGGCAGATCACTTGAGGTTGGGAGTTCGAGACCAGCCTGGCCAACATGGTGAAACCCTGTCTCTACTAAAAATGCAATAATTAGCTGGGCGTGATGGCACATGCTTGTAATCCCAGCTACTTGGGAGGCTGAGGCAGGAGAATTGCTTGAACCCGGGAGGCAGAGATTGCAATGAGCTGAGATCGTGACACTACACTCCAGCCTGGGTGACAGGGAGAGACTCCGTTTCAAAACAAACAAACAAAACAAAAAACAAAAAAACTCCCAACATATAAAGCTGATAGACTTACAATGAAAGAAAAGAGGATACCACACTACCCTCTTAATCCTCAGTTGGGTGACCCCAACCCCTGTCCCTCAAAGTTCCTGGGGGTCCCTTGACAAAATCCTAGCGATCCCCAGGCTAAGCTAATCCCCTCATTTGGCAAGCAAGGAAGTTGAGGCCCAGAGAGGGGCAGCACATGGTTTCAAAATCTTCTGACCACGAAGGATCCCCTTAAAGTCTAGGGGTGAAAGTCATTCCCAGCAGTTCCAAAGCTGCCTTTGTTTGGCAAGGCAACACCCCAGCCTTTAGGATTTGAAACAGTGGGCAGACTTTACTGCCTGTTTTTGTTGTTGTTGTTATTTGTTTGTTTTTTTGTTTTGTTTTGTTTTGGGACGGAGTCTCGCTCGGTTGCCTAGGATGGAGTGCAGTGGCGGGCGTGACCTCAGCTCACTGCAGCCTCTGCCTCCCAGGTTCAAGCCATTCTCTGTCTCAGCCTCCCGAGTAGCTGGGATTACAAGCACCTGCCACCACACCTGGCTAATTTGTTTGTATGTTTAGTAGAGACAGGGTTTCACCATCTTGGCCAGGTTGGTCTTGAACTCCTGACCTCGCGATGCACCCGCCTCGGTCTCCCGAAGTGCTGGGATTACAGGCATGAGCCACCGCGCCAGGCCTTGTTTGTTTTTTTTAACAGGGTCTCACTTTGTCACTCAGGCTGGAGTGCAATGGTGCCATCTCAGCTTGGCTCACTGCAACCTCGACCTCCCAAGTTCAAGCAATCCTCCTGCCTCAGCCCTCCAAGCAGCTGGGACTACAGGCACACACCACCATGCTGGGCTAATTTTTATATTTTTAATTAAGATGGGGTTCACCATTTTGCCCAGGTTGGTCTCAAACTCCTGAGCTCAAGCAATCTGCCCACCTGCCTTAGCCTCCCAAAGTACTAGAATTACAGACCTACTGCATGTTCTTATTGTTATTACTTGACCGTTCCTCAAGGACAGAGTGAAGGAGAAGGAGAAGATATAGGACATGCTTCAGAAATTGTGAGTGCAGCCAACTGGGTCCATCCTGGGTCTCCCTCTGGCCATCTGAGAGGATGTACCATAGCAAAAATATGGCAGGGGCCAATGAGGGAGGGTTAAACATGCTCACATGAACAAAGAGAGCTTTGTGGTCCAGAGTGGATTCTGACATGACCACACACGGAGACATGTCAACTTGCTTTCCCTTCTGAGGGAGGAACTTCATGCTGATGTGTCAGCTCTGTCCCTGTGCAAGACCCCTACTCCCATCTCACTTCTTTTGGCCACTGTAAGATATACTGCCAGATGAATAGTCATTTCTCTTCTCTCAATTTATTTATTTGTTTAGAGATGGAGTCTTGCTCTGTCACCAGGCTGGAGTGCAATGGCATGATCTCAGCTCACTGCAACCTCCGCCTTCCAGGTTCAAGCGATTCTCCTGCCTTAGCCTCCGGAGTGGCTGGGACTACAGTCACATGCCACCATGCCCAGCTAATTTTTGTATTTTTAGTAGAGATTGGGTTTCACCTTGTTGGCCAGGATGGTCTCGATCTCTTGACCTTGTGATTCGCCCACCTCAGCCTCCCAAAGTGCTGGGATTACAGGGGTGAGCCACCGCACCCAGCCCCCCTCTTCTCTCTTTGTAATAGAACAGTGTAGACATTTATGAAGCTTTTCCTAGCTTTTCAACGTCAACACAATTAAAGCACAATGCATCTGAATTGCCAGCCCCCCAACCCAGTGCAGAACAAATGGCAGGAGTCCTAAATAAAACAGGGGTTTGCACTGAGCTGAAGACAAGTGAGGAAGCCAAGCTGGGATTTCTGTAAAAGTGTCCCAGACAAAAACAGTTTGCATCTCAGGTGCCTAGTTTTTCATAGTGCTTTTTCCAGTCTACCTAAAACTATTTTTATATGCATCATTTCCTTTATCTTACAGTTTGCCTAAAGGCAGGGAGAAAGACAATTAATTCAATTTTTCTGGAGAAACAGAGATCCAGCAATTCTATGTCAAGGGGCATAGATGGAGTCAAAAAACTATCTTAAAGGCTGGTGTCCTTTTATCATCATAACAATGGTCGTTAACTAGTTGTTTGGCCAAATGTTAAGAGTTCAAATCTTGGCTCTGCCATTTACTAGCCATGTGACCTTGGACAAGATACTTGACCTCTGGCTCAGCACCTTCATTTGTAAAGTAGTTCCTAGTTCATAGTCTTGTCAAGGAATTGTTTGAGTCACATATGTAAGAAGCAAAGAACAACACCAGCATATAGTAAGTACTCAATAAATTTGAGTTATCATTTATGTAGCGCTTTATGGTTTACAAAGCGCTTTCACATACATTATTATCTCTTGACTAAGATCCAGATCATTTGACTTTCAGCCCAGGCATTTGGAAACAATTCAGAATACTGGATAAAATCCAGCATGTTTTACCGAACACATCCAAGGAGGCTAATACTAGGTATGGTGTTGCCAGCCCAGTCTTGTCTTTTTGCTCCATGTCCTGGAAGAGCATTCTGCAAGGTCTCCAGGATATCCCCTTTGCTCTGGAAGCAGCTACTACCCAGGAAGCATTAATTTTCCCTCATCCTTTGTACAGCAGGAGGCAGAATTAATACACATTGTTGCTTAAGCTCCAGCTGTCTTATCTCCCTGCTTCCAAACACCACTGGCTATTCTTTAGGAAACCAATTCCGGGCTCAGGGAGTTACACTGTATCATTTCCCCTGGTAAAACCTTCACAGGCCTTATAAAGCAACCTCAAAAAGCCACTCCATGGGTGCTGGTCACCATCCCTCCCCCATATTCCAACCAGGGACAGGCCCGGACTGACATTTCTGGAAAACCCAGTGTGTGCAAGGTTAGGTTACCACGGTCCATACCAATGAGGAAATTAGGCTGTAGAGAGAAGTAACTTGTCTAAGGCACCGCAGTGGATACGAGTGCTGTAGCTACGCACTTACCAGCTCTATGATCTTCCCCAACCTCTCTGAGCTGAGTTTTCTCATCTGTAAAACTGGGATAATGATTAAACACACTCCTAGGGTCAGTATAAAACTTCAGTGAGTTCATTCATTACGATTAGCACAATGACTGGCACATACAAGAGCCCAATAAATGTTAGGTTTTATTATTATTATTACCCAAAAAAGACTATCAGTTAGGGTGTACTCATTGCCTCTTTCATTATAGCAAGTGGGACCCTTGTCCCTGACTGAAGACAATGACTTTGTTTCCAAACGAAAGAGGGTTAGCATCCCCCAGCCAAATTCACCAGGTGGGGCATGGGGCATCAATATGGTTGTGGCTTCCACCATCTTTGCAGTGGGAGTAGTTTTGTCCAGCCTATGATACAATTCACTTATTATTGTGCAGTGGTGATTCGGTCCGTCTTTGAATCCTTTTATTGACAGGATATCCACTCCCTAATGAAATAAGCCCGTTCCCTTTTGAACACCTCTTATAATTAGGAAGTATGTTTTCTCTGTTCCTTCTTCCTCTACCCTCCTAGCCCTTCCTTCTTCTCCTCCTCCTTCCTCCTTTCTTTTTCCCTTCCCTCTTCTTTCTGCCCTGTCCCTCTTTTCTTGTCCCCTCCCAGGTCCTGCCACCTCTGAGAACCTGAGGTCCTTCTCCCCAACCCCTCTGCCCCACCGGGAAGGCACTATTCAGTCACTGACCATAACCTTGTAGAGCGCAGTAGGTCTTTAGTGCAGCCACTTGGCCGGCTGATTGGGAACTCAACTTCCGATGGTCCTAACAACCCTTTGGGTTTTGCAGGATCTTTGAGAAGCAAAACCTTTTACCTAGGCCTTACGGCTTGGCCTTCTGGTCCATTAGTATCATCCACCAGTTCACCCAATTTCCATTAATAACCGCATCTAGAATCACATGAAACTTGAGATGGGTTGATCTCCTGTCTTGAGGCCCAGCTGGGCGGGTATGCCAGCCAAGGAGAGGGCTGGGGCGCCGGGGGTGACTCTCGGGAGGTGAAGCACACAAGCAGCCCATAAGGTTGGGATCCTCCGTCTCCAAGTAGCGCGACTACAGCTCTTGCCCGCACGGAGCAGCCTCGGACAGCGCGGCCGCTTTAAGAGAGGGGCGGGGCCCGGGTACAGGCAAGTCAGGGCCAGCCCACAAGGCTCCTTTTCCTTTTTGATCCATTCAAAAATTACTCATTGCAAATTCCCGGACTGCTAGGCGAGGAGAGGGAAGGGGGCGGAGGAGACAGGGCTACTGCAGGCGCAGAGCTGGGGGCAGCCGGGGGCCCGAGTGGCTGAGGCTGGTCCCGCAGCGGCCGCTTGCCGGCGTTCTGGCTCCTGTGGCCTCACCAGGAAGCGTCAGAGTCCCGACACTGGGGAAGCTCGGAGCGCCGCCTCCGCTGCCGCCGCCTCCTGCCTGGCTCTGGGTCCCCGAGCCCCCTCCCCTGGCCCAGCCCGACTCCCTCCTCCTTCCCGAACCATCCGGCTCGGGCTCCTTCCCTGGCGATGGCTGGCCGCTGAGCCATGGCTCAGTACGGCCACCCCAGTCCGCTCGGCATGGCTGCGAGAGAGGAGCTGTACAGCAAAGTCACCCCCCGGAGGAACCGCCAACAGCGCCCCGGCACCATCAAGCATGGATCGGCGCTGGACGTGCTCCTCTCCATGGGGTTCCCCAGAGCCCGCGCGTAAGTGGCCGGGCTCGCAGCCCTCGGCGACCCCTCCCGCGCGCGCGGCCGGCCCTCGGCTTCGCTCCGGCTCGCCTCCCAGCGCCTGCGGGACAGGCAGCGCGCTCCCCGCTGCCCGAGACCTGTTGGGGGCGGGATGGGCGCGCTGGCAACCCGGGACTCGGCTCCGGGCGGGGGTGCGGGGGAAGACGCGGCGCGGGGGCGTTGGGCCAGGGCTCGCCGTGGGATGCCTAAAGCTGGGGGACGAGGGCGCGGGGTTCGAGTCCCGGGTATAGTGCTCAGCCTCCGCCCCAGCCGGGTGGAGCTCAGCGTTTCTCTCGCGCGCTCCCCTAGGTCTCCAGCGCCGAGCGCCTAGGGAGGCGGGGCCCTGCGGAGGACTCGGGCACCCTCTCCGTCTGGAATACTGGGCTGGTCTGGGATCCTCCGGTGTCTGGGAAAGGGCGGGAGACTGCGGGGCAGGGAGGCCGGCGCCCCCGTTGCAGCGGCTTCCAGCTCCGGATGTCGCTCTCGGGTTCGGTCTCCCCCTGGAGTAGGAGGAGCGGGAGCGTGGGTGTTCCTGCGTGTTCATTGATGGGGAGGATGGAATCAGAAGGAGAAGCGATCCCTCCAGGGGACCTGGGTTCTCGTCAGTGGTGACGGCAGCTCAGAAATCTGTGGGTGCCTGAGAGTAAGGAGGGGGAGCTGTTCTTCATCCTTCCTCTAGGAGAGTGGGGTAGGGGAGGGCAGGGAGAGCGCAGGTGGCTGCCCCTGGAGCCTGCTGGGGAGAGGCCTGTTTGCCAGCATAGGGTGGCGGCGGCCGGAGTCGTCTCAGGCCGGTCGGCTCAAGTCTCAGGGGCTGGAACTCTGCCTAAGAGGAAGCCAAGGCCCAGCGGCCAGGCCCTTCTCCCCTGGTTAATCCCTGCCGTGCAGATTTCTTAGGTGGGGACACAAGGCCTGGCGTCCGGACTGGGCGCAGCTTCTTTTCATCTTTGAATTACAGCACCTGAACAGGAGAGTTGGCCAAACTTAATCAGTGAGGGCCAAGTAAATGAAAGTCCTTTTTATTTTTTTCCCTTCTCACATTTTTTTTTCAGGTGATAACTTTATTTATGTATTTATTTTTCTGAGACGGAGTCTCGCTGTGTCGCCAGGCTAGAGTGCAGTGGCGCAATCTCTGTAACTTCCGCCTCCCAGGTTCAAGCGATTCTCCCACCTTAGCCTCCTGAGTAGCTGGGACCATAGACATGCGCCACCACACCGGGCTAATTTTTATATTTTTAGAAGAGATGGGGTTCTGCCATGTTGGCCAGGCTGGTCTCGAACTCCTGACCTCAGGTGATCCACCCACCTCGGTCTCCCAAAGTGCTGGGATTACAGGCAATAACTTTATGTCTCCCCTCCCTTATCTCTGGGCAAACCTTGTTTATTCTCTACTAACTTGGTTGTAATCTGTTAATCAAAGTAGACCCTTGAATTTGTTATTCTCCAGGCTGCTGGGACACGTTGGAGTGGCCTTAGAAGGCTGCAAAATGGACTGATGGTTTCTGCCTTCCACTGACGTCCCAATACGACTTCCTAATACTAGGGCTCCAGTTCCTGATACCAGAATTACAGGGAGAAAATGTGGGTTCTGCAGGGGTGTGTCAGGTGTGGACGCTTCAGGTGAAGTCGTCGGTGTGGATGATCAATGTGCACAGCTCTCCTTAAAAACTGGAGGTGGGGCTGGGTGTAACCCCAGCAGTTTGGGAGGCTGAGGCAGCCGGATCACTTGAGATCAGAAGTTTGAGACCAGCCTGGCCAACATGGTGAAACCCTGTCTTTACTAAAAATACAAAAATTAGCTGGGTGGGGTGGTGCATGCCTGTAATCCCAGCTACTTGGGAGGCTGAGATAAGAGAATCGCTTGAGCCCAGTAGGTGGAGGTTGTAGTGAGCCAAGATCGCACCACTGCACTCTAGCCTGGGTTACAGAGCGAGACTTCATCTCAAGAAAAAAAAAAAAAAAAAGCTGGAGGTGGGAGTGGGGAAGTCAGCTGGGGAATGCTGCAGAATTAGCATAGTCTCAGGCTACTGCCTTTTTTGAAATAAGGCCAGCATTAAAAACCTAAATTGCTTAATTAAGGGAAGAAATACTTAACTGAACTCCTCAGTCATATTTGAGATTCAAATTCAAATCAGCTTTAAAGGGACATCTTTTCTCCTGCTCTGAGTCCAGGAGGTCTTGACATGTCTTGACAGATTAGCATAAGGGTCATTTTTGGCTTGTTTAACCCCTGAGGTCTCCTAATAGCTAGCATGTATTGAATACTTACTCCATACTGTTCTAAGTACTTATATCTTTATTACCCATTTTATCCTCCTAGCAACTCAATGAGGAAGGTACCACATGCCCATTTTATGAATTGGGCAACTGAGGTTTAGAAGGGTTGCATAACTTGCTCAAGGTCACAACAGTAAGCAGTGAAGCTGGGATTCAAACCCAGGTATTCTATCTGCACAGCCCAGGCCTCACACCATCTAGGGCCAGTAGGGCCAGGATAGAAATGATTGAATGTGGGTAAAATGCTTAGAACAGTTCCTGGCACATAGTGAGCAATCGTGAAGTGTTAGTTACTGTATTAGCTTCCTGTGACTGCTGTAACAAATTGTCACAAACTGAGTGGCTTAGAACAGCAGAAATTTATTCTCTCACAATTGTAGAGACCAGGAGTTGAAAATCAGTATCGCTGGGCTGAAATCAAGGCATCAGCAGGGCCGTGCTCCCTCTGGAGGCTCTAGGGGAATCCACTCCCTGCCTCTCCTACCTTCTGTTGGGGGCTGGCATTCTTTGGCTTGTGGCTGCATCAATCCAATCACTGCGTTTGTGGTCAAATTGTCTTTGTTTTCTGTCTGTGTCCAATCTTCCTTGGCATGTCTCTTATAAGGATACATGTGGTTGTACTTAGGGCCCACTTGGATAATCCAGAGTAATCTCCCCATCTCAAGATCATTATCTGCAAAGTCCTTTAAAAAAAAATGTATAAGGCGGCATTCACAGCTTCTAGGGATTAGGATGTGGGTGTCTTTTGGGGGATCATTATTTAGCCTATCACAGCTATTATTATATTACTACTAGCACTGCCCCTCTTTACCAAAGAGGTAACAAGAGCAGGCCTGGAGAGAGGGAGGTTGGGTTTGCTGCTCTTTTTCTTAAATTCTCTGCCTGGAAGGGAGTGAAGGTCCTGGAGGTCACCTGATCTAGTTGGACTCCTTGCCCAGGCTTGCTTCCCTCCTCTACTTCAACCCAGAAAGGCTGATGTGGTCGGCCTTCCCCCCAGTAACTTAGACCAGTATGAAGAGGGGCCCTCGGAGGCTTCAGAGAACAGGCATTTAACTTCATTTTTGAGAGTTGAGAAGAAAGAGCAAGGGCATCGGGCTTAGCTCATCAGAAGCTTCTCTCTTGAGCTTTATGCCTGGAGGGCTGAGCATAATGAAAATCCAAAGCCCCAAAGAGCAGTGATGGTCTCCTGGGTCTAGAAGACTTGGATGTGATGCTTTAAGAAGGGGTAAGATGGTTGTCTCAAACCTGGCCCTTTTGACAGACTGACATTAGCCAGGGCTGACAGCTCTAGGCCCTTTTGACAGAGTGACAGCAGCCAGGGCTGACAGCTCTAGTTTCCCCTATGGGTGTAACTGGGTCTGGTGGTGTGCGGCACCAAGAAGGGGCACTCAGGCCAGGCTCTTGGTGGGCTGGCAGAGAGGGTTGAGGCCAGCAAGGCTGGATCCCACCCAGCCCGTGCTGGGCTGCACTGTGCTGTGGTCTTGCAAAAGTCACTTAGTCCCCTCAGGGCCATGCTGTTGCCCTCTGAGGGGAACGCAATTAATGACTGCATGCTTGTTAAGTGCTTGACAGAGCTAAGAGGACCAGAGGGCTGCAGGGCTGGCTCAAGCAGGGTGACCTCAGGGTGTGCTCTCTCTAGCTCATTACTCCCTGGAGCTGGGCTAGGTTTTTTCCATTCCACTATATGAACTTCAGTCCAACTTAGACACTGCTATAGGAGAATTTGCCTCATGGAGGACTGAGAAGTGGCGATTTCACGGTGTGTGTGTGCGTGTGCGCTCGTGTGCAAGTCCAAGTTAAGGAGGTGTTCGGGAGGCATCAGGAAGGAAACCTTTCAAAGGTCAAAATGGCCAATCGCTTCCTTTTTTCTATGCCCACTAGCACTTCCCTGTTTTAAGGGTTCTAAAAATAAGGGTCCAGCTTCCTTGAGGCTAGTGAGGTTGGTTGGAAGGAAAAGAAAGAATGTATTGGGGGCAAAGACCTGAGGAAGAGGAGACCTCACAGGCCAGGAGAGGGTCTGAGCCTAACACCGGAGAAGATGGGACAGGACTCAGATCAGAGCCATCACTTTGCACAGCCAGATCCGATGTCAGAGCACTGTCATCCCCCTGCTGACCTCTGGTTTCTGGGGAGACAGGCTCTCATCTCTTCTGTAGCTTGGGGCTGATGCTGGGCCTTGGAGCAAGTCACTGAATAATTGAATTGGAGGAATCCTTGCTGATACAACCCTGATGAGTTTTTTTATTATTTTTATTTTTTGAGGCTGCTGGTGGCTAGAACTTTGTCTACAACAAATGGCTTTTTAATGTTTCCAGTGATTAAGAGATAATAGTCTTGGGAAGGACACTGTGGCAGGGATCAAAGGTCCTAAGGTCTGGTCTAGCTTCTGAATGATATCTGCACCTTTTAGGTCTTCTATTTAACCTCTTTTCCTTAATATCTTCACCAGCTTCTGTGCGTGGCAAGACCTGTCATGTGTCACGGGCCTTTCCAAAGACAAAATGAGATAACAGACAGAAAAGAACTTGGGAAAGTTAAAGATAGGATCAGGATGCAAGATGTGATTGGGGCATTATTGTGTTGGATTGCAAGAAGGGAGAGGAGGTGAGATGGTGGTTGAGGTGTCTGGCGAGGATTTACGTGTATTATTGGATTGTCCTTTTTTTTCTACTGAGAATATTTGAACAATGCCAAATTAAAGAGCAAGGCAGTGGCAGAAGGAAAGAGCTGGAATGAGCGCTTTTGACTTGGCTTTGGACAGTAAGCTGTGTTAGCTATGCCTCACTGCCCAAAGATAAAAGCAGCTCCAAGTTGGCTGCATGAGGAGTTGAGAAGCGGCATGTGGAGCCCATGAATTAAAGTATCTGGTTTCCCTGGCTTTTTCCAGCTTACCTGTTGGTTGACATTGGATCCTCTGAGAACACTTGGCCAACCCAACATCTCTGAAATGTAGCTGACTCTGGCGTGGGGGCTGCAGCTGCTTTCCCAGCCTTGGATAGACAGAAAGAGGAAAAACTGGAACCCACCTGGAGCTGAAGGGCTCTTATAGGTGGGCAGGGCAAGGAAGTCTCTAATCTACCTGCTGTGACTGTGCACCCACATAACACGCCCTTCTATCTGTGTTATTATACACTGTAAAAATTGCTCTTATGTGTATTAGATACCCCACAGCAGTCTTGTGAGGTAAAGCACACAACATATGCTTTGTTTTAAGATGAGACTGGAGGCTTAGAGGAGTTCAGGACGTGTCTAGAGTCACACAGTTGGTATGCAGGGACTGCATTGCCATAAGAGCCTCAGGCTAAACTGCAAGTCTCCTGAACTTTCCAGGCTACACGAGGTCCTGGTTCCAAAAAAAAAAAAAACAAAAAAAAAAATACCTTGATATGCTTTTTTTCTTTTTTTTTTTTTTTTTGAGACAGAGTTTCGTTCTTGTTGCCCAAGCTGGAGTGCAATGGCGTGATCTCAGCTCACTGCAACCTCTGCCTCCTAGGTGTCAAGTGATTCTCCTGCCTTAGCCTCCCAAGTAGCTAGGACTACAGGTATGTGCCATCATGCCCAGCTAATTTTGTATTTTTAGTAGGGACAGAGTTTTATCATGTTGGTCAGGCTGGTCTCGAACTCCTGACCTCAAGTGATCATCCCGCCTTGGCCTCCCAAAGTGCTGGGATTACAGGTGGGAGCCACCCTGCCCGGCCAGCCGATGTGCTTTTTTTAAAAAAACTTTTTTGAGTTATAACTCATGTACAATCAGCTAACCCTATTTAAAGATTGATACATTTTGACAACTGTACCTGTGTGATTACCTGCTACAAGACACAGTACGTTCACTGCCCCTAAAAGTTTCGTTTGTACCCCTTTGTGGTTAGTCCTCTCTCAACCCCCAACCCTGAGCAGCCACCAGTCGCTTTTTCTTTTCTTTTCTTTTTTTTTTTTTTGAGACAGTTTCACTCTTGTTGCCCAGGCAGGAGTGCAATGCTGCGATCTCAGCTCACTGCATGCAACCTCCGCCTCCCAGGTTCAAGTGATTCTCCTGCCTCAGCCTCCCAAGTAGCTGGGATTACAGGCATGCACCATCACGCCTGGCTAATTTTGTATTTTTAGTTGAGACAGGGTTTCTCCATGTTGGTCAGGCTGGTCTCGAACTCCTGACCTCAGGTGATCCGCCCGCCTCGGCCTCCCAAAGTGCTGGGATTACAGGCATGAGACACCACGCCCAGCCCAGTTGCTTTCTTTCACTGTACATTAGTTTGCATTTCCTAGATTTGCATGTAGGTCATACAGTGCATACCCTTGTACTTGGCTTCTTTCCTTCAGCATATTTTTTAGACTCATCCTGCATGTATCAATAGTTTATCTCTTTTAATTGCTGAGTAGACCTTCAGGTATTTGGATGTGCTAGTAGGGTAATTATAACCCCTTGCACACAGCTTCTATGAAAATTCCCTCTTACGCGCTAATGTCTTTTTTTTTTTTTTTTTTTTTTGAGATGGAGTCTCGCTCTGTTTCCCAGGCTGGAGTGCAGTGGCACAATCCCGGCTCACTGCAACCTCCGCCTCCCGTGTTCAAGCAATTCTCCTGCCTCAGCCTCCTGAGTTACTGGGACTACAGGCACATGCCGCCATGCCCAGCTAATTTTTTGTATTTTAATAGAGACATGATTTCACCATGTTGCCCAGGCTAGTCTCGAATTCCTGAGCTCAGGCAATCCGCCTGCTTTGGTCTCCCAAAGTGCTGGGATTACAGGCATAAGCCACCGCGCCTGGCCTTACGCCAGAATTTCTAATAATACCTTAAGTTTTTAGACCATGTTCGAGCTTACAAAGCAGAGTCACATACATAATCACTATTAAGTCTCAGACATTGATAATTTAATGAGGAAACTGAGGTTTGGAAGATTAAGTACTACAGAGATTGAAGAGTATCCTGCCTCACTGTTCTATCCTGTGGCTTTGATCACCACCTGCTCCCCACCCTCAGCTGCCTCAAAGTCCAGCTCCCTTTCAGGGAGTGGACAGTCATTCGCAGAGCTAAAGGCGTTGCTTTTCAGAGAGGCAGCCAACCTAGGGAATCCTGTGTCTCCCGCCAGCTTTGCTCCAGCTGATGATGATGTGGTGGTACTATCACTGCCTCCCCAATCCCAGCCGGCATAAGCCTGTGTAAGGGTATCTCCTTTCTTGGCCATCCAGAAGCTGAAGAGACCCCATCATTATCTGCCCCATCCATCCTGCCCTGATAGACAGAAGTCTGAACTTGTGGCAGCCTGGCTTTGAATTCCAGCTCTGCCTCTTACCAGCTGAGGGACTGACCTTGGGCAAGTTGCTGAACATGCTAAGCCTCAATTTTCCTGTCTGTACAATGCAGACAATAACAGCACTTGTCTTGAAGGACCTTTGTGAGAGAAGGGTGCCAAACCACGCAAACAGCTGGAGAGCGCCTGGCATTGGGCACACCCTCAGAAATGAGGTCGGTATTAGTGCTACTCAAGTGGTGATGTTACTCCACATGGCTCCCTCTGTGGTTTGGTTCCTTGGTCGCCTTCCACTTTTATGGTTCTCTGTTCCTCACTGAGCTTTGGGTATAAGGCTGTAAGATAGGGCAGAGGCCAGTGGATGCTTTCTCCCTGATAACTGCATTCTGCTCTCTGTGCTTCTCTCTCTAGAGTGCCCAGAGGGGTGCGGGGCCTGAGAAAAAGCAGACCCAGGGCAGAGAGAGCACCACCCAAGCTGCTGACTATAATAAATGGCAGGGGCTGGGGACTGGAAGGGGTACCATATGGTTGTCTTCTGATTACTTTCAAATGGAATCAGACTCAAGCCTAAGAGAGAGAGTGGGGAGAAAAAACCACACTCAAGAATGGATCCTCTCTGCAGGGTGACAGACTCAGCCAAGCAGAATGCAGAGCCATTGCCAGAAGAATGAGATGACTATGATCCTCATTGAACTGAACACTTTTGTCATTTTCATGGATGGATTCTCCCAGGGGCCACTTTCTATTTGCCCAAAGGCTTATGGAGAATCTGTGGTTTTTCTCTTTTCCCTGGAGGATGGGTGGGTAGATGTGGCAGTGATCGCAGTCCTCTGGACCCTCTGCCCGGGGCCCTCGGTATGTGATAGGTGATCCCTTTTCTTGTTTCATCTTGCTCACATCCCTGTTTTCCTGGTGACTTTGCAGTCATGCTCTTTGCCACTTACTATCTATGACGGTGAGGCCCATGGTGAAGTGTCCTAGATGAACATCCAGAAACTGTCTGAGCTCTTACTGTGCATGCAGCACCCTGCTAAATTCTGTGCAGTTCTCCGGAGGAAAAGGTAAATGTCAGGTTTTTCCCATCTGGCACTCTGAAGTCAACTGCTCTTTTGAGCTGGCTGCACGTTCTCCACAGTGACCCTCGGAGGGCAGGCCTGCCTTTTTTTTGAGACGGAGTCTCGCTCTGTCGCCCAGGCTGGAGTGCGGTGGCGCAATCTCAGCTCACTGCAAGCTCCGCCCCCCGGGTTCACTTCATTCTCCTGCCTCAGCCTCCCAAGTAGCTGGGACTACAGGCGCCCGCCAATACCAGCTAATTTTTTTGTATTTTTAGTAGAGACGGGGTTTCACCGTGTTAGCCAGGATGGTCTCCATCTCCTGACCTAGGCCTGCCTTTTTGAGGCCTGCTGGGATTACAGGTGTGAGCCACTGCGCCCGGCTCGTGTGTGTTTCACTCTGTCTCCCAGGCTACAGTGCAATAACACGATCCTAGCTCATTGCAGCCTCGAACACTTGGGCTCCAGTAATCCTCCTGCCTCAGCCTTCTGAACAGTGAGAACTACAGGTGTGCCCCACCACACCTGGATAATTTTAAAATTTATTTTATTTTTATTTTTGTAGAGATGGGGGTCTCACTACATTGCCCAGGCTTGTCTCAAACTCCTGGGCTCAAGTGATCCGTTCGCCTCAGCCTCCCACAAGTGCTGGGATTACAGGCATGAGCCCCTGCGCCCAGCCTGGACCAGTGTTTTTGGACAGCACGAGGATGCTCTCACTGCTTCATGGGTGTGCTTCTCTGTTCCAGAGCATTTGGCTTTTCTGTTCCTGTTTTTGTTTTGTTTTTCACAGTGCTTTATGGTCAAATTCTTCTCCTCTCCCTTTAAAGAAAACTCTTCAGGACTTGATATTTTAGAGAGTAAATAAACGGAAAGGAAGAAAGATATGAGGCAATTACAGTGGTGGGGAGCCGTTTACTAGTATGCAATAGTATAATTCTCAAATTGGTACAAAACAAAAACAAACAATTTGTTTTCTTGCAAAATACAACCAAAGTGCTGGTTAAATAAGAGGAAGGTAGTGCCTTGAGCCCAGCACCTGAGGCAAATAGATTGCTCAGGGGCACCTTTTAAATTAAAGGGACATCTTCCCTTCTGTGGAGTCACCAGCTGTTTGGGTGACACTTCCCGTTGTGCTCCCGGCCTCTGTGGAAGCATAAACATTCTTGTACATAAAGCAACTGTGGCAGTGAACTCCACCAGGACCAAGGCTGTTCTCGTGCAGAGTGGGAAGCTGAAAGAACCACCGCTGTAGCCTCTCATGGCAGTCTGGAAAATGCCAGGGGGAAGCCGACTGCACAGATGGCCAGAGGCAGCTGCATGCTCCCGATTTCTTTCAGGTTTTGTTGGGTGAACCTTCTTGGTGATTCAGGTAGCAGGATTGTTTAGAATCCTGCTTCCACGTTGATGGTGCGCCTTTCAAAAACATTTACAGAGAGCGTTCGCTCCCTAAGTGTTTATTCCTTTACCTTAGGAAGAAATCTGCCTCATGGCTGCTTTTGTGTACAGTCTATTTAGACACAGACATGTGGAACGATGCAGGGTCGCTGGAGTTCTCAACCATGGCATCTGCAGTTTCGTTTTTGTTTTTTTTTTCTTTTGTTTTTTGTTTTGTTTTTCGTTTTGAGACGGAGTCTCGCCCTGTCACCCAGGCTGGAGTGCAATGGCACGATCTCGGCTCACTGCAACCTCTGCCTCCCGGGTTCAAACAATTCTCCTGCCTCAGCCTCCTGAGTAGCTGGGATTACAGGCGCGCGCCTCCATGCTCAGCTGATTTTTGTATTTTTAGTAGAGACGGGGTTTCACCATGTTTGCCAGGCTGGTCTCGATCTCCTGACCTTGTGATCCACCCGCCTCGGCCTCCCAAAGTGCTGGGATTACAGGCATGAGCCACCGCGCCCAGCTGCAGTTTCATTTTGAATCAACTTTTCCTTGAATTGCCTGATTGCTCATTTTTTTCCCCTCTTTTTTCCTAATCAGATTTTACCCATCCTGGAGAACTAGTTCCACTGTAATGCATCTGGCTCCTCTTCCCTTCTTTTCACTTTCTCTTCCCCTCCTCTCTCACTCTCCTCATCTCTTCTGCCACAAGTCTTATTAAGCTTCACACCCTGTGAAGCAAGCCAGACTAAGGGGATTACCCCAAATCACCTATGAAGATGCACAGTGATCTGCCCAGGGTCCTCAGCCACTTTCTCCATGACAAATCCCCTGATAATGGCATTCTTTTTTTTTTTTTTTTTTTTTTTTGAGAAAGAGTCTCACTATGTCACCCAGGCTGGAGTGCAATGTTGTGATCTCAGCTCACTGCAACCTTTGCCTCCTGGGTTCAAGCGATTCTCCTGCCTCAGCTTCCTAAGTAGCTGGGATTACAGGCACGCACCACCACCACACCTGGCTAATTTTTGTATTTGTAGTAGAGACGGGGTTTTGCCATGTTGGCCAGGCTGGTCTCAAACTCCTGACCTCAGGTGATCACCCGCCTCAGCCTCCCAAAGTGTTGGGATTACAGATGTGAGCCGCCGCGCCCAGTCCATTCTTTCTCTCTCTCTGTATATGTATGTATATACTGTACAGACACTTCACACATTTATGTGCAACTATAATATCCTATTATAACAGGAGTTGAGAGTATAAAGATAATTAGCTATAATCTCCACCCTCAGGAAACTGGCAATCTAGGGTGGAAGATACACGATTATGATAAAGCGTGGTAAATGCGAGGCAAGAGACAGAAGATGGAAGACACATCAGTGTGGGAGGGTGAGGGTCATAAACCAGACAGGGAGCACACGATTACATCTGAAGCACCAATAAGACAGGAGCAATACTCTTCAGTTTGAGAGGAGAGGAAAAATTCTGGGAAGGCCAGTAGACAGTTCAAATAATTTAATATTATGCCTCAGGTGTAAGATCCTGCTTGGAAGAAACCTCCAGAGGTAGACGCTCAGAAATCTGTAGCTGGAATTGCTAGTAGGGCTCATCTAGTCTAGTACCCTTTTTCTTTACACTTAAGTAAAATGAGACCAGAAAATGAAGTGATATTTTCAAGATCCCACACGGCTAGTCTGTGATAGAAACCAGAGCTTAGGCCTGCTGATCTCAGTTGAGACCATGGTTTCTTTTTTCCATATCAGGCTACTTCTCTGAGTCCAGGCACCTAGAGACAGCTTTCTTTTGTTCTTTCTTTTTGAGATAGAATTTCATTCTTGTTGCCAGGCTGGAGTGCAATGATGCAGTCTCAGCTCACTGCAACCTCTGCCTCCCAGGTTCAAGCGATTCTCCTGCCTCAGCCTCCCAAGTAGCTGGGATTACAGGCGCCTGCCACCATACCAGGCTATTTTTTTTGTATTTTTAGTAGAGTTGGGGTTTCACTATGTTGGCCAGGCTGGTCTTGAACTCCTGACCTCAGGTGATCCTCCCACCTCGGCCTCCCAAAGTGCTGGGATTACAGGTTTGAGCCACCATGCGTGGCCGAGTCAGCTTTCTAACAAGGTTTTGGCTCTGTTTTCTGGAAGAATGGGAGGATCTGTTCTCTGAATTAGCCTTTTCATATGGTTTTCTCTGTCTTTTCCTTTTGCTCCTCTCTTGCTTCTGGCCTTTTGTTTGCATCTCAGCCTGTAGAAGACAAAGCTAACCTGTCCGTAGGCCATGGGAGTGGGCATCTCTCTAGGTGGGTGAGATGCTTGGGTGAGAAAGTGCCACTTGTACCAGTGATAGGATATTGAAGGGATAGACAGTAGTCTCAGTCACCCATCCATGAGGGTAAGAACAAGCGATATTCTGCTATAGCAGAAAGAAAATTGGCTTTAGAGACAAAAGACTTGGCTCAAGTCCTGGATCTGTCACTTTCTGAGGATGTGGTTTTGAACGTTATTTCTATAGGTGGCTGCATCGAAATGAGGCAGTGGATATAAAAGTAATAAAAACCACAAAAAGTCATGCACATGCAAAGTGATACTATTATTTGTTACCAACAATTGGGTCCTGGTACTTTGAGGCTCTCAAAGTACTGTGAACTGTTGGTTTTGTGTGGTATTTAGTGGGCTATTCTAGTCTTCTTCCTTGCCAAGCACCACTGTTTCAGAGAGGCTAATTCCGTCAGCGTGAGGAACAGAAGGAGTCACTCGAGAAGCCATCTCCACCAAAGTAAACACATCCTTCTGGAAGCTTAAATTTTCACTTTATCCCTTGGGAACTAGGGACATGAGTCATAATGAGTTAGCAGGTGGCTTTTGTGAAATACAAGAGGCTTTGTGAAATGCAGCAAATATAGCCAAAAGCATGTGTAGTAGCTTCCTATGGCTGCTCTCACAAATTACTACAAATTCAGTGGCTTACAACAACACACATGCATTCCCATTTATTCAGTTAGGAAGTCAAAAGTCTGAAATGCATATCATAGGCTAACGTCAACGCGTCAATAGAACCGTGTTCTTCCTGGAAAGAATGTGTTTCCTTGACTTTTTCCAGAGTCCGCCTCCATCCCTTGGCTAGTGGCCCCTTCCTCCTCCATCTTCAAGTACGTCACTCCAAGCCCTCCTCATCATCATCACCTCCTGTCTCTGTCTGTGACTCTCCTGCCTCACTCCTTTCCTTGTAAGGGCCCTAATGATTATATCTTCCCAGCTCAAGCTCCTCAGCTGAATCACATCTGTAAAGTCTCTTTTGCCATGTAAGGTCACATATTCACAGGGTCTGCAGATTAGGACATGGACAGCTTTGGTGACTATTATTCTGTCAGCCACAGCATGTGTGTATGTAAGCGCTTGGTCTGCCTTTCCCCTGAGTTCATGACATTTCTGTTACTAACTTGTCACCCTTACCATTTCCAACCCAAGCACCAGGTAGTCATAGCTAACCTTCACTGGGTACCTACAGTGTGCCAGACAATATTTTAAACACCTAACATATGTATTATTTTGTTTTATTCTTCATAACAACCCTATGAGATAGGAACTATTATTATACCCATTTTACAGATAAGAAAACTGAAGCACAGAGATTTGAACTTGCCCAACATCACACAGCTAGAAAGTGGTAGAAACCAGGATGCAAATCCCAGGCAATCAACTGCACACTCAAGAGTTCTTAGCCAGCATCCATGGTATTGGCATGTAGCTAGTGTTCATGAAGGTTTGATGAACAGCAGAAGGAAGGAAACTTGAGATCTAAATAAATGATATGAAGTCTCTAGATTACATGGAACTGGGGTCAAGAGGGCAACCCGACTTGCCCATTGGTTTGTTCTTTGACTTGGCCCCAGCTAAATGCAGTGGGGTTGGCTGTCTAGTGATGTGGTCTGGAGTTGGAATGGTTATCACACTTTCTGGAATAGTGTGTGTGTGTATGTGTTTCTGAGTGTGAATGTGTGTGTGTGTGTGTGTGTATATACACTGCCCATCTCAGCTCCCAACTGTGAGAAAATGGGGACAGGATTGTACTTACGGGTCACAGAGCACCAAGTCTCTGCCAACCACCTATCCCAGCCTCCACCTGCTGCTGCCAGATGAACCTCTGTGGTAGAAATAGGAAGCATGTTCCTATTCTTGTGGCCTCAAGAAAGGGCTCCTGGGGCAGAATGCAGAGTGGTGTGTCTGGTACTTGAGTGTATGATCAAACTGATGTACATTCAAATTCCTACTCCACTTAGGTTACCAAATTCCTCTAAGCTCAGTTTTGTCTTCTGTTAAATGAAGGTAATAGTCTGTGCCTCAAGGAATTGTTACAATGATTAGATGAGATAATACACATAAGAATGGTGAGTGCAGAGCCTGACCTTAAGTGCACGATAAATGGTAGGCATGGTGGTTGGGCTTACAGTGTTGAGTACAGAAGGGGACTCTGGGTATGTTAATAAACTATTCTAAGTCTTCTGGTAAGAGTGTGTTTCTGTTTCCTCCCCAGCCTCCTCAAGACCTAGATGGAGCCTAGGGAATAATTTATTATTTATTTATTCATTTATTTATTTATCGAGACTGAGCTCTGTTGCCCAGGCTGGAGTGCAATGGTGCGACTGTGGCTCTCTGCAATCTCCGCCTCCTAGGTTCAAGCGATTCTCCTTCCCCAGCCTCCCGAGTAGCTGAGATTACAGACGTGCTCCACCACGCCCGGCTAATTTTTGTATTTTTAGTAGAGATGGGGTTTCGCCACGTTGCCCAGGCTGGTCTCGAACTCCTGACCAGAGGTGATCTGCCCACCTCGGCCTCCCAAAGTGCTGGGATTATAAGCGTGAGCCACCACACCCTGCTAGAAGGAATAATTAAAATAGCATTCAGTTTGTGTGATGAGTGTTCTGAGGAGGGGAACAGAGATGCGGGGAGCTGGCTTAGGAGTGTGGCGCTCCTCAGTGCGCAGTGGGAGCCACACCACTCCTGCCTTCTGCCTGGCCTCGCAAGTTCAGAGCTGCTGCCTTGTCAAGAAAAATCCATGGGCCAGGCGCAGTGGCTCACGCCTATAATCCCAGCACTTTGGGAGGATGAGGCAGGCAGATTGCTTAAGGCCAGGAGTTCAAGACTAGCCTAGGCAACATGGCAAAACCCCATCTCTACAAAAAATGCATAAAAATTAGCCAGCATGGTGGTGTGCACCTGGTCTTGAAGATCCACTGAGCAATCAAGATACCCTCCTGGGACGTCAGGCCTCAGATCTGCAGCAGCTTTTCTACATCAGGTTGGAGGAGAATATTTGAAGTTCTTATCTTCCTCCAAACGTAAGACCACAGGCCCACAAATGGAAGGCTGAACAGACAGCTGTGTCCCCTTGCTGTCTGGCCGCCTCAGACACCACAGATCTCCCGGTATCACTTTATCCATCAGGCCTTGGCAGGGAGGCCACAAGTGGGCTGTCTTGTTCCGGCCTGTGGCTGCCAGCCTTACAGACCAGTGGAGCAGGAGAGATGGGCCTCAGAGGAAGAGCGGTGGGACACCAGGAAAACCGCCTCGGTGAGATGGCCTGCATTGTGCGTGACTGGTGAAGACTTCCGAATGGGATGACTCCCAGGGGGTGTTGAGTAAACAGACGGTTGCTGTTTGCTGTGCAGCTGGCTCCGAAGGATGTGGAGGATGGAATCTCAGTATGTGAAGTTTTTTTTGGTTTGTTTTTTGTTGTTTGGTTTTTTAATGTTCCTTTTCCATCTTCTGCATGCTGGGGCACCAGCCGCTGCCCCAGAATGGGTTGTCCTGGGAAACAGGTCATGCAGGGCTACCGATGTTTAGTCTGGAAAAGACATGCAGAGATAAGGAAGATGTTGAGGCAGGACAGAACCAGGCTCCTGTTAGTCCAACAAAAGTTTACTGAGCAGTGACTTTGTGTCAGGCACCTGGGAATTGTGCCGCATTCTGAAGGTACAATCATGAATAAGACCCTGACCACAAGGAGCCCTCAACCTCTTGAAGAAGACAGACCCAAGCAGATGACTTCAACATAATGTGGTATGATGGAGAGGGATGGAGGGTATCTCTCCTCTAAGAGTGAAAGGGCTGTCAACTGAAAAACGGATGCCTATTTTGTGAACTTTTTTTTTTTTGAGATGGAGTCTCCCTGTCACCCAGGCTGGAGTCCAGTGGTACAATCTTGGCTCACTGCAACCTTTGCCTCCCGGATTCAAGCGATTCTTCTGCCTCAACCTCAACCTCCCATGTAGCTGGGATCACAGATGCACACCACCACACCCAGCTACTTTTTGTGTTTTTAGTAGAGATGGGGTTTCACCATGTTGGCCAGGCTGATCTCGAATTCCTGACCTCAGGTGATCTGCCTGTTTCGGCCTCCCAAAGTGCTGGGATTACAGGCGTGAGGCACAGTGCCCGGCCTATTTTGTGAACTTTAATGAGTGGTTATAATTGCTGGGGACAGGGTCAGATTTCAGTTCACAAGAAAAAACAACTTTTGGAAACCATTGGCCCACGTACAGATGCTCGACCTCCTCAGCGAGAGTTTTCTCTGGTTCTGAGTGAGCACAGCAGAGCTTCCTGGTTAGCCTCCTCAGAAGGACCCAAGCATTCTGTGTTGGAGTCAGGAGCATACCTAAAGTCCCTGGGGGACCAGGCTGGGCCAGCCTGCAGTAGGGACATGGCCTCTAGGGGTGTCCTTTATGGATCAGCTTCTGGATAGCGGCTTTCATGGGCATGATTCTCAGGTTGGTTAGGGATGGATTATCCATACCCCAGGGCTGAGGGGATGTGCAGTGATGAACTGATGGAATTGAGCAATGGCCTTAGGAAAGATGAGCCCTCAGCATTCGCTGGTTGGGCAAGCGTTCACTGGCCAGCCACTGTCTGGCCTCTGGGCACGTGACAGTGAGTTGTGCTCAGCATTTTGGGAAGGGATTACTGCTGAGAGAGGCCTCAGCAAAGGAGATGGGAAGCAAGTCCAGTGTAACCAAGCCAGGGCAGAACAGCCACCTTAGGAGGAAGAAAAGGAACTGTTGAGCTGGGGATGCAGGCCCTTGAGACTCAGGAGGATTTGAATTTGTAAGTTAGGAGGCTGAAGTTTTCAGCAGTAAAAGGAATAGCCTTAGCCAACCTTTAACTCCTTACCATAGAAAGTTCCAGGGCTGGGCGCGGTGGCTCACGCCTGTAATCCTAGCACTTTGGGAGGCTGAGGCGGGCAGATCACAAGGTCAGGAGATCGAGACCATCCTGGCTAACACGGTGAAACCCCGTCTCTACTAAAAATACAAAAATAAAAATAAAAATTAGCTAGGCATGGTGGCGGGCGCCTGTAGTCCCAGCTACTCGGGAGGCTGAGGCAGGAGAATGGCGTGAACCCGGGAGGCAGAGCTTGCAGTGAGCCGAGATGGCTCCACTGCACTCCAGCCTGGGCGACAGAGTGAGACTCCGTCACTTAAAAAAGTTCCAGAAGGCCTGGCGCTCTTTCTATTGTCACTGCAATTTCTGATGATGGAGAGAATGCATATTTTTTTGCTAAAGAGTCCAATCCTATCTCCTTGTTTGGTCCTCTTTGCTCTGGAATTGCTCTTTCTGCAGAGGGGATTTTCTACTTTAAAAGAAAAAGAAGATCATGATGAAGAAGGAAGTACTCTCAAATTTCTTCAGCCTTTCTCAGCTTACTGCTGGACTCCTGCCAGAATATTAGAGTATCTTTTTAGAGCTGCATATCTAGGGTTCAGGATGCCTCTTTTTCTTCCACTAATTTCCTGTTAATAGGGCTGTGTTGTTGTTTTTCCCACACACATTTATTAAGTGTGTGCTCTGCTAGTATCAAAAGAAACAGATATGGCTAGAGAATGAGCTGCCACCTTGGTGCTCCCAGTCTAGTAGGGAAAACAAAAATAAAAATTAAATTATATCAAAATAAAAAAAGAAAACCAAATAAGTATACAGCAGTCTGCTAAGTGCCCACAAACACAGAGATGTAAACGGTGCTATGGAATCATGAAAGAGCTAGTGAAAATAACTCGAGTTGGGGCCCCTCGTTCCTCTGAAGAGCTGGATTTTGTCAAGTGAATTCATATTAGATTCTCAAAGCTGTTGGAGGTAAATACCATTCAGTCATCTCTTATGTGCCAATCATAAGCCATGGCACCTTACAAACATTGTCTGTCTTTTTTTTTTTTTTTTTTTGAGACGGAGTCTAGCTCTGTTGCTGAGGCTGGAGTGCAGCGGCGCGATCTCAGTTCACTGCAAGCTCCGCCTCCCCGGTTCACGCCATTCTCCTGCCTCAGCCTCCCCAGTACCTGGGACTACAGGCGCCCGCCACCACACCCGGCTAATTTTTTTGCATTTTTAGTAGAGACAGGGTTTCACCATGTTAGCCAGGACGGTCTTGATCTCCTGACCTCGTGATCTGCCCTCCTCGGCATCCCAAAGTACTGGGATTATAGGCATGAGCCACCGCGCCCAGCCCAAACATTGTCTTCTTACTCAGCACAGCAAAGCTCTGCAGTTAGTTTTTTTTTTTTTTTTTTTTTTGAGGCGGAGTCTCGCTCTGAGGCCCAGGCTGGAGTGCAGTGGCACAATCGCAGCTCACTGCAACCTCCGCCTTTTGGGTTCAAGCGATTCTCCTGTCTCAGCCTCCTGAGGAGCTGGGATTACAGGCGTGCACCATCATACCCGGCTAATTTTCGTATTTTTTGTAGAGACAGGGTTTCACCATGTTGGCCAGGCTGGTCTCGAACTCCTCACCTCTGGTGATCCACCCACCTTCGTCTCCCAAAGTACTGGGATTACAGGCATAAGCCACCGTGCCTGGCCTGCAGTTAGTATTAATAAACCCATTTTACAGATGAGGAAACTGAGTTTATTAAACATGCACCATGATTAAGTGGCAGAGCTGGGTCCCTAACCCAAGTTTTCCTGGCTCCAAAAACCTTTTATTAGACCCGTGTTTATGGTGCCTCGGTTTCTGCTTTGCTGGTTTATTTTTGTTCCTGGATCACAGCTTTAAACTTGCACACAGAGCTCTAGCACCCTGACTGGCAAATAAGCATTACTGGCAATGCAGCCAGCTGCTGTTTCCTGTGTTTAGAGACCACATTGCAGGAAAGTGTTTTAAGAGTTGTTTTGAGTGTTGGTTCTGTTCCTCCGTGTGAAAGTGTGGATGCTGTTCTGAGAAAGAGAAAGGTGACGCGGATGCTCAGCGTTCTGTGGCAGTTCCCATTTGGTGGGGATTTGGAGAGGAATTGATATGTCACTGGATGAGATCAGAGTCTTTGTTCTGTTTGGTCTGAGACCATGTGGCATCATGAAATCAATGGACTGTGAGGTCAAAGTTCTAGAACTAGCTCAGCCGCTGTTCTGTCCTGTGACTTTGGGTAAGACAGTTTATGTCTGCTTTGCCCATCTGTGCAATTTAGTTCTTCAAAGCTGCAAGGAGCACCTCTGATGAGCCAAGCACTGGGGTCCATGGCCCCCAGAGATAAACAGGATGTAATCCTGGCCCCAGTGAATTCCTGAGAGTAGGAAGGAGATAGACGCATACACAGTAGATAATCACAAAACAAGGAGGCACCTGCTGAAGGCAGAGCCCATTTTCCTCCAGTTTGCAGCGGACCATCTTGGAACTGCAGGGTATTTGGAACTTCTTTACAATTAAATAGAGAGAGAGTGAGAGCTTACATTTGTTCTGAACCTACTATGTGTAATTTTACTCTTTTCCCAATCCTGAGGAAAGTAGTAAGCAGTACTTCCATTTTACAAATGAGAAAAGCAAGACAGATACATTAAAGGATTTATCCCACTCAGAAGTGACTGTGCCAATGCACTGAAGTTTATCTGGCTTTAGACCCCTCAGCTCTCCCACCTCACCCTAACAGCCCTTGTAAGATTTCATTAAAAAAATTTTTGGCTGGGTGTGGTGGCTCAGGCCTGTAATCCCAACACTTTGAGAGGCTGAGGCAAGAGGATCGCTTTGAGCCCAGGAGTTCGAGACCAGCCTGGGCAACAAGGAGAAACCCCGTCTTTACTAAAAAAATACAACAACTGGCTGGGCAGGATGACTCACAGCTGTAATCCCAGCACTTTGGGAGGCCGAGGCAGGTGGTTTACCTGACGTCAGGAGTTCAAGACCAGCCTGGCCAACATGGTAAAACGTGTCTGTACTAAAAATACAAAAATTAGCTGGACGTGGTGGCAGGTGCCTGTAATCCCAGTTACTCAAGAGGCTAAGGCAGGAGAATCGCTTGAAAACCTGGGAGGCAGAGGTTGCAGTGAGCCGAGATTGCGCCAGTGCACTCCAACCTGGGCAACAAGAGCAAAACTCCATCTCAAAAAAATAATATATACAAAAACTAGTTGGGCATGGTGGCACAGGCCCGTAGTCTCAGTTACACTGGCTGAGGTGGGAGGATTGCTTGAGCCCAGGAGATGGAGGTTGCAGTGAGCCAAGAATGTGCCACTGTACTCCAGCCTGAGTGACAGAGCCAGACCCTGTCTAAAAAAAAATTCTAAATAGCGACATTCCAGCATCCCTGCATTATTGAACTGTTGTCTCCCTGTCTTCCCCTCAGGCTCCCTTCTGTATTTCCTGGCATCACTGTCACCTTCTGGCCCTTCCTGCTCACCTTTGCCTCCCGCCCCCAGGCTCTTCTGTGTGACTCAGCCACCTTTATGAAAGCCGCCTTTATCACTCAAGCCCTTGCATTTTCAACACCTCTGGGTCTTGCTTATGTTTGTTGATGAATCCATGGATAACTTCATCCTGGGTACATTTTTCTCTTAGATGAAATGTTATACAGTCGGCCCTCCATGTCCATAGGTTTTGAATTTGTTGTTTCAACCAATTGCAAATCAAAAATATTGGGGGGAAAAATTGCATGTGTACTGAACATGAACAGAATTTTTTCCTGCCATTATTTCCTGAACAATACAGTATAACAACTATTTACATAGCTTCTATGTTGTAATCGGTATTATAAGTAACCCAGAGATGATTTAAAGTACACAGGAGGGTGTGCATGGGTTATATGCAAATACTGCACCATTTTATATCAAGGACTTGAGGATTTCGATATCTGAGGGAGGTCCTGGAATCATTCCCCTATGGATACCAAGGGAGTACTGTACGTTCTTTTCAAATATTCTCTCCTTTGAGAAAATTTCTCAGGTTGCATTATCCATTCCTAACTCCTATATACTACATTCCCATCTCGAGGCAGAATGTGTTTATGTGCGTCTGTGCTGCCCTGGAACATTGTACGTACCTGATGCCGTGCCTCTGGTGGAGCACTTACCATTATCACATCATCAAAGTCAGCTTATGTCAGTTTCCCAGACTAGACTGTGACTCCTTGGAGAGATAGTATCTTAGTCTTTTATCTTTCCCTAGCCCTTTGCATGGTGCCTGGTACATAATAAGCACTCCATTCATTCATCTCTTTAATAACCTTTTATTAACATTTATTATTTTGTATACCCTGTGCTAGCTGAGATGGTGCCATTGCACTCCAGCATGGGCAAGAGGAGCAAAACTCCCTCTCGAAAAAAAAAAGGCTCTTATAAGGGTACTATTGCTTTTGAGGCAGAGTCTTACTCTGTTGCCCAGGCTGGAGTGCAGTGGCAGAATCTTGGCTCACCACAACCTCTGCCTCCCAGATTCAAGCAATTCTCCGGCCTCAGCCTCCTGAGTAGCTGGGATTACAGGTGCCCACCACCACACCCAGCTCCCACCTCCATGCCCAGCTAGTTTTTGTATTTTTAGTAGAGATGGGATTTTGCCATGTTGGCAAGGCTGGTCTCAAACTCCTGACCTCAGGTGATGTGCCTGCTGAGGCTTTCCAATGTGCTAGGATTATAGGCATGAGCCAAGGGCACTAATCTCATCATTAGAATTCCTCCCATGAACTTGTCTAACCCTAATTACCTCCCAAAGGCCCCATCTTCAAATACCATCATATTAAAGGTTAGGGCTTCAATATATGAATTTTAAGAGGAAACAATTCAGTTCAGTTCATATCAGCCATCAGTGACCTGGAGAGAATACCTATGTGACTGAATGGTGGGAATTTGAGGCCAGGTGGGACCCTACTCCATCCTGCCACAGCCCTGTCAGCTAGCAGGGGTCACAATGGGGACCATCCTCTCTGCCCTTCTTTCCATTGTGGCTGCACTCAGCCTAGATCTGTCTGGCTGACCCATGTTCCTTTGAGTCCAGATGTCCAATAAGAAAATAGAAACCATAAGAAGTGAGAAGGGAAATGCCTGCAGCCTCTAGGAGTGAAGATGGTGAAGGCTAAATCTCTTTCCTAGGTCTCTCACTAACCACTTGGGATCACTTCCACATGACTCACTAGTATATGTGATGGTCCAGCAGGCACTGCCACCATCATCCCAGGACCCACTGCCCAGAGGCTGAAAGGTGTGTTTTCAGGAGCTGATTGACCCTTGTGCTCCACAAAATAGTCAGTCATGGGGAGGGGCTGCCATTCCCAAAATCTCTTAAGAGTTTCAGACCATTCAGAGTTTGGAATGCTGTGGAACAAATTCCTCCATCAGTCAGGAGAATGAGTATCCACTTATGAGGCATAGCTTAGAGCAAAGGAACCGCGTACCAGGATTTAGAAAGTGTGGGCTCTAGTCCCAGCGTTTCGCCTGATTTGCTGCATAATCCTGGGTAATTCATTTGTGCCATCCCAAATAACACTCATTATACCCCATGATGTACCAAGAACTGTGCTTGGCTGCTGGATATGCAGGAATAAACAAGGATGCCTCTGTGTTTAAGAGCCGTAGTGTCATAACCATGTAATTCAGGCTGTGAAGAGGTACACGAGGTACTAAGAGACCTGACTAAAAGCCACGTAGCCCAGAAAGCACAAGACTCACAGGATCCAGGAAGGATCCACTCTAAGGAGGTGCCACTGGAGCTGAGGTTGGGAAGACAGGGAGTTGGGCAACTGGACATGTTGAGGGTGAAGGGGTGGGGCGAGGAGGGGATAGTGTAGGTGAAGAGGTCAGTGCGTGCATAGGCACGATGGATGAGAAATCCTGGTGCACCAACGCAGTGTATTTGGGGGCAGAGGAGCTGGAGAAGCTGGCGACAATTGCATGGTACTAGGGAGTCTCAGTTTATTTTGAAGGCCCCGGAAAGGCACCAAAGGATGGTGAGCAAGTTCACGATGTAACCAGATTTGTCTGAGAGAGCATAGCCTCGCCACTCAAAATGTGGTCCTCAGACCAGCCCTTTTGGTACCAACCAGGAGCTTGTTAGAAACATAGAATCTCAGCTCTACCTCAAACCCACTACGTTAGAATCTCCACTTTAATAAGATCCTTAGGTGATTGGTATGTACACTGAAGTCTGGGACACCTTGATCTCTAGCAAGGACCAGCAAACTCTGTAGAGGGCCAGAGAGTAAATATTTCAGGCTTGGCCGACCATATGGTCTCCATGGTGGCTACTCAGCTCTGCTGTTTTGCAATAGCAGACATGGATGATATATAAACAAATAAGCATGGCTGTGTTCCAATGAAAGTTTATTTGTGGGCACTGAAATTTTAATTTCATATAATTTCCATCAGTCACAACATGTCATTCTTCTTTTGATTTTTTTCTTCTTTTCTTTTCTTTTTGGTTTGAGATGGAGTCTCTCTCTGTCACTCAGGCTGGAGTGCAATGACACGATCTTGGCTCACTGCAACCTCCGCCTCCCAAGTTCAAGTGATTCTCCTGCCTCAGCCCCCTGAGTAGCTGGGATTACAGGCACCCACCACCACAGCCGGCTAATTTTTGTATTTTTAGTAGAGATGGGGTTTCACCATGTTGGCCAGGCTGGTCTCGAACTCCTGACCTCAAGTGATCCATCCGCCTCGGCCTCCCAAAGTGCTGGGATTACAGGCGTGAGCCACCATGCCCAACCAATTATTTTAACCATTTAAAAATGTGAAAACCATCTTAGCTCACAGGCTGTACAAAAGCAGGAGGTGGGCTGGTTTGGCCCCTGGGCTGTAGTTTGCTGGCTCTTGATCTGTGGGTTTCTGTATCTTCAGCTTCAAATAAAACCTCCTGAACTATATGCTTCAGAGAGTGATTGTGAAAATCAAAGGCACGGGGAAGGACACCTACACTAAGTCCTTATTTTCAGATCAGGAAATAGAGACTCAGAGTGGGACAGTGACTTGCTGAGAGTAGCACAGCTTGTTACTGGTTAGGACTTCAATGCAGGTCTGCTGCCTTCCTATCAAGTGCTCTCCCTTTATTTTTGTTTTTGAAACGGAGTTTCGCTCTTGTTGCCCAGGCTGGAGTGCAATGGCGCGATCTTGGCTCACCGCAACCTCTGACACCTGGGTTCAAGCGATTCTCCTGCCTCAGCCTTCTGAGTAGCTGGGATTACAGGCATGTGCCACCATGCCTGGCTAATTTTGTATTTTTAGTAGAGACGGAGTTTCTCCATGTTGGTCAGGCTGGTCTTGAACTCCCGACCTCAAGTGATCCACCCGCCTCAGCCTCCCAAAGTGCTGGGATTACAGGCGTGAGCCACCGTGCCTGTCTGTGCTCTTCCTTTATTCTATGCATAACTGATTTGAAAGGAGAACCAGAGTCCTGTCTTTTCTCCTCTACAACAGAGCAGAGTAAAGGATGCGTAAAAGGCAAATTAACCTTTTTTCTGATATGTTGCAAATGGTTAGTTAAGGGCTTTTTAATGTCAGAGCTGCCGTGTCAAAGCCAAAATGCTGTGAGCAGCCGGTCCCAGGGCAATGTGTTTGTCCAGAGCAAGACCCGAGGCATTTCAATACCTGAAATAAGATACCAAAACTCTTTTTTATTTAGCAAAATAAAAGTTAGATTAGGTGCTATTCCATAACAAATGAAGTTTCGCTAGAAATTATTTAATTTATTCGTATTTGTTTTTGTTGAAACCTTGCTCTTTCATAGTAATTAATGAATCATTCATTGTAATAGTTACTTAAAAGCATAATAGAATGAATCAAGCATTCCATTTGGTTTCTTATCCATAACTGTAGGGTGTCTAAGTGATTTTTCTTGTGACAAAATCCAAGACGTTGATTTCTTTAAATCCACCCAAAATTTCTACATACATAGCCCCAACTCTGGCCCTATTTCTTCTTGTTCTAGCCAGATTCCTCAGTCAAACAGGAACAGTGCTCACAGAGGAAATGGAGTTTTGCCTTCTTGTACCTCTGATGCTTTGGTTTTGGACACAGAAAGGCAATGATGAGATTGAGAATATAAGTCCCAGACAAGCCACACTGAACAGTCCACTCTGAAATCACGTGTGTAGTAGGTCCTCGGGGAACATGGATAAGCTTCCCTCCAAAGAAAGCCGAGTCCTGGGAAGTAGGGACCTGGTCATCCACTGTTTGAATGTCCTGTTCCTTGTTCTTCCACCATGACACTGGGATAGCATGCTGTCTGCAGGGGTAATAGGCACAGGTTCATATGCATTCTTCTGTACACACATGCACACACACACACACACACAGGCACATGCATGCAAACCCACATGCTTACCCCTCTGGCTTGCTTGATCCCTTCAGGGTTTGAAAAAAAGATGCTTCTATTTGGAGGCTGGTAGAAGCCTGTTAGGTTACTGAGTACTTTTGGGGAAGGGACACAAAGAGACAAGTCATCTGTTGCCATCACACAACTGCATGGTCAGCGTGTCTGCGATCCACGATGCTCTGCCTGGGTTTGGGAAGCCTTGTGTGCTGAGTGTGGCAGCAGCAAGGCTGACTCATCACTGCCACCCAGGGTGGCCCAGCTGTCAGAACAAGATGGGCCCATCTCCTGTCTGTTCTCCCTGCCTTGTCAAAAAAGCACCAGTCGTGAATCATCTGCCCATGTACAGCCACTTGGAAGCTCGGAGGGATCACTGCGAGGATAGCGAGTGCAAATTCTCCTCCTGCGTAGTACCCTGCCAACCCTGCCGACGCACCATGAGGCCTTGGACAAATTGCTTTTTCTTAAATAATTAATTATAATAGTTTTCATTTATTTAGTAGTTGACTGTGTGGATGGTACAACGGAGCCACCAACAGACACAAGTCTGACCCACGGCACCAAGCTGCCTCTCACCGTCCAGTATGAGATCTCATCTCATCCTCGTGGCAGTTATTTGATATGGATGATAGTTATATTCCCATTTTTATAGATGGGGACGCTGAGGCGTTCACTTGTCCTGAGAAGTTCACTTGTCCCTGTTGTGGGGCAAGGAGTGACTCTAACCTTCTGACTCCAAATTCCATATTCTTTCCAGTCTGCCTTTCCCGAGTTTGTATCTTTCCCTGTAAAAAGTTGAGAAACACTTCTTTCTCCTTCATTTGGTTCCTGGAGCCTGAGATGCACGTCTCTTTCTAACCGAGAGCTTCTTTGAGGAAGATGGTAATTAGGACACTAGGGGCCAGCTCTCCTCTCATTCTCTCCTGGCAGGGCTAGAGGAATAACCCAGCTCTGGGCTGCCTGTAGCTTCCCCTCCCCTCCAAGAGGGAGCTGCACCAAGCCCAGCACTGTCACGGGGAAGCTTGCTCTGTAGAATTCACCAGCCATCCTACAGTGATTATAAATATAATAAACTACTGATTAAAAAAATTTAATGGAAATTTTCTAACTTATCCTAAGGTAGTAAGAATAGTATAACAAAACAAATGCGTCAAGCAATTCATCCTTGATCCTGTTTCATCAATACCACCCACTTCCCCACCCTCCCCATATAATTTTGAATTAAATTTTAGAGTGAGGCATGGTGGCTTATGCCTGTAATCACAAAACTCCGGGAGGCCAAGGCAGGAAGATTGCTTGAGCCCAGGAGTTGGTCTTGCGGCCAGCCTGGGCAATACAGTAAGACCCCATCTCTACAAAAAATAAGTTACCCAGGCGCATGGTGGTGCATGCCTGTAGTCACAGCTACTTGGGAGGTTGAGGTGGGAGGATCCCTTGAGCCTTGGAAGTCGAGGCTGCAGTGAGCCGCCACTGCACTCCCGCCTGGAGACAGAGTGAGACCTTGTTTCAAAAAAAAAAAAAAAAAGTCTTAGATGTATCATTTAGTCTGTATTTCAGTTTGTATCTTTAAAAGACTGTGACTATTTAAATTATGACCACAGGGCCTGGCATGGTGGCTCATACCTGTAATCCCAGCAGTGTGGGAGGCCAAGGCGGGCAGATCGCTTGAGGTCAGGAGTTGGAGACCATCCTGGCCCACATAGCAAAACCCCGTTTCTACTGAAAATACAAAAATTAGCCGGGCGTGGTGGCGCACGCCTGTAATCCCAGCTACTTGGGAGGCTGAGGCAGGAGAATCTGGAGGCGGAGGTTGCAGTGAGCTGAGATTGCGCCACTGCCCTTCAGCCTGGGGGACAGAGCGAGACTCCTTCTCAAAAAAAAAAAAAAATAATAATAATAAAATAAAATATGACCACAGGATCATTATCACACCTGAAAAATAATTACTTAATATTATCAAATATCTAGTCAGTGATCACATATCCTCAATTGCCTTATAATTAAAAAAAAATTGTGTGTGTGTGTGTGTGTGTGTGTGTGTGTGTGAGCCAGGTTTCAAATAAGATCTATACTTGAGATGGAGGGTTGTGTCTCTTAGTGTAGTTAGCTTCCCTGCCCAGTCTTTTCTGATTTTTTTATTTGTAATTTTCTTGTTGATGACGAGGTCTAATGTCTAAAGTCTCCATAGCCCAGATTATGCTGATTGCAGCCCTGGATGGCAGGGAACATCTATTTCTTGTAGTTCCTTTAAGTTGATAGTTAAGTCAAGAGGAAACTATTAGTTTTTAATATAGATCTCATTTGGATCAAAAGCTCACTTGACCAAAAACTCTTGATAAAACATCAGATACAGCACACATTCTTATAGAAAAAAATGGGAAAGTCGCTGAAGAATAGAATGAGATGAGACATTTTGTCCTATTATGCACATTTACAAGGCGTATCCTAGAGTCTGTGTGCACATTCAACCCATCTAATAAATTGGCTGTAGAGACAAGATTGATCAATGAGGAGTGATCTAGTGAATAAGCATTTATTGAGTACCTACTATGTATCTGCCTGATACTAGGTGCTAAGAAGTCAAAATCAAATAAGGAAGGCCTAGTCCTGGCCTGGGGTTGCTTATCTTCTAGAGAGCGACAAGCAAAAGTTAGGAATGGTGGTATATTGTGAAAATGCTGTGTGTACTTATTCACAGATAGCAAGAGCTGCAGAGAAGAGTGTGTGTTAACCTCACTAAAGCAGGTGAGGCTTCCTGGAAGGGGTGACATATTATGAAGGATGAGGTATCAACAATTTTAGAGCAGAAAATATTTGGTTCAGTTTCCTGAATTTGGAGAAGTAAAGAGGAACTCAAAGCGATGCAGGTTTGTGTTTGTTGTTGTTGTTGTTTTGAGACAGAGTTTCGCTCTTGTTGCCCAGGCTGGAGTGCAATGGCTCACTGCAACCTCTACCTCCTGGGTTCAAGTGATTCTCCTGCCTCAGCCTCCCAAGTAGCTGGGATTACAGGCATGCACCACCACGCCCAGCTAATTTTTGTATTTTTAGTAGAGACGGGATTTCTCCATGTTGGTCAGGCTGGTCTCGAACTCCTGACCTCAGGTGATCCACCCGCCTTGGCCTCCCAAAATGCTGAGATTACAGGCGTAAGCCACTGCGCCCAGCCTGTGGTTATTTTTTAAGAGAGCCTTTCAACAAGGCTTCCAAGCAGAGGCTAGAAATCCTTATATAACTGATAAATCATTTGTCCAGATGTTTCATTCCTTCATTCTTCTGGCTCATCAACATATCTTCACGGGCCGCGGGTCTGAAACTGCATTATCTTGCCCCCCGGCAAGAGGAAAATACTATCTTTTTTCCACCAATTCTGGGTCTTTTCCTTGGATTATCACTGAATTTGCAGCTGATGCTTCTGCAGCCTCAGAATAGGAAAATATGGTGAAAGTCCATTGTACCTTCAGTGGAAGGACAACTTGCCTTGTTTTTCTTCTTTATTTGCTTATTCTCTGTCCCATATCCCCACCCCCGGGATGTAGCTTTTTGAGAGCAAAGACCTTGACTGTCTTATTCATTACTCTGATTCTCCTGCCTGGAAGAGTGTTTGCCACAGAGCAGGTGCTCAAGAAATACTATAGAGCAAATTAATTTATCTTTGTCATTCTTACCTAGGGTAGGGTTTCCCTCTGAAAGTGTCTGCCTGTGAGTACTCCAATTTATAGGCAGAGATGGAGTTTTCAAAATATAAAGTGTTTTAATCTGACACATCCTCGTGATAATGAAAATACTTCTTTTTTACTATTATTATTTTTTTGTGTCGCTCTGTCACCCAAGCTGAAGTGCAGTGGTGTGATCTTGGCTCACTGCAACCTCCACTTCCTGGGTTCCAGCGATTCTCCTGCCTCAGCCTCCCGAGTAGCTGGAATTACAGGCGTCTGCCACAATGCCCAGCTAATTTTTTTTATATTTTTAGTAGAGACGGGGTTTCAGCATGTTGGCCAAGCTGGTCTCGAACTCCTGACCTCAGGTGATCCACCCGCCTTGGCCTCCCAAAGTGCTGGGATTACAGGCGTGAGCTACCACACCCGGCCAGCACCTCTCATTTTTATAGCTCGTTACATTTTCAAAGCATTTTCACCTCATGGGGTCTTCCTCGAGCTTCATAGCAGCCCTATTTGGATACAGGCTGAACAGATGATGTTACCACCATTTATTGAGGAGAAAACTGAGGCTCTGAGAGGTTAAGTTGCACAAGCCCACACGCCAGGGAGGAGCAAAGCAGGTACTGAACCCAGGCCTGCCTGGCGCTCTTTCTGCAAGACCACCAGTCCCTTCTCCCTCTGCTCATGGAAAATAAAGACTAAAAAGAGCAGGTTTCTTCCCGGGTCACTTCCTCCCTGAGGAAGTCCAATCTCAACTATGGCCTTAAGTGGTTTGGAGTCCTTTGGGGAACATGATTATTTGGGACTGCTTAAGTGCTTAGCAAAAAGTCTGCCAGACAAAGTCTAAGTGGAGCTGAGAGAAGCAGGTTTTTTCTCCTATGAGCTGAGTCATGTCGAGGAAGAGACAAATGGCTACCAAGGAGAAATATGTAAGCAGACTGGTCAACACGCATGGTCGAGCGTGAGACAGCAGACTCAGGTACAATTATTCTGAGAGGAAGCACAAGGCTTGACTCCAGGGTGTGGATCCGGAAGCAAGCGTTCCTCCTAACCGGGATCCAAGGATGTGTTGCCAGTGGAGTGGTAGATTTATAGGAAAGGTGGAGATGGTACTGAGATGGTCTTAAATGTTAAGAAAACAACCATAAAACTTGTTTGGGGGCTGGATCTGTGCAGGATGAGTAAGGCTTTTGGCCGTGGTGTGCAGGGAAAGAACATGGCCCTGGAGGAAAAGCCATCCAGGCTTGTTAATAGAGCTCCGTGTGCAGGCGTTTGGGAGGAGAATGAAGGCCCTGTCTCTTCTTCCTACCCTACCACAAATGCCTTAGTGAAATAACTAGTCCAGGTGTTGACTTTTTCCCTTTCCTAATCCTATGTGCCAGCTTATCCTATGTGCTATTCCTATATGCCAGCTTATCTCAGACAAATCAACCCATCTCTCTAAGCCCTGTTTTTCGGTAAGTAAAATGAAGGTATTTTTTTTTTTCTTTTTTTTGAGACAGGGTCTAGCTCTGTCGCCCAGGCTGGAGTACAGTGGTGCGGTCTGGGCTCACTGCAACTTCCACCTCCCAGGTTCAAGTGATTCTCCTGCCTCAGCCTCCTGAGTAGCTGGAATTACAGATGTGCACCACCACGCCCAGCTAATTTTTGTATTTTTAGTAGAGATGGGGGTTTCACCATGTTGGCCAGGCTGGTCTCGAACTCCCGACCTCAAGCTATCCACTCGCCTTGGCCTCCCAAAGTGCTGGGATTACGGGTGTGAGTCACCGCACCTGGGCAAATGAGGCTATTTCTATTCTGTACCTCCAGTAAGATACAGCAAATACAAAAGTAGAAAGTCTGTCATAAGCCACAAAAATGGTAGATGATTTTGATGGCATCATGGTAGACACTTTAGCAGTGTGTAATACATATAAGGTCACGGTATTTCCAAGTATGAAATAGCTGGCAACTTGCCTGATTCTTATTTAGCAGTGATGACTGATGAAATGACTTGCCCTTTGATTCAAACCTTCCACTTAACATGGTCCCTCACAGCACTGGGCGTCCAGTGGGGAGGTTTTATATTACTCTTCTGCGAAGGGGAAAACTTTAGAACTTGAGGAAGATGGAGAGCAGGTGTGTTGTATTGGGGGGGCAGATGAGTGAGGAGGGACCACGAGAAAGATATTAAGCACCTACTGCATGTCCTCTGCTATGCTTCTACTATGTGTTTTGTATGCTGTATTTATTTCTTTCAGCAGCCTCTTTAAACCCATTTTACAGATGAGAAAGTTAAGAATTTGCACAGCATCACTCAGTAAAATGGGATCCGCATTTTAATCCATGTGTGCTTGAAGGCCAGCCTCTGCATTTCCCCCACCACACCTCTGAGTCTTGCTATTTCTCCATGATCATCTTCTTCCTGGTGCTCCCGTGTCTCCAAGATGAGAGAATTTGCCAAGTCATGAAGCCAGTTCTGTCCTGTCTTACCTCCCTATCCTGCCATCAGTGCCTCATTTAAATACCTAATAATAATGATATCATAATAGTTGAGCAGAGATAGATTATACATAAATTTTGTTTTCTTTTATTAAGTGGTTTTATTTTTGCTTCTCTGCCTGACTTCTTTAGAACATAGGGGTCTGGGCCACTCGGCATGGCAGGTGCCCCAGCCTTGGAGAAAGAACTGTTCAACTGCCTTGGTTTCCCACCTATTTACTGCACACCTCAGGAACAAAGGGAGAAGCTGAGGGGACTTCTTGGTTTTAATTGGGGTGATGACAATTGTGTAGAATCTGAACCTGTTAAAGCACTTCCTCAGGATCCAGACACCGAGAGGGATGGGAGTTTGCCTTTCTTTTTCTTTCTTTCTTTCTTCCTTCCCTTCCTTCCCTTCCTCCCCTTCCTTCCTCCCTCCCTCTTGCTCTGTTGCCCAGGCTGGAGCGTAGTGGCACGATCTCGGCTCACTGTAACCTCCGCCTCCCTGATTCAAGCAATTCTCCTGTCTCAGTCTCCCGGGTAGCTGGGACTACAGGCACATGCCACCACACCGCTAATTTTGGGGTTTTGTGGTTTGTTTGTTTTTTTTTTTGAGACGGAGTCTGGCTCTGTTGCCCAGGCTGGAGAGCAGTAGTGCAATCTCGGCTCACTGCAAGCTCCGCCTCCCAGGTTCACGCCATTCTCCTGCCTCAGCCTCCCGAGTAAGCTGGGACTACAGACGCCCGCCACCACGTCTGGCTAATTTTTTTCTTTCTTTTATTTTATTTTATTTTATTTTATTTTATTTTTTTGAGACGGAGGCTTGCTCTGTTGCCCAGGCTGGAGTGCAGTAGTGCAATCTCGGCTCACTGCAAGCTCCGCCTCCCGGGTTCACCCCATTCTCCTGCCTCAGCCTCCCTAGTAGCTGGGACTACAGGCGCCCGCCACCACGCCCGGCTAATTTTTTGTATTTTTAGTAGAGACGGGGTTTCACCGTGTTAGCCAGGATGGTGTCGATCTCCTGACCTCGTGATCCGCCTGCCTGGGCCTCCAAAAGTGCTGGGATTACAGGCGTGAGCCACCGCGCCCGGCTAATTTTTGTATTTTTACTAGAGACGGCGGGGAGGCGGGGGGGGGGGGGGTTCCACCATATTGGCCAGGCTGGTCTCGAACTCCTGACCTCAAGTGATCCACTTGCCTCGCCCTCTCAAAGTGCTGGGATTACAGGTGTGAGCCACCGCGCCTGGCCAGCTGTTGGTTATTTCTGATGGGCTTTTAAATAGCCCCACAATGTAAAAAGTAACGTATGTTTATTGTGTAAATTTTGAAAAGTATGGAAAAACCCAAAGAATAAATACCATATTATTTATAATTATGTTTAAATTAAACAAAATTGAGGTTATTACTTCGCAATTTGCTGTCAATTGTTTGTCTAAACATTTTTCTGTCAATTATTTGTCTAAAATGATTTCTCCTGCATTTCTAGTACATGAATATACTATTTAATCAGTTCCCTATTTTTGGAAAACTAGGTCATTTTATTTAGATGAATATTCTTACACACGAATTTTTGTGTCCTGAATAGCAGAGTGGGATTAAAAGCCTTTAGTTTTCGCTTTTGTAAAATGGAGGTTGTTTCCAGAAAACTCTCAAACTGGGTTTTTCCTCTGCCTTTACACCGCAACAGCAATCATCAACACCGAGGAAGCCTTCTATGAACACATGTGGAGGTTTTCCCCACATGGCAAGCAGCGGACACCAGCTAGTATCCTCCAATTCAGTTCCAACACTGTCTACCTGGAGATAGCCTCAGATCCCACAGTGGGAGGGCTCTGGCCCCAGACTGCCCTCATCCCCACCAGTTGCAAGTCCAGGCTTCTGGAACTTCTCACTAACTGCCTTCAAGTTGGGAGTTACCACAACCCCCTCTTTTGGTTCAATTAATTTGCTGGAGCGGCTCACAGAACTCAGGGAAACACTTATGTTTACTGATTTACTATAAAGGATATTGCAAAGGATATAGTTGAGGAGATGTGTAAGGTGAGGTATGGGGGAAGGGGCATGGAGCTTCCACGGCCTCCCCTGGCGCCACCCTCCAGGACCCTCCGTGTGGGCAGCCCACCAAACCCCGCCTTCTTGGGTTTTCTTGGAAGTCTCATTACCTCAGCATTTCTTCCCCCAGGGTGGGACATTCTCTGGGGAGGGTCTTCTGACCCACAGTCAGAGGCCTGCTTTGGAAGATTAAAGTCCTGCCTTAGGGCAGGTGAATGGTCAGAGAGATTCTGTTTCCTGAGGCCTGCTCCCGAGGCAGGAAAACATATATATATATATATATATATATATATATATATATATATATCCAATTATATATATATATATCCAATTTTATATATATATATATCCAATTATATATATATATATCTCCAATTATACATATATATATCTCCAATTATACATATATATATATATATAATGAGGATTCTATATTATAATACATGTAGAGTTCTTAGCACAGTGCCTTACATATAGTTAGCTCTCCATAAATGGTAGCTACTATTCTGAGCTTACTTTACATCTGACTTTTGGTTTTAGTAAGTGAAATGCTAAGTAGGATTACATTCTCATGGTTTTGAAGGGTGTGTGGTTGCACTGTGTTACCCTATCTGAAGTTCAGGTAGCCTCTGTGACATCTCAGCGGCCTCAAAGATGGGGTCCTGGCAGTCAAACTGCTGCTGTCCCAAGCATCCCTTGCCAATATCTTCTGGCCTCCGAATCCACTGGCTGTCATGAGCCCAGCAGCTGCTAAAGTTTAGATACATACGCATGGAGAGCCAGTGAGAGACACATAGCGCTATGCTCCCTCCAAAACTCACGCTTGTTGCCTTATTTCACATCGGTTGTGAATGCCTCGGTTGTGGGAATGATGGCTGAGGGTGGTGTGCGCTGCTAGTGGAAGAGGATTCTCCTTAGGGTACAGCACCTGGGAGAGTTGAGTCAGACTTGTCATCTTGCGCTCTGTAATATGCTACTAATATCATAGTATTTCCGAGCTGAGGAACTTGATCACTGGGCCCGATCTTCTCACTTCTGCGAAAGGCTGAAGCCCAGAGTGCTTAAATGGTTTACCGAAGGCCACGAAGCAAAGTAGCGGTAAAGCCAGAACCAAACCCCGGGTCTTCCGGACTCCTCCCCTAGGCAGGATTCTCCCCCTGGGTTATGCTCATTTCCAGCAAATGAAAGGTCATGGTTAACTTGTTGTCCAGATATGTTTGCCTCTCTCCAAAACGGAGTTTTTCTCCTGAGAGGTTCATCACTGGAAAAACGAAACCACATGGCTGTGTGTTCTGCTCTGTGCCTTTGCCGGGCCTTTCCTGCAGAGAATTCTGGTAACATCATCAAGAAGCAGGAAGGAGCTTTTACAAGGTGGCTCTGACTCCTTTTCTTTCCTCTCAAATTTTATACAACTATTTGAAGCTGGCTTTTGTAGGTTAAAGTCACTCTTTTCTGGACAAATCTTCTGCAGCCAAGCAGCATTTCTCTGACTTCCTTGGGTGCAAACTAGAGGAAACTGGCCTTTGTTAGCTCAGATGCTTTCAACACAGGCTGTGAGTGAAGAAAGAGCAGCTGTAACCCCTTTCCTCTCGTGCAGGGAATGCAGTTATAAAAACCAGGCCAATGTTTTCTCCCACCGGGGTGCTGCTGGACTCTCACTTAGCTCCTCAGTCAATTTAAGGCTTAAAATCTTTATTGAAAAGTGTTTTTATTCAGCTTTCAAAGATACCAGTTCATCTGTTATTGCTGTAGCCACCCACCACTTGCGGGAAAATCCCAAAATGTGGGTATTTTACAAATGAAAAAGAGACATTTCTGGAATCAATGAAAAGGCTGCCTTGCCTGGCCTTCTGCTGGGTAGATGTGGAGCTGGTGATTTTGCTGAGTCCCCTGGCTTGAGCAAAAGGCTGTGATGGCCATTTGTGACGGGGTTCTGTGTTTTGGGCAGGGTTTGCTTGGTGGCTTAGCTGGGCTCTCAAAGGACACAATCAGTGCTACCCCCAGGCAGGCCCAGATCCATCTGCCCAGGATCTGGCTTCTGATCATGAAGGAGGGCGGTAGGTCAGACAGGATAAGCTCAGAGTCCAGGCCAGAGTGGTAGTTAAGAACACTGGAGCTTTTCAGGCCTCGTTCCATGTGCTGGCTCTGCCACTTACAGAACCTTGGACAAGTGATTTAATCTCCCTAAGCCTAAGCCCAGATTTCCTCACTTGGAAATTGGCATCAATAGAAGTACCTACCTCACAAGATGGGGATAATTAAATTAGATAATGTTGACAGAGTGCCTGGCAGATAGTAGGTACTCCATATAAGTCAGCAATAAATTTAATATGTTTATGGTTTTACTGACCTCAACTCCAGGGACTTTTGGGATTGCTAAGAGAAGAAAGATGAATATTTTCTTACTAAACATTAGTAAAATATTTTCTTGCTAAACATTCATTCTTTTCTTGAGACAGTATTTAATATCTATTGATTACTCACTGTAAGATGCCAACCACTCTCTAAACCTTGGGGACACAAAAACAAGAAGCTCATAATTTACCGAATTACAGCAGCATAGAAACAAAGAATTGCAGAGATGTGGGATACACCCTACAGTAAAGGTGATATTCAGGGGGTATGGTGGGAACAGAGAGGAAGGAATGCACCCTTGGCTTGGAGAATGGGCCCCGTGAGCCTTCTCAGCAGGAATGTGGAAGACAGTTTGCATACTGCCGAGGGCACGCTGGTCAAAGACACAGTATGTGCTAAAACTCAGAGAAGGGAAAGACAGGGTTTGTCTCATACGATCGGAGAATATGGGGAAATAGCCAGAGATGCTTTCATTCCACACATATCTATGGAGTGTCAACTAATGCCAGGTACTGGCAACAGAAATAGAAGACACATTCCTCCCTTCAAGGAGTTTAGAGACTGGTAGGGAGAGAAAGGACAAGTGCATTTGTGATTATAGTGTGATAAGTGTCCGAGTGAAGAGACCACCAAACAGGTGGTGTGTGAGCAACAAGGCTGTTTATTTCACCTGGGTGCAGGTGGGGAGAGTCCGAAAAGAGAGTCAGCAAAGGGTGGTGGGATTATCATTAGTTCTTAGAGGTTTTGGGATGGGCAGTGGAGTTAGCAGCAATGTTTTGTGGGCAGGGGGTGGATCTCACAAAGTACATTCTCAAGGGTGGGGAGAATGGCAAAGAACCTTCTCAAGGGTGGGGAGAATGACAAAGAACCTTCTCAAGGGTGGGGAGAACTACAAAGAACCTTCTTAAGGGTGGGGGCGATTACAAAGTACATTGATCAGTTAGGGTGGGGCAGAAACAAATCACAATGGTGGAATGTCATCAGTTAAGGCTATTTTCACTTCTTTTGTGGATCTTCAGTTGCTTCAGGCCATCTGGATGTATACGTGCAGGTCACAGGAGATATGATGGCTTAGCTTGGGCTCAGAGGCCTGACAATAAGTGTGTGGTGGGCACACTGAGAAGAACGTCTATTCTCCACCCAGAGTGGTAAGGAGAAACCATCAAGGGAAGATCACACACCTTAAGGCTTGAAGATTTTAGAGTTGACCAGTTGGAGGAAAAGTAAAACATTCCAAGAAAGGTACAGAATGGACAAAGTCATGGAGGGATGAGTGGGCATGGGTCATGGGAGGAAAAATAAGCCTGTAAATGAGGCTGAAATAAAGAATGATGGCCGAGCGTGGTGGCTCATGCCTGTAATCCTGGCACTTTGGGAGGCTGAGGTGGGCGGATCACTTGAGGTCAGGAGTTGGAGACCAGCCTGCCCAACATGGTGAAACCCCGTCTCTACTAAAAATACAAAAATTAGCCAGGCGTGGTGGCACATGCCTGTAATCCTAACTACTGAGGAGGCTGAGGCAAGAGAATCTTGAACCCGGGAGGCGGAGGTTGCAGTGAGCCGAGATGGTGCCACTGCACTCCAGCCTGGGTGACAGAGTGAGACTCTGTCTCGAAAAAAATAAAAATAAGAAAGAAAGAATGATGAGGCTAAGCGATGCATCCATTCATTCAGTCATTCACCCAGTTGTGTTGTGTGCTTACAATTTTCCTATGTGACATTTGAAGCTCTGGGGATGCAACGATGGAGGCCCAGTCATAAGGTCGACTAGGGCACGCAGGTGGTATCAGGTGGCCCATGCAGCCTGATTTGGGTGATATGTAGACGTGACATTAAGAAATGATGAATCACATAATGAACAATTTTTCTTTTTACAATTCTAATTACAAAGGGTGAGGGGCTCAGTTCAGAGCCTATTATCTTTAAAACCTCTCTAGTACTTGTTAATCTCTTTTTTATGAGAGCTATAGGCCTTAGGTTCAGAACACTGGCAGGGAGGGGATGTAACAAGAATTTAGTAAGATTCCTTTGTTTCCTTTTTTGTTTTGTTTTTTTAATGGCAAGTGGTACTAATTTTCTGTTTATGGTAAAAATAACATTTTCTTCAAAAGTTATTTGAATAAAAGTAGATAGGTTATTTTAATGAAACTTACTCAGGCCAGCATGGTGGCACATGCCTGTAGTCCCAGCTACTCAGGAAGCTGGGGTGGGAGGATCGCTTGAGCCTGAGAGTTGTAGGCTGCAGTGTGCCATGATTGTATGTGTGAATAGGCACTGCAGTCCAGTCTGGGCAATATAGCAAGACTCTGTCTCTAAAAAAACTTGGAAGGAAGGAAGGAAGGAAGTTACTTAAATATAGTACAGTATAGATATTGATATAGAAAAATTAATGGGTTGATGGTAGAAATGGCTGAAGTCTTGGAAATGCTGTTATTGATAATCGGAAGCCAGTGGAGGGAGTTTTAAGTTTTAAGGGTTTTAAGCACAGGGCAAGGAAGAGCTCCTAAAACAAGCCTTGTTTGGACTGTGGGTTCCTTGAGTGTCAAGATTTAGTGTGCCACAGTGGATTTGAAAACCCTAGCTGTTAGCATAGAACACTTAGCCTGTGCTTAATTTGAGGTATGCCAGGGTATGCCATCCACCAGTGATGTGCTTTATTTTTATTTTATTTTATTTATTTTTCTTTTCTTTTCTTTCTTTTTTTTTTTTTTTTTTTTTTTTTTTGAGGTGGAGTCTCCCTCTTTCCCCCAGGCTGGAGTGCAGTGGCACGATTTCAGCTCACCACCACCTCTGCCTCCCGGGTTCAAGCGATTCTCCTGTCTCAGCCTCCCTAGTAGCTGGGATTACAGGCACCTGCTACCATGCCCGGCTAATTTTTGCATTTTTCTTAGACACGGGGTTTCACCATGTTGGCCAGGCTGGTCTTGAACTCCCGACCTCAAGTGATCCACCCGTCTTGGCCTCCCAAAGTGCTGGGATTGCAGGCGTGAGCCACCGCGCCCGGCCCACTGGTCTGCTTTAAAATTCAAAACCTTGCATTTATTTCTTCTATCCACTCCTGTCATCACTCAGTTGCATGGATGCCTGGAAGGAGCTTGAAGCTCTGGCATGATCTGATCAGAGCCTGCGGATGGGTGGGAGTTTCCAGTACTCGTGCCAGCAGGCTGGTGAGCATATGCATCCGGCTCCTCCTCTGCAAACATGCTGAGTCCTCCCAACCTTGATAACGCTTCAACCCCTTCTGGGAATATCTCCTTGAGTGGTGAATGCTAATAAGTGTCTGATGCTGTCGCCATTTCAGCAGCTCTTAGGAGACTCTGTGGTTTTCTTTCCTTTTTTTTCTTTTCTTTTTTACTTTTTCCCCGTTATCCATCAGCATTTATGCACATCGTGTTTTATGCATTGTGATCCTCTTAGTGCCTTGGATATGTTGTTTGGACCTTCAGTTACACAGTGCCTCACTCCCTGGAGGTCTAATGATGCTCAGGAAAGACAGAGAAAAGAACTGCCTTGCAGCATTTTTGCATCAACACATTGATTCCTACATCCCAGCCATGCCCAAAGTGGTTAAAAAATGAAGTTTTCATTTAGAGCTACGGGTGGTAGTTTAGAACTGTTGGGAAGTTACTAAATAGTCACATTGAGCTTATGTTTCCACTCAGCCTGATAACCAAATAGTTTTTTTATTTTTTATTTTATTTTTATTTTTTGAGACAGAGTCTCATTCTGTTGCCCAGGCTGGAGTGTAGTGGTGCGATCGCTGCTCACTGTAGCTTCCGTCTCCCAGGTTTAAGCGAATCTCCTGCCTCAGCCACCTGAGTAGCTGGGATTATAGGTGCCCACCACCATGCCTGGATAATTTTTGTATTTTTAGTAGAGACGGGGTTTCACCATGTTGGCCAGACTGGTCTTGAACTCCTGACCTCAGGTGGTTTGCCCACCTTGGCCTCCCAAAGCGCTGGGATTACAGGCATGAGCTACTGCGCCCGGCCCCAAATAGTTTTTAATTTCTCGGTAATAAGCCGGCAGGATTTTAACCTTAATGAGGATTTCTTCAGGGCCCTACGTTTCTTTTTCTTTTTTCTTTTTGTTTTTGAGATGAAGACTCGTTCTGTCACCCAGGCTGGAGTGCAACCTCTGCCTCCCGGGTTCAAGCGATTCTCCTGCCTCAGCCTCCTGAGTAGCTTGGATTATAGGCACCTGCCACCATGCCCAGCTAATTTTTGCATTTTTAGTCGAGACAGGGTTTCACCATGTTGGCTAGGCTGGTCTCAAATGCCTGACCTCTGGTGATCCACCTGGTACTCCTAAAGTGCCAGGATTACAGGAGTGAGCCACTGCACCCAACCAATACTACATTTCTAAATCTGTATTTTCAAAGACTTTAGCTAAAGACTAGAATGTGTAAGTTGCACGTGTGTCCGAGCTATGCCCACCCTTTCCTGGGCCGTGTTTAGTACCGCAGCCACATCAGAGCAGAATTGCAGGTGGCTAATGGCCCCTGCCTTCCCATCTGTACAGAATACACGGAGAGCACCCCAGTTCTAGGGCAGGCCGGAGTCTGTTGACAGACATTTCTCCTTATCTTGTTTTCACATCAGCTGCAGCACGATTTCTGTTCAGAGCAAGCGTGGGTGGGGGTTCCTCCCGCCCTGCCCTGTGCTAGCTGTTAAAATAGGAGGGTGGTTTACCGTATTGTTTTTCAAGTAAAGATCAGGCCACCAGGAGTTGGTGACTCCAGTGGGTCACTGGCGGTGTTTGTTCATAGCAAAGAAAAGTCAGCCCAGCTCTTTTGGGGATACATCAGTAATCTACATAGCAGCCATTTGATTTTGAAGATTAGGGTTTGGGGGGGAAGTTTGAAGTTTTGTTTGACTGCTAAGAGGAATTAGATAGCTCTCAAAACATTTTTCAAACTCAAGTAATTGGACTCTCCAAACAACGGGAATGGTGGCATAACAGACCACTAACATTTCAATTGCGCTTTCCAATCGACAAAGTACTTTTACATATGTGATTATTCCCTTTATTACAGAAGAGAAAACTGAAGCTCAGAAATCCCAGCTATTCAGGGGGCTGAGGCATGATAATCGCTTGAACTGGGAGGTGGAGGTTGCAGTGAGCCGAGATCGCAACATTGCACTCCAGCATGGGCTACAAGAGCAAAACTACGTCTCAAATAAATAAATAAATAAAATCCCAGTATATGGTCTGCACACACTACACATTTATACCCACAACTTCAGATTAAAGTGAACATTAATGACCGTACTGAAGCAAATAGAGTTCCAGAGATTTCTAGTGACTGAGGGCGCTAGAATTCGAACCCAGATCCACTGCCTCCCACTTCTGGATCCTTTTTCCTCCACCATCCTCCCTCACACTTGTTTCCATCTTCTTGTCCAATGTGAATTGTTTATTTGCTGCTTCAGCATACAGCACCTCAGTACCTTGATAGTCAGGACTTAGGTTGGGCAGGATAGCCACATTAAATAAGCAAGGATTGAGTCATTGCGTTGCACCATAGATACATGGGTTTACAGCAACTTAGAATAAAGAAAAGAGGAAGCAGCTGCTGTGCTGGGAGCTTCATAGACCTGACACTGTCCAAGGGGGAGTATATTTATATACCTCCTCATTTAATTCTCAAACAGCCTCCGGAAACACATTCTCTCATTTTCATCTGACAGTTAAGAGCACTGGGGCGTGGCGATGTAAGGAAACTTGCCGAAAGTTGCATAACGAGTCAGTGATGGAGCCTGCATTTGAACCTAGATTTGTCTCATTCCAAAGCCAGCCCTGTCCAACCCGCACATTCTCTCAGTGAGGAAACCAGGGTGGTGGAATGACTGCTCTGGCAAATTAAGGGCAGAGCTGGGCTCAGCCACGTAGTCTCAGTGTTCTTGCCAGTATACCTGGCAGATCTCTTCTCTTAGAGTTGGAATTCTCCTCTGTCGTATTAGATGAAAAGTTGTCAACATTGCAGATGACCTCCTCTCCCCCTACCCATACCCCCATAGTCACGCCAAATTTTTGTTGCAATTCACACCAGGCATGGATTTCTATCTTCTGTTGCTCCCCACCTTCCAAAATCTTCCATGCCCCTCATCTAGGCTCTGGCAAAAGTTGTTCCCAAGTAACACTATGTGACCATTTGAATTTTACATTTTCTCCCCACCTTGCAACAAGGCAGGAGAGAATGGCTTTGGAACTATAGAAAATTAGGATGGTATAAGGCTAAAGAAGAGCAAGAAGATGGATGCATTATGTAATGAAAACTGCACTCACAGTATGGGAGAGCCTGGGGCATATGTTTGGTAAGGCAGGTGCCAGCTGTGAGGATACTAGAAACCAGGTGTGGGAGCATCCTGGGTGCCGTGTGTGGAGGCTCACTGAGTTGCTACAATGGTCAGAACCTAAAGCTAGTTCCCTAACTCCCAATGATCCCACAGCCCCCACATTCCATCCACCCGACACCCAGCACTCCCCATGCCTCTGGAAATCTATTTGCTTCAGTACGGTCATTAATGTTCACTTTAATCTGAAGTTGTGGTTATAAATGTGTAGTGTGTGCAGACCATATACTGGGATTTTATTTATTTATTTATTTGAGATGGAGTTTTGCTCTTGTAGCCCATGCTGGAGTGCAATGTTGCGATCTCGGCTCGCTGCAACATCCACCTCCCAGTTCAAGCGATTATCGTGCCTCAGCCCCCTGAATAGCTGGGGCTGCAGGTGCCCAGCACCACACCCAGCTAATTTTCGTATTTTTAGTAGAGACGGGGTTTCTCCATGTTGGCCAGGCTGGTCTCGAACTCCTGACCTCAGGTGATCCACCTGCCTTGGCCTCCCGAAGTGCTGGGATTCCAGGCGTGAGCCACTGCGCCCGGATTGGGATTATTTTTAAATCTTTTCGCCCCTGATGGAGGAGGGGCATGGGAGGGAACTGGTATCTATTAGGTGCCTGCTGTACCTAGGTTATTTTATTTAATCCTCATGGCAACACTCAGTGTCTTACAGATGGAAAAATGTGATCTTCATCTTAGAGAACTCACAACTCAGAGGAGTGTGGCACGTGGAGTCACCGAATTGAGTTTGAATCTTAGGAAGCTGCTATGTGTTCTTGGCATTTCCTGCAACCTCTATGCTATCTCTTCTTCTGTGAAATGCCTGTGGATAATATTATCCACCTTCCAAAATTATTGTGAGAAACACATCAGATGACTGATTTTTCTTTTTAAATCTTTCTTTCTTTCTTTCTCTTTCTTTCTTTCTCTTTCTTTCTTTCTTTCTTTCTTTCTTTCTTTCTTTCTTTCTTTTCTTTCTTTCCTTTCTTTTTTTTTTGAAACAAGGTCTCCCTCTGCCACCAGGCTGTAGTGCAGTGGTGCAATCTCTGGTTACTGCAACCTCCGCCTCCAGGGCTCAAGCGATCCTCCCACCTCAGCCTCCTGAGTAGCTAGGACTAGAGGCAAATGCCATGACAGCCAGATAATTTTTGTATTTTTTTGTAGAGACATGGTTTCGCCATGTTGCTCTGGCTGGTCTTGAACTCCTGAGCTCAAGTAATCTACCTGCCTCGGCCTCCCAAAGTGCTGGGATTACAGGCATGAGTCACCATGCCCAGCCCAGATGACTGATATTTCAATGTCTTGTAATCTATTAAGGTTTACGTAAATATTATTGTTTAGCTTTGGAAATCGATCAAGGAATTGACAATGGTACCCAGAGCCCAGCAGTGGAACTAGAGGTCGTGTTGTTGGTGGTGCTTTATTCACTTGGCCGTATTCAGTGGGTAGGTTTGCAGCATGAGGTATCATGTGTGGGTACTAGCGGAGACCCGACATGCTGCACATCTGAGAGGCCAAGAGAAACTGAGGTAACCATCATTCCCCCGGGAGCAGCACCGCTGTTGGAGTGAGGAAGAGGTCAGTCTCTTATGATTAGGTAGAGATCCAATTCCTCAACACTTTGAACTAGCACAAAGTCCCCAGTGCTGAATGAGATGGGCTGACATCATAAGCTTTGTCTCCTCCTTTGTTTAGGCTCTGACCAGAGTTACACATGGTGAGTCCATTTTTAAAATTCATTTCCCAAGTTTGGGATTTTGTTAAGCTTTATGGTTTAGTGGATACAGTTAACAATTCTTTTCCAAACACCATTACATCTTAAGTTTTTTTCACATTTTTCAATGTAAATGTTCATATGTTCATCTTACTCACTCTCATAGTTTACTTCTGATCTTTTTTTTTTTTTTTTTGAGATGGAGTCTCGCTCTGTCACCTAGTCTGAAGTGCAGTGGCATGATATCGGCTCACTGCAACCTCCACCTCCCGGGTTCAAACAATTCTCCTGCCTCAGCCTCCCCAGTAGCTGGGATTACAGGTGCTCACCACCACACCCAGCTAAATTTTGTATTTTTAGTAGAGATGGGGTTTCACCATGTTGGTCAAGCTGGTCTTGAACTCCTGGCCTCAGGTGATCCACCCTCCTCGGCCTCCCAAAGCGCTGGGAATATAGGCATGAGCCAAAGCACCTGGCCTACTTCTGATCTTGATGTTAACAGTAGGGGATGCAATTTGTAGAGGAAGTGTGTTTCTGACAGGTGAGAGAACACTTCATGTAGGGTGAACAGTAAACTGTCCCAGACAGGGATGTGCTATGTAGATGAGCACTGGGAAGCCTGTGTTTTCTCAGAGCTCCTGAAGACACCCTGCTCCACATTAAACCAGAATCATCACGTCTCATCACAAAAAGAACATTAGTGTTATGGGGTATATTTTCTGTTTCATATTAAAAATTCCCAACCCCCAGCATTCTGACCCTGTCAAGCCCACGGGCTGCTACTAATTTGCATGGTTGTGTGATTTGTGTGATTCTGCTCCATCTGCTTTGAATTTCTTGGCTTCTTTGTCCAAGACGTTAATAACTCTAGTCATTTCTTGTGAGGATTTAAGGATGTTATTGATTGATTTTGGATTACAAAGAAACAAAAAGACAGTAGGCAATGTTCTAATTGGGTCTTCTTATTGTGCACTGTAGCCTGAATCCCCCAGGGTAATTAATATGAAGTGCAAAAAGTTGAATGTTCCAGTCTAAAAGGCAGTGGGAGAAATTACATAGCATGGAAATAATAAAATGAACTCTTATTAATGAGAACGAGGCTCTTGCAGTGGCAAGTTCTGCTGGTCACCCGATGGGGATGGGAGCCTTTCAAGCTTTTTTTTGGGTAATACTCACAGTTTCCAACGTCTGTGTACTTTTCAAAATGAGCTTGTTCTTCCTTCTGACACTCATCTCAAAGCTCCATGGTGACGCAGAGGTCTGTTGAAGGTCACAGGGTCCTCGCTTGCATTGGCATACGGTCCTGTAGCATCACTTGTTAGCCCACTGCTGCTTGAAGGAACTAAGAGTATTCAGGGATAGAGAGCTGAAAATAGGATTAATTCTTTCCTTTTGACTCTCCCCTCAAGATGTCCTTGCTTTGGTCTGAAAACCTCTCCTGACAACTTTTGCCCAAAGCAAACCATCTGCCTTTTCTGAACTCTGAGTGAATATATTAGCATCTTCCCTTCTGAGCCCTCGTACTGCCATGTTTGTTTGTTTGTTTGTTTCCAAGAAACTGTGTCTTGCTCTGTCACCCAGGCTGGCATGTAGTGGCATGATCATGCTCACCGCAGCCTCAAACTCCTGGGCTCACGTGATCCTCCTGCCTCGGCCTCCCAAAATGCTGGGATTACAAGTGTGAACCACCACGCCCAGCTGTAATGCCACATTTCAATCTTCCCTCCCAGTGAAGACGACCGTTTCTTTGAGGACAGATGCTGTGTTCTTTACTTCTCTATGTCTCCCTTAGTCCTAACATGTGGCTTCCAAGTAATGCAGCGTATGCTCAACCAAGAGGGATGGTCAGCAAACAGCCCATGAGGAAAAGTAGCATTTGTTCCTAGGAAAACCGAATTATTTGCTTTAGTAATGAATCCAAGTCCAACATAGTTACGTGCAAGGAAACATTTCATCCAGAATACTAATGACATCAGCATGGAGAGAGAAGAGTCTAAAATAAAGATCTTTTTAAAGTACTTAAAGGAGGCCAGAGAATATCATCACATAAAGTATAATATAGGACCCTACCCCTACCAAGCACGGAGATCCCTTGCCTTCATCGTTCAAGGTCAGATTGGAGATTTCAGAGAACCCTAGGTTGCAAGAAACGTGTTTGGAGTTTTGGGGAACAGATAAAACAGTAAGCAGTAGGAAAAAAAATCACCAGGTTTTTTTTTTTTTCAGATGGAATTTTGCTCTTGTCGCCGAGGCTGGAGTGCAATGGTGCGATCTCAGCTTACTGCAACCTTTGCCTCCCGAGTTCAAGCGATTCTCCTGCTTCAGCCTCTCGAGTAGCTGAGATTACAGGCGCATGCTACCACACCCGGCAAATTTTTGTATTTTTAGTAGAGACAGGGTTTCACCATGTCAGCCAGGCTGGTCTCTAACTCCTGACGTCAGGTGATCCACCCGCCTCGGCCTCCCAAAGTGCTGGGGATTACAGGCGTGAGCCACCGTGCCTGGCCAGATTTTTAACTCAGGAAAAATTTATATTCTCCTCACTCATCTTTGAATTATACTAACATCATTAAATGAAGGAGTGGAATTGCTATAAAACTTACTACTAATCCTGATTCTGCATTCACTCATCATTTGTTTTCTCATTTATTCACTCATTCTATAAACAAATTGGACACTCCCTCAAGATCAGTGCTGTATCTGATTCCTTTTGAAATGTCCTCTTTCCTCTTTCCCCCAAGCCTCGCCCACAGCAGGTACTTAGTAGATGTTTACTGAACAGGGTTGGTGGTGGACATGCCACTTCTTTGAAATATTTTTTTCTTTGGCCGGGCACGGTGGCTCATGCCTGTAAATCCCAGCACTTTGGGAGGCTGAGGTGGGCGGATCACGAGGTCGGGAGATTGAGAGCATCCTGGCTAACACAGTGAAACCCCGTCTCTACTAAAAATACAAAAAATTAGCCAGGCGTGGTGGTGGGTGCCTGTAGTCCCAGCTACTCGGGAGGCTGAGGCAGGAGAATCGCTTGAACCCAGGAGGCGGAGGTTGCAGTGGGCCGAGATTGTGCCACTGCACTCCAGCCTGGGCAACAGAGCAGGCCTCCGTCTCAAAAAAAAAAAAGAAAGAAATATATTGTTTCTCCCCTCCACCACCGCTTTTCAAAATAAATAGTGTCAAATGATGCTTATTCCCTTGGAAATATGGGGGAAAATGCCTGCAAGTCATAGATTAGGTTTAGAAACTGGGGCAGTTTATTGATTTCAAAAAGAAGTTTAGATCATGTCTGAAATAGAAACTTTTAGACATTGTGAATAAGTGGGATTGTCTGAGACTCGAGGGTTAAACATAAAGTTCTTGGCATAAATATAATGTATTGTTTTATTGTACTTAAAGCCCCTTGTTTTTTGAAGACAAGCATCTCATGTCCCATGACACAGGAAATGACTGGGATTCTAAAAGCAAGAGAACATGGCGCCCTGATACTGGTTTAGTGGTTAGTGGAAAGATGCATTTCTCTAGGGTAGAAGAGAGACAGGTGATGGCATAAGCCGGGGATATGAACTCTAGGGACCTGGAATTCTTCAAATGTGACCTGCAGGCACTGGAGGGGCTGTCCTTCCCTATCTTATGGACAAGATCTCTTGGCTTGGGGGACACTGTCTCCAAGGTGCTAATAGTCAAGACCTCAACAATGACTCACTTGGACTCGGAAACCAACCTAACTTACTCAGGGTGCCTGCGGCGGTGGGGCTTTTGTAGACCAAAGCCAAGTTTTGCCAAAGGCAGCAAGTGCTTTATAAGCTGAATGGGCAACTTACAGGAACGAAAGCTGAGTGACCTTTTATTTACGGGCTGAGTCCTTGGCTTGAAACCTGCCAGTTGAACAGTCTAACTTGGTGTCATATGGAGCATCTGAATCACAGTCTCTTGAGTCTTCCTCTGAGAAGGTGGCTGGAAGAAGTTCACATTTCTCAGCATTGAAAACACCTTCTGCTCTTTACCTCTGTTGAAGATGGCCTTACAAAAGGCTACGCGGGTCAGCCGTGAGTAGGAGAGTAGTTTCCAGGAGCACCTGAGCATGGGGGAACCGAAGGGCTTTAGTTGCAGAAGATAAGCGAATTCCCCGAGTGTCAGGTTGGTGGCGTGTTAGAGAGGCCACTTTCCTCAGAGAGGTTACAGATGAGTGTCTCTGGAAATCTTTTTTTTTTTGAGACTGAGCCTCACTCTGTCATCTAGGCTGGAGTGCAGTGGCGTGATCTCGGCTCACTGCAACCTTTGCCTCCCAGGTTCAAGCAATTCTCCTGCCTCAGCCTCCCGAGTAGCTGGGACTACAGGCACGCACCACCATGCCTGGCTAGTTTTTGTACTTTTAGTAGAGACAGGGTTTCACCATGTTGGCCAGGCTGTTCTTGAACTCCTGACCTCAAGTGATCTGCCCGCCTCGGCCTCCCAAACTGCTGGGATTACAGGCATGACCACCGTGCCCCGTCAACAATTTTTTTTTTAATAGAAAACTTTATTATGAGGTTTCTTTAAGGGCCGCACTTTCTCGAAGTGGCATTGGGTGAAAATAGGCAACTGTCTTATGTTTTCCTTATTTGGGGGGTTAGAAGAAAAGAAGGTCACTCTGATAAAAAGACCTATGGTTAAAGAAGGATTTGTTTTCAGGCTCTAAGCCTTGTTACTGTAACTATGGGAGGGAGCAGGCACTAACCTGGCCAACATATGTTTGGGCCTTGGCTCTGCACAGACAGAAACTATCCCCGTGGACACAGTTTGCCCTCCTAGCTGCCAGCCGGACTCATGAGTCCCAGAGCTTTGAGGTTGCAGCTAAATCTAAAATCCTGGCTGGGAGCAGTGGCTCATGCCTGTAATCCCAGCACTTCGGGAGGCTGAGGCAGGCAGATCATTTGAGGTGAGAAGTTTGAGACCAGTCTGGCCAACATGGTGAAAACCATCTCTACTAAAAATACAAAAATTAGCCGGGTGTGGTGGCATGTGCCTGTAATCCCAGCTACTCAGGAGGCTGAGGCAGGAGAATCGCTTGAACCTGGGAGGCAGAGGTTGCAGTGAGCTGAGATCGCACCACTGCCCTCCAGCCTGGGCGACAGAGCCAGACTCTGTCTCGAAAAACATAAAAAAAAAAAAAAAAAGAAAAAAAGAAAAAAATCTAAAATCCCTCCATTACTGACAGTCAATCCAAGAGTCCACTACCCATTGCCCGAGGGCCAGCCTTCCCTTTACACGCTATGACAGTGTCTCACAGAAATTGTTGAAGCAAGGCCTGCTCTCTAGCCCTAATCAAGGAGGACTATTGCCCCAGGCGCTACCGTCACAAATGTGCTTGTGGCTTCTGGGCTTCCTCACCAGGGACCTTAAATCTCACCAACTCATGGGGGCATCCACTGCCATCTACCACCTCATGTAGTTAATAGGGAGGCTGGGGGGCTTTGAGAGTAGAAAGAAAATGGCTGCCAATGGATTTGCTGACGTCCCATCTTCGTTCAACTTTATCACAGGACTTCGTTCCACCCTTGCTCTGACTAAATCAATCCGCAGCAGCTGATGCCCTTCTTTTGTGAGGCGTTGACCAGGCTGGACTCCTGTGATCACAGGTGTGGCATCCACTCCACAAGTCACACGGAGGCACTGGGACACAAGTGGGGGCTGCCTGGGTTCAGCTCTCAGGCCACCTCATGTCCATTCTGAAGGGGTCAAAATGTCCATCATGAAGAGAAAAGCCAAAAAATTCCTTCTTTATTTACCAAAGCTCTAATTCTTTTCTTTCTTTTTTTTTTTTTCTTTTTTTTTTTTTGAGATGGAGTTTCGCTCTTGTTGCCCAGACTAGAGTGCAGTTGCGTGATCTCAGCTCACTGCAACCTTCACCTCCGGGTTCAAGCAATTTTTCTGCCTCAGCCTCCCAAGTAGCTGGGATTACAGGCATGCGCCACAGAGCTCTAATTCTTAATGCCACCCCTGGATTCAGATCTAGGGCTTGGGACTTTAGGCTTATTTGGAAGAATCCCTCTCCATTGCTATACACTTTTGCTGGCTTCTATAATCCAAGCTCTGAAAGGCACTCAAAGGTCTTGTTTGCACATCTGGCCATCTGTGGGGAAATTCCTCCCATAAAGGTCTGGAGAAATAGCTTTGTTGCTAACAACTTGTGTTGTTAAGCTAGAGAGTGTACATTCTGCATTTTACTCCAGTACCTAGATACGAGATTCTTTTAGGAAGTTGCTGATTTTCTGAGGGTGTCTGTGGAAGGGCTCAAGGATAGCCTTCAGAATGATGAGTTTGAGGCTTGCTGATCTCCTGATGTTGGAATCTAACGAGTGGACTTGTAGGCTTTTAGAGGAACTATGTAGATGGATAGTTATAGAAATCCTTGGCTAGGAGTACCAAGAAGAAACATATATGTACGCAATCACATACTGAAAAGGGAATATAAGATGGAGAATTTCAGCTGCACATTTCTGTAGATTAACATGTTTATATGGCAGAAGATTGCACCATTCTAGGTAAAAGAAAATTGTTTGTCTCTAAATCTATCTGGGTTAATGGGCTACATTCTTCAGTCCTGACTTTGGACCTAAATTCTGTTGTCATTAGTCCACAATGAAATGAGTCAAGTAAAAAAGAATGCCAGTGGAAGACTGGTAGATGATCTTCCTTAGAAGGAAGTTCCTTTTATTCTGAGATGGTACCCTTTCTACTTTTTTTGTGATTAAAACATCCTTACTTTTATGAACTGATGGTGGTAATTGATCATGGGGATTTCAGATGCAGATTTTTGCTGGAGAAAATTAAACATTAAATCCACACAATCCACCCCCGCCTACCCCATAGACCCCTGTTTTTCAAAGGATATTGGTCCATAAAATCCAAATATCTGGGACTAGCTGACCTACTTACTTTCTTGGAAGCCATTAGGCAATGACACTCTCCTGTCCCAGAAGAACAGGCTACAACCCTACTCTGCAGGCTTTTCCACTATTTTCCTCTTGCTTCTGACGGGGAGTGGTAACCTTTTCCTAACGTGTGCCTTCTCTGCGTGGTGCCTCTTCTACTCCTTGCAAGAGAACAAATTTGCCTCTTCCTCCTCTGGGCTGCCCAAGCACCTTGTTTGTACTTTGCTTAGCACTTGCCATGATAAAAGACAATTATTTGAATGAGCCTTCTTTCTCACTAAGTTGTGAGGTTTCTGACAGCTTATCTTTTTATTTTTTATTTTTTGTCATTACTAACCACAATGCCTGGTAAATATATATTTGCTGAATGAATAAGCAACCTAAATCTCAGGTGGCAGTTAAAGGCTATTGTCTCATTTGTCTCTTCCAGTAGCAATAAACAGCTAATCTAATATATAATTTTTATTTTTATTTATTTATTTTTTTTGAGATGGAGTCTCGCTCTGTTACCCAGGCTGGAGTGCAGTTGCGCAGTCTTGGCTCACTGCAACCTCCGCCTCCTGTGTTCAAGCGATTCTTCTGCCACAGCCGAGTAGCTGGGATTACAGGTGTGCGCCACCACACCCAGCTAATTTTTGTATTTTTGGCAGAGATGGGGTTTCACCATATTGGCCAGGCTGGTCTCGAACTCCTGACCTCAGGCGATCCATCTGCCTTGGCCTCCCAAAGTGCCGGGATTACAGGCATGAACCCACTGCACCTGGCCTCTAATATATAATTTATGATGCCTGAATACTACGATAGAGTTCTTCTTTGGCTATCTCTTCTCCTGACATCATAATACTAGGAAACACACTGAGCCAGAAATCTGAAAACTGGGCTTTAGTTCCAAGCCACTTACTCTTTGGAGACTCAGTGTCCAAAGGAAAGGAATTAAGAGCAGGTTCTCACCACCATCTTCAACATGCTAGAGAAGAGAGGCTAGGAGAGGTTGCTCCTTAGAGGTGAGATGCTGACTATTCTCCAAGGAGTTTTGTTAAGTCATTTTGAACTTTGCTTGGCTTTTTTTTTTTTTTTTTGAGATGGAGTTTCACTCTTGTCACCCAGGCTGGAGTGCAGTGGCACAATCTCGGCTCACTGCAACCTCCGCCTCCCAGGTTCAAGCAATTCTCCTGCCTCAGCCTCCCGAGTAGCTGGGATTACAGGCATGTACCACCACACCCAGCTAATTTTTTTGTATTATTAGTAGAGACAGGGTTTCACCATGTTGGCCAGGCTGGTCTTGAACTCCTGACCTCAAGTGATCCGCCCACCTTGGCCTCCCAAAGTGCTGGGATTACAGGTGTGAGTCACTGTGCCCGGCCTTCTTGTTTGGCTTTTGGTAACCTATTTATTCATTCATTCTTCCAAAAAGTTTTATTGCCAAATAGACAGCACCATTCACTTGCATCCCTCAAAAAGATCCACGCAGGTTTTGGAGTCAGGCATCTCTAAGTATGATGTTGGCATGAGTCTTGGCTCTGTCTTCCAGGAGCCATGTAATATGGGGCAAGTTCCCATTTTAGGTTTCAATTTTTCTCACCAGCCGAAAGCATATAATAATCCTTCTGTCACAGTTACTGAGAAATGAGAACATGTATATAATGTATCTAGCCAGTGTTCAGTACATGGTCATTTCCCATCACCTTCCCTTAATGCAGAACCCAGCCAACTTAAACATGATAAACTCATTCATGGTCAGGTACGGTGGTGCATGCCTGTAACCCTAGCACTTTGGGAGGCTGAGGCTGGCAGATGGCTTGAGCCCAGGAGTTCGAGACCAGCCTGGGCAACATGGTGAAACACTGTCTCTACAAAAACTACAAAAATTAGCTGGGTGTGGTGGCACATGCCTGTGGTCCCAGCTCCTCAGGAGGCTGAAATGGGTGAATCACTTGAGCCTGGCAAGGCTGCAGTGAGCCATGATCACACGACTGCACTCCATCCTGGGTGACAGAGCAAGGCGAGACCCTGTCTCAAAACAAACTATGTTATTGGAGACTTAGAAGTCTTCACTTTCCCATCCCCAGCCCCACCTTCATGTCTACGTTGTAAAAGAGGCTGCAGCAAGAGGGCAATACCAATATCTATTCCAGGGGAAGAATTTGGTAATGATGGACTTTCAGGAATAAAGGTTTGGGGGAAAAGCTGAGATTTCATCACTTACAAGTGAGCCGCTGTAGAAGCCAGTCAAATGTATTGCGTGGTAAGCGAGCTTTGACTTTACTAAATCAGAAGGGGATGGGGAACATGTGTGGGTGTTGGAGTGATTAGAGATTCAGTGTGTTTGTGTCCTGCTGCTTTGATTCCCTTATTAAAGAGAATGAAAATAAACCCAGCAGCTGCTGGTTAACTCTTTCTGGGTATAGGCCTACAATCAGCAGAAATGCTCCAAGTCATCAAGCATTCCTGACATCCTGGGTGGAATTATCTAATCTAAGGCTTTTGCAAGGGAGGAATTTGAGTCCCCACCTAGCCTTTTCTCCTAGAGTTCTGGAAGAGATTATCACACGGTCTCAAAAACTAGAGCTCTAACCTGTTTTTGGTTTATGTGTTTGTTCATTTGTTAGTTCATTCATTTGCCTAGATCAAAAGAGCATTCTCGAGGCCAGGGGCTGTGGGTCGCGCCTGTAATCCCAGCACTTTGGGAGGCTGAGGCAGGCAGATCACTTGAGGCCAGGAGTTCGAGACCGCCTGGCCAACATGGTGAAAGCCCGTCTCCACTAAAATTACAAAAATTAGCCAGGCATGGTGGCGGGCACCTATAATCCTAGCTACTTGGGAGGCTGAGGCAGGAGAATTGCTTGAACCCAGGAGGCAGAGGCTGCAGTGAGCCGAGGTCATACCACTGCACTCCAGCCTGGGCGACAGAGTGAGACTGTCTCAAAAAAAAAAAAAAAAAAAGCATTCTGAATCATGGATTTAAGATAATCATAATAAACAACATGGTCTAGCTTCTAGGTTCTCAGAGCAGAAGAAAGATAAGGCCAACAGTTAGAAGACAGAGGTAAATGCAGTTTAGGAAAGGCATTTAGGAGGAGGCGAAAGAGCAAGTCCCGGAGCGGGCTGGTGGTTGGAGAGATGGTGGGGCCACCATTGTTGTGCACGCTTATTACAAGCCAGGCATTGTGCTGCCTTCTGCACACATTATCTCTGTGTCATCACAACCACCCTGCAAGGCAGGTCCAGTCTCATCCCATTTCTTGAAAAGAAGGCTCAGGGACATTAAGGACCAGACATGATCTCCCCCACCTGAAAAGTGGCAGAGCCAGAAGTCAAACGTTCATCCATCCATCTGGTCGTGGTATCCTCAATCTCTGCCTCCAGAAGCGTGTGATCTTGCTAAATCATAGCTAATGCCGATATAGCCAAAAATGGACAAATAAAGGCACCAAAGTAGAAGTGGTATAGGGGGTGGAAGCTGCCCCATAAGGGCCTGCTGGGGAGAATTGGGGAGGGGGACGGGGCATGTAGAATTGGTAGGCAATGGGAACACAGAAAGCCCATGCCGCATACCACTTCCCTAGAGCTTTTGACTCTCATTCCATAAGGAGAGGAACCCCAGGTGGGTAGGCTTTGTCCTGGGGGCAGGGTGGTGGGGGTGGAGATGGTAGAGCAGCCATGGGAACATAAAGGCATATACCCTGGATTTTCAGGGATAATCATAATTTTCAAATCATCCCTTTTCATTGACAGGCCATAGAGGAAACATTGGTCTTGACTCTTGTTTCAGAAAATAAGGTCCCAGCAAAGTCAATGGGTTAGGAAGTGTGGGAGCCCTGTTCTCTGATGACTGTTGGAAACGAGATTCATGGAAGGAAGCCTGGGCTCTCCTGACTCTGTGCTTCAGTGTCCAGGCAGAATCTCCTCAGTTAATTCTCCAGAAGAGAGCCCCCACCCTTCCTCTTTATACACTCTGGCAAGGGAGCTCCTAATCTTGCAGTCCCAGGCTCCCAAAATCTCTGTAGCAGACATTTTTGGGGGTCCCCCATCTCCTGTCCAAACCTTGGAATTCGTAATCATTTTAGTGCTTAGGGAAAGAGAGGAGAGGTAATCAGACCCTATTCCAAATGCATCTCTTTCCTTCCATTTTTCTTTCGTCACTCTCCAGCCACGTGGGTCCCATCACAAGTCATCAATAACAAGATGGTCACCCCTGAGTCCAAGGGAGGCTCACAAGACTCAGGCAGAGTGAAGCTGAGCACAGGGCAGGATGTGATAAGCAGGCCTGAACGGAGCCGAGGAAGGCCGGGCACTGGCAGCCTTTAAGTGCCTTGCAAGGACATGTGCCGGGAGTGCGTGTATGCCTCTAAGTCTCCTGAGCATGCCCCCGGGCACTTCAGCCTGGCCTTGGCCTCATTACTACCTCATGCTGTGTAACGGGCACAGGTGCATGTGGAAAAAGAATCAAGGTTTTCTGATAGAACCAATTTCCTTTACTGGAGTTTGCAAATAACCTGCTGTCCTTGGGCCTTTGCATTTCCATCTCTAAAATGGGAATACTAATCCTGCCTTCAATGTCCCACTGACTACATACACCCCTCACAAAGATACTGTGAGGAAGAGTGAGTAATAGCAAAGAATCTTAAGGCTAAAAGAACCCCAGGGTTCATTTTTTTCTATCCCTTTACTTCCAGCCAAGTTCTCTACACAATAATACCCATACCAAAGAAAGGAATGTGCCGGGCATAAAGACCATCTAGAAAGGACAGCCCGCAGCTTCCCCTTGGTTTGAAGCCAAGTTGGAAGTTGTCATGCCAGCTGCATTTTTTTTTTTTTTTTTACTGCATTGCTGTTCATCATCAAGTAATTCAGGGCACTAGGGGGAAAAAACTTCTCTGAAAATGAGGGAGTGATTTGCAGCATCTGTTATTTCCTTTTTAATTGAATCTGTTCTTCTCAGATACCAGGAGCAAGTGCCAAAGTCAGCAGTAGAATTCAGCTGTGTACATTTTGAACGAGCTGGAAGATAAGTTTATGAGCACTATACGGATGCAGATTGTACAGAAACCAGATGGCCATATTGTCCTCAAAGTCCTCTGGAGGGCGGTAGCTGACATGAAGCTCCAGCATGAGGAGGTGGGAGGTCTGCTGACTTTCCTAAGGAGCTGCTTGGGTAGATACACACCCAGGGTGGACTTGGATGCTTCCTTGGTGGGGGACGCACGTCACACGAGAGGGGCTTTCTCAGCAGCCCAAATGGACCCAGGGGCTCTCATGCTTGCTTCCATCCTGGCCCTGAGTAATAGGCATAAACCAGGGTCCTGTTGGTGCTCGCTCTTTTTCCCTCACATTCTGCATCCTGTTGAGCACCAGGAGGGTCACCAAGGGAAGCTAGGGAATTTCTACCCCAGAAAGTACCCAACAGCCCTGACTAGCTGGGAGGCAAGAGGAGAACTCCATGGGTTTCACAGGTACCTTCCTACCTGTGGTGTTGCACAAACAAAAGCAAACGCCCTGAAGTATATAGAACTCCACTACCAAGTGCAGCTTCTTAACAGCAGTTACATTTGCAGGAGAAGAGGGGATTTTGCTCCTGGATGAATGAGGAATAGTGGTACAGGGATGTACATCTCTGAGCTGAGCCCCAGGAAGCTGACTGGACATTCATCTTTCTTCTCTGGGTGGTTTTTTTTTTTTTTTTTTTTTTTTTTTTTTGAGATGGATCTCGCTCTGTCGCCCAGGCTGGAGTGCAGTGGTGCGATCTCGGCTCACTGCAAGCTCCGCCTCCTGGGTTCACGCCATTCTCCTGCCTCAGCCTCCCGAGTAGCTGGGACTACAGGCACCCGCCACCACGCCCAGCTAATTTTTTGTATTTTTAGTAGAGACGGGGTTTCACCATGTTAGCCAGGATGGTCTTGATCTCCTGACCTTGTGATCCGCCCACTTCGGCCTCCCAAAGTACTGGGATTACAGGCGTGAGCCACTGCACCCGGCCCAGTGTTCCTCATTTTCACACAGAGGAGTTGAGGCTCACATGGGATGAAGCTCTCTTTAGGGCACACAGGAGGTGCACTGTAGATCCCAAGAATAGCCACACGACGAAGAGAGGCTTTGGTTTGGGAAGTAAAAAGCCATGTGGTCAGCTGACTCTGCGGCATCAGACGAATGCATGTGAAATCATGGATCTCACCCACCTGAGGAAGGTGGGAAGTTACATCAACTGTGATAATAGATCTGTAGATGCAAAAGGCCTTGGAAGGAATATCCTATGGAAATAGAAGATATATTACAGCTTTAGCCTCTTAGGAGTGTGTGTGATTTGTCCAAAAAGATAAGCTTTATGTTAGCAATTATAAAGAAACTATAGGCATGTTGCATTTTTCTGAGAGCCATGGCCAAATTCTTGGTAAGAGTTTTTTTGAAAATCATAGTATTTTATTTTGGGGGCCCTAAAGTTTATTTATCTCAGCCACTCCCAAATCTGGCCACATGTCAGTCATCTCCAGCCTGGGCGACAAAGCGAGACTCCATCTCAAAAAAAAAAAAAAAAATGAATGTTCAGGGTTATTCCTGAAAATTCTGATCCAGTAGGTCTTGGGGAACATGGGAATCTGTATTTTTACTGAACTCCACCAGTAACTCAGATATGCAGCTGGCTTTGTGACCTCATCCAGTGCAGCCTTCCATCAGATGTTTATATCCAGGTTAGAAACCACCTCTGGATAACTTAAGCAGGAAACGAGTTTAGGTGGCTCACAGAACTATCAGGGGCATGGATAATCAGACTCTGGAAACAGGCAGGAGTCAAGGACACTGCTGCAGACACTTGCCGTGACCCCTCCACTCTTGGTCACCTTAGGTTCCAAAGTCTTTAATGGGAGTAGTTGATTGCCTTCGTCTAAGTCATATGCTGGGCATCATCTGTCAGGAAGCTGAAAGACAGAACATCTGCCCCATCAGTTTCTTTAGTGGGGCTCCCCCTTCGCTCATATTGGGATTCCCCTAAATAAGAAGAGTGCTTAGATACTGGACAGCCAAAACAACAATTGCTGTCTACAGTGTTGCCACAGTCATCAAGACTGCGCTTGAACTCCTCCATTCTTGGGGAGCTCACTACCTTACAAGGCCATTCAATTCTCTCTAAATCGGCCTTCCTGAAATTGCTACCTATTGGCCCTTAGGGTCAAGCCTTTCTCAAAATCTCATATTTAGGGGACACTGAAGAAGAACACCTTCTGAACTTCCTCTTCTGCTTTTACTTTAAAACCTGAAGCAAGTGAGAGGCAGACCTCTTTTTCCAGGTATTTGGCCCAGAGGCAGCGGGGTAAAATGGAGAGAGTGAAGGATTGAACTCAGTCCTGGCTCTGACTCCTGGTTCTGCTGCTTCACGGTCGTGTGACTTTGGACAGATTGCTTCACAACTTGTGACCCTCAGTTTCCTCATCAGTAAAACTGAAGATACTGATGGTGAGAATTAAGCCTGAAATGTGCTTCCTCTTTCCATCTTCGCACAGAGTGAAGCAATGTCAGCTGATGATGGGAAGGCAGGGTAGGATGGTGTTGAAGAACAGAGGTGTCTGGCAAGCCTGTGTCTGAGCCCGGGATGCACTCATTATCTGCATAACCTTGTACAAAGTATTTACCTTCTCCTTCTCTCATCTGTAAAGTGAGTGCAATTTTAGTACCCATGTCATAGAGTTGTTCTGAAGACTAAATGAAATAAATTTTTTGTTGTTGTTCTTGTTGTTTTTTGAGATGGAGTCTCGCTCTGTCGCCCGGGCTGGAGTGCAGTGGCGTGATCTCGGCTCACTGCAAGCTCCGCCTCCCGGGTTCACGCCATTCTCCTGCCTCAGCCTCCCGCGTAGCTGGGACTACAGGCGCCCACTACCACACCCGGCTAATTTTTTGTATTTTTAGTAGAGACGGGGTTTCACCGTGTTAGCCAGGATGGTCTCGATCTCCTGACCTCGTGATCCGCCCGCCTCGGCCTCCCAAAGTGCTGGGATTACAGGCATGAGCCACTGCGCCCAGCCGAGATAAATGTTAAATGCTGACACAGTGCTTAGCATTTAAATAACACTTAAGATGTCATGTCTTATTATTGATTGGCGGTTGAGGTGGGACTTCATGGTCTGGACAGACCTTGCATTGCTGCCATCAAAAGTTGCCTCCTTCAAAACAGTTGTAGCGCTGCTGTCAGTGTCTGTTAAGAATGAGGTGGTGCATATGCTACGGCAGAGACAATCCAGAAAGCTTCTGAATCAATAGAACCTCTGAGGCTGTTGTAGCTTTGGCATAGCTATCATCTTTTAGGGCCATTTACCCAATGTGTCACCAAAGAGACACAGCAGAAACTGCTGGAGAAACACGGATCCGAAAGCCCAGTAATGACGGCTCCTCTCCTCTTTCTATTCTCTCCACCCATCTGTTCCCCTACTTCCTTCAAAGCACACATAGACACACACCCCTTTTGTCTCTCTCAAAACAGGGGATAATTAAAAAACCAAAATCCAAACATCCAGCAGAAGTTTATGCTTGAGTCTCAGAACACAACATATGGCTTCCCAGCCATTGCCAGGTTCTGTAACCACAAAGAGAGAGGTCTCCAGCCTCCACCGTGGTCCCCTGGCTTTGCCACTATTTGCTGACAGAGGCAGCACTCCTCCGCCAAGGACTAGAGGGTCATGGTGTTCAACCCCTTGAATTGTAGTCAAAATTACATTTTCCTGTCATTTGAAAATGCTCCAGAAACAGAGGAGATTCAAGTGCTTCCTTTCTTTGTCCCTGTTTCAGCTTTCTCTTTCCAGTATTGGATTAGAGGCAGCAGGGACTGTGGAGAGAGGACGAGGAGGTGGAATTTCCTGATCGTGATGCAGTGTCCCTCTGTGGGGGCAGAAAAACTGCACGGTAGTAGCAGCAAGCTGGGGCTGGTGAGAACTGCGAGAGGAAGGGGGATCTCAGCTGCAGAGGAGAGCTCTGAGACAGGGTCTCACTCTGTTGCCCAGACTGGAGTGCAGTGGCTCAATCCATGACTCACTGCGGCCCCAGCCTCCTGAGCTCATGTGGTCCTTCTGCCTCAACCTCCCAGCTTGCTGGGACTACAGGCATGTAGCACAATGCCCAGCTAATTTTTTTGTATTTTTAGTAGAGACGGTGTTTTGCCATGTTGCCCAGGCTGGGTTATTTTTTATTTCTATTGCCCAAGTCACATGGAGGAATTGTGTCAGATTGTAGTAAGAAGAGGATGATTCTACCTTATCCTCCCTCCACAAAACACACACATATGCCGTGAGTTAGCTTTTCATCTCTGCCCCTCTAATATCCCTTGTGTGGCCTCTTGCATGGGGAATCGCTGTCCACCCAGAGACTTGGGACATCAGGATGTCCTTTCACCTCCTGAGGCAAGGTTGCCTGTGGGAGACCTTGCTCAGAGCTTTCAGTCTGCCCCGCTCTGTAAGGAGGTTTGGGTTGCAGACATGTCCTTTCTCCACCTGAAGGCAGGTAATGCAACCACAATGTCACCCAGTTCTGTAAAATTCCTGTCTAAGGAGTCCAGTTCAGTTTTCTGAATCTTGAACAGCAGACCAGGCTAAAGAGGGGAGCCCCAGAAAGCTTTGCTGGAAGGAAGAGAAAGACAAAAGCCTTGCCTTTTCTCTCGGTAGAAGCTGTCGGTCATGGCTCTTCTAGCCTCACAATTTGGAGATGTTAGATGGAATCAGGATGATTATAGCCTCATCTCCCCTTCTCCCGTCCTGTCTAAGTAGTCACACAGATTGATGCCTTAATTTCCCATAGCACAGCCGAGGCCAAGGTGTAACAAACTGAACAAGACTTTACTAGCAGCTCAGGATCAGGACTATGCTTAGGACCAGCCCATTCTCAGGGGGTTCCCTCAAAGCTACCACTGTATGACAGAGATCCCTGTCCTCTCGCCCCCAGAAAAGTCCTCAAGTTTTGCCAGACTCCTGGGAGTACTAGCATAAGAAAGCAAGGCCCAGAGACATGGAGATTCTCTCTTCTTCTCCCACCTAAGGCCTTCCTTCCAAATCCTCATTGCCTGTCCTAAGAACCACCACTTCCTGGACTAACCGATAGCGGAAGGGCCAGGTTCCCTCTCTGCCCCTGAGGAAGTGATGCTACCCCACAGTCCGAGGAGATAATCACATCAGAATATAGCAGACCTGCAGTAGTGTGAGAGATTTCCTGGCAGTAAGAAGGGGTAGGGAGGAGGATGTCCTTGTCACACCCAGGCTGCCTGGATCCTGTGGCCTCCACCACATGCATTAGGCGTGGCTCTGGCCACAGATCAGTAGAGGGAGAAGCACTGCACACAGCACGGATGCTTGTAAATGTCAATTGCCCTCAGTGGCTATAATTAGTTTCTCTGGTACCCTGTGTTCAGCAAAGTGGGGAAACAGCCCCTTAGAAAGTGTGTATTTTCCACCGCTGTACCTCGTGATATCACCACAGGTGCCTTCTGGCTGACCCCAAGTTTCTCGTTGTTCTCCAGGAACTGCTGTGACTGTTGGTGGCAGTTCTATAACTCTGAGAAGTCACAGGGGGCCCGGTCAACCACCAGCAAATGACTTCCTGTTCCCTTCCCCTACTGTCCCCCACCCCCCATGACACTAGGCCAGTCCTTGCCTGGTGAGAATAAATTCAACTGTACGTGGATTTCTCACCCAAGTTTCTTTCTTTCTTTTTTTTTTTTTCGGACAAGTCTCACTCTGTCACCAGTCTCACTCTGTCACCCAGACTGGAGTGCAGTGGCGCCATCTTGGCTCACCGTAACCTTCGCCTCCTGGGTTCAAGAAATTTTCCTGCCTTAGTCTCCCAAGTAGCTGGGATTACAGGCACCCACTACCAAGTCTGGCTAATTTTTGTATTTTTAGTAGTAGAGACGGGGTTTCACCATGTTGGCCAGGCAGGCCTCGAGCTCCTAACCTCAAGTGATCCTCCCGCCTTGGCCTCCCAAAGCGCTGGGATTATAGGTGTGAGCCACCATGCCCGGCCTCACCCAAGTTTTAAACACGTCCAAGAAAGTGGATGCATACCTACCTAGTCTAATGTTTAAAATACATTTCGGATGAAGCATTTCTTGTTCTAAAACTACTTAACATAGAGCCCTGGCGCCTCAGATTCCTTGCAAGTCACTAAGTCAGTGCATGGCATTGGGTACTAGTGTTATATTATTGGGCAGACTTGTGAAAGGATGTGGAGTCTCAGACTCCAGGTTTGAATCTGCCATCTCCAGCCGTGTGACCTTGGGCAAGTTATTGAAGCTTTGAACACTGGCTTCTTGATCCATCAAATGGGATATTTAGGGGGGAAATGGGATAGTAGGGATTGTGTGAGGATTAAGTATGATGACATATGTAAAAGCAAATTAACACTGCACCCAGCAGGTCCTCAATTATAGTACTTTTTATATTCATAGTATGGAATAAAGAAAAGTCTTTTTGATTGGAGCCCCAAAAAAGGGATATTAGAGGGTCAGAAATGAAAAGCTAACTCATAGCGCATGTGTGTGTTTTGTGGCGGGAGGGATAAGGTAGAATCATCCTCTTCTTACTCCAATCTGACACAATTCCTCCACGTGACTTGGGCAACAGAAATAAAGAATAACCCAGCCTGGGCAACATGGTGAAACACCGTCTCACCTAAAAATACAAAAAATTAGCTGGGCATTTTGCTACATGCCTGTAGTCCCAGAAACCTGGGAGGTTGAGGCAGGAGGACCACCAGAGCTCAGGAGGCTGGGGCTGCAGTGAGCCATGATTGATCCACTGCACTCCAGCCTGGGCGACAGATTGAGACCGTCTCTCAAAAATAAATAAAAAACACTTACTGAGTATTACCATGTGATAGCTGCTGTTCGAACAATCTAAGCATGATTACGTTAGATTGGTGATGGGTATTCTTACACTGCCAATTTACAGATGGATTAACTAACACGCTGAGGTTAAAAGTAACTTGTCTAAGACCACGCGGCTAATAATTGGGAGTGCCCGGAAGTCAATTCCCTTCTCTAAGCTTCAATTTCCTCATCAGATGATTGGTTTAGATACCCATGTCCACCAGTGCTCAAAATTTTACATCTGTGCTAAATTTAACCAGGAAATTTGGGAGTTATGTTAGTGATGTTTGCAATGGAAAAGAAATGGTTTAGGAAACTTAACATGGCTTGAAACTCTTTAAAAGTCTTTCTTACCATTTTTCTTGTCCCTTTCTTTCATTACTCTCTCCTTGTCTTTTCCCCTTCGTCCTCCTTAAAATAAGTCTCTGAGAGGGAAAAACCTGTGGTTCACATCATGAGTTCATCAGAACCAGGCATCTATGTATCCCATCACATAGGTCAAGGAGCCTCCCAGCAAAGGTAGTAATAATCAGCCTTAGTAGCTGGAAAGATCATTTCATCTGTTTCTCTTCTTGCAAAACCTAAAGTGTTAAATCAGATTCTTGAACAGTAACACTTCCCAAACAAGTTGTCTCTACTGGCTGTTTCCACTTCCTATCCTCCTCTTTTCTCTTAAACTTATTTCAATCAGGCTTCTGTCACACTGCCCCCCAAAGCTGCTGTCATCAAGGTCACTAATGGCCACAGTAGTGCCATATATTGTGAGCAATTCCATCCTCCATCAGCAGCATTGGATGCAGGCGATCAGTCCTCTCTCGATGCTTCCTTAAAGACCCTTGGCTTCTAGGAGTTTCTTCTCTCTTAGTCCTCCTACTGCAGTGCCTGCTTCTGCTCCAACTCCTTGGCTGGCTTCCTCATCTCCTCACCTGTAAATATTGGAGAGCCCTCAGCTGAAAACCATGGACCCCTTCTCTCCTTTGTCTAAACTCACCCCCATAGTAGTCTCCAAACTCCTGGCTTTATGTACTATCCATATGCTGACAACTCCTGCACTTACATCCCCCACCCAGTCCTCTCTCCCATTTTCCAGACTCCGTACTCAGCATCTCCTATGGATGTCAAATAGGCATCTCAAACATGGGTCCTCCCACAGTCTTGTCATCTCCAAGCAGGATAACTCTTTCTTCCAGATGTTCATTCTAATGCCTTGGAGTCACCCTTAGCGCCTCACTTTTTCCATCCAGTCCATCAGTGAATCTGTCAGCTTCGCCGCTTCCACAGATCCAAATCCCTGGCATTCTCTCTTGCTTGTATTATTGCAATTGCCTCCAAACTGGTCTCCCTGTTTTGGCTTTTGCTTTCTTGTAGTCTCTTCTCATCAGAATAGTTGGAGATCCTTTCAAAGTGTAAGGCAGATGGAATCACTCCACTGCTCAAAATGCCCCAACGTTCTCTGTGTTACAAAGTTAAATCTAAAGCCTTCCTGTCTCTAGGGTGTTCCCTTGCTACCTCTCTGAATCTGTTTCCTAGCATGTACCTCCTTGCCCATTCAGCTGAAGCCACATGGTCTATTCTTTGTTCCTTGAATACACTACACACGCCATTGCCTGGGGCCTTTGTGCTTGCTCTTCCAGGAAGGCTCTTCACACAGCTATCCACAGAGCTCTCCCTCCCTGACTCATTCATTACCTTTATCTAATCTTTCCATGCAAAATAGGAATCCCTTCCCACCCTTCCCTGCCTTATTTTTTCCAAAACGCTTACTATAACTGTCCTCTCCCCTAGAATATAAACTGCATGAGGTCAAAAATCTTTGTATTTTTTTTTTCTCTGCTATATCCCCAAGGCTAGAAAAATGTCTGACACATAGTAGATGTTAAAAGAATGAATGACTCGGCCAGGCGCGGTGGCTCACGCCTGTAATCCCAGCACTTTGGGAGGCCGAGGTGGGCAGATCACAAGGTCAGGAGATGGAGACCATCCCGGCTCACACGGTGAAACCCCGTCTCTACCAAAAATACAAAAAATTAGCCAGGCGTGGTGGCGTGTGCCTGTAGTCCCAGCTACTCTGGAGGCTGAGTCAGGAGAATCGCTTGAACCCGGTGGTGGAGGTTTGCAGTGAGCCAAGATCGCGGCACTGCACTCCAGTCTGGGCAACAGAGCAAGACTGTGTCTCAAAAAAAAAAAAAAAAAAAAAAAAGAATGAATGACTCTAGGTCAGTTTCTACAACAGATGCTGACTGACCAGCCAAGCTCTTTATGGAATTCTGTTCACTTAGAGTAAGCAAATCTTCCACAGCACTACGGGGGGGTGGGAGTGGGAATGTGGTGGCTGGGAGGACCACTAAATCTTTTTTGCTATAAATTGCTTTCCCGTATGATGATATTTACCACACCAGGATTTCAGCTCTAGCTCAAAGCTTGCTTAAGGATATTTGTCAGAGTGAGCTTGCCTGAGAGTTCAGTAATTCTCAAGATGGTTTCCCTGAAAGAATCCTTGTTCAAACACCATCCCTTTAAAAGTCCTTAATCCAGACTGCCTGTTCTGCAGACATTCTCAGATGCATTATTTAAAGTTATTTCCAGTGGTGCGTGGGTGGGAGGTGGGAGCTACATTTGTTACTTAGTGGTTTCCAAAAGCCTTCCAGGATCTTTCCTTTTTACCCTAGTGAGGTTGCTCACTTTTAACCCTTCTTTTCCAGGTCTCCTAACATAACTTCTTAGGCTTAGTAGCTCATTGGCAAATCCGTTAATGCATTTCACTGCTATTGGGTGAAATTTAGAAACATGCTACTCTGTTCTTTGGGGATGCCTCTTAGCAGAGAGAGGCTTCTTTTTCTTAAGGAGTCAAAGAATGACATTCATAGAAGACACTGTTTATTGGATGAACCAGTTACACAGACTTTTTGATTCTTGGGAGAATGTTCATATCTGTGGTATAATGCATTAGTCATCATACTTTTGAAGAATAAAGACATCACATGGTATTTGCCCTCTCCCAGGGCCCTGCAACCTTTTGCATCTGTTATTTTGTTTGAAGCTCACAAAGCTTCCTGCAGTAGACAAGTTGTATCACATTTTACAGATGAAGACAGAGGCACAGGGAGGGTAGTGACCAGCTGAAGGCTGCCCTTGGTGGATGGCCCAGTGGGACCTAGAGCTCCGCCCTCATGCTCTCTTGCTTCCTCGCCTTGCAAGACTTTGACTTAAACATTCTGCCTCTCCTAATTACTGATAGGTGTCCTGGTTCTCTCCTGCACTCCAGGAACCCAAGTACAGGTCTCAAACACTTGAAGATTGTCTTTTGCTGCACGGGTCCATTTCTAACTTGCAACATCTTTTTTCTGGTTCTCCTGCTTCTGCCAGATACTGAGAGAGACGGGAAATGTCTGTGTGTCTCTGGATATTTTGAGACTGTTCTTTGTCTAGGAGAGTGCTCAGTGGCAGAAGGAACCATCTAGATATCCAAGGAGAAAACTGCTCTTCCTGAGTTCTTTGGTCTCTAAGCTCCAGCTTGGTAGAAAATTGGGCTTCTTTTCTGAATATCCATAGTGAAGTTACATTCCTTAGAAATTCTTCACATGAAAGTCTGACAGCTCTAGGGGGTTACCCTTTAAGCATAATATTCAGATCTGGTATTTCTTTTTTTTTTTTTGAGATGGAGTCTCGCTCTGTCCCCCCGGCTGGAGTGCAGTGGCATGATCTCGGCTCACTGCAAGCTCTGCCTCCCAGGTGCATGCCATTCTCCTGCCTCAGACTCCCGAGTAGCTGGGACTACAGGTGCCCGCAACCATGCCTGGCTAATTTTTTGTATTTTTAGTAGAGGCGGGGTTTCACCATGTTAGCCAGGATGGTCTCGATCTCCTGATCTCATGATCCGCCCATCTCGGCCTCCCAAAGTGCTGGGATTACAGGCGTGAGCCACCGCGCCCGGCCCAGACCTGGTATTTCTTTCGCCATGGGGCTATAATACTGCCAGCCTTTGCACAGAGCTTTAGAGTTGTGGTTATGCTTCAGAAGCTCCCAGAAAGTTTCTGAAAATACAGATTCCTGGGCTCCTCCTGGCGATTTTAATTCAGTAGGCTTAAGAGGATCAGAAATCTGTAATTAAAAAAAAAATCCTTTGTCATTTCTGACAATTAACCAGGCTTGGAAACCACTGTTCAGATTACAAAGCCCTTTTGTATATAATATTTCATTTGTTCATCACAACACATGAGGAAGCCGTTAACCTCCTTTGCAGATGTGACTCAAATATGGTAAATAACCTAAGTCCTTAAGTTAGTGAATAGTAGAGCCAAGTCTCCAGCCTAAAGCCTTTGTCTCCAAACCTGATTTCATTTCCACGTGATCTCCCTTGGAGACGCATTCTCCCATCTATCAGTTGTCCCAGGGGTGTTGGTTTCTTCTCATACTCTGCTTTGCTCACCAGCAAAAGGCCAAATTCATCTGTTCTTCCCTGCGAGCAGCAATAAGCAGATTTGGAGAAGGTGGTGGAAAGGCAGGCCCCAGGCAAGTGTCTCAAAGTATCCATCCTTGTCAGTTATCTGGGCCCATCAGACAACAGTGGCAGGCAGGCCCAAGGGATGTTTCAGCCCAGTTCCAAGAAAGAGTCCCAAAGAGCACCGGGTAGAAACCATGGGCCGGTGGCTTAGAGAGTTAGTGGTAAACCTTTCCTGTTTCCATGTGCATTGTGTTTTGGAGCTAGATCATCATGAAGAAACCTCAAAAATCTCAAGTTTCATTGTAATAGGAAGGAGGCAGGGTGGCCCTGGGGGTGGCTATGGGAAACTTTGAGTGGATTTTCTGGTGCTTCTGGGTGAGGCTATGTCAGTGTGTAAAAGTAACTTGAGAGCAGGGCTCTTTTGTCCTAGCTGGTTCTGTGTCATTGGGAGCTCCCGGAGTTTAAATGCTTATGTGGACTTTGGTGGGTGGTCCCCTCATCCCAGATTCCCAGTGTGGCAGCTATTCTTGGGATTTTAGAAATTGGAACCTGGAGGACCTTTGCCTTAGGAATGGGAGTTTGATTTCTGGTTATTTCGTTCATTCATCTATTGATAGATATTATTACATAGAGTTAAGAGCCTAAGCTCTGGAGGCAGACTTCCTGGATTCCATATCTGGCTTTGCCACTTACTAGCTTTGTAATTGTCACTGTGCCTCGGTGTACTCATCGGTAAGATCATGATGACACTGGTACCTACTTCTTCAGGTTTTGGCGAGGAGCAGATGAATTATTATGTGTGGAGTGCTTAGAATCGGGGCAGGCATGTAGAAGTTGCGGCATAAGTGCTAACTTCACTGTTGTTTGACAAACATCATGTTCTGGGTCCACCACTGTGGCATAGAGGGCATAGAGGCAACCACCAGGGGCCCACCTTGCAGGAGTTCACAGTTTGCTGGGAGACAGGCATGAAAACAGACCACTGCCATGTAAAGTTGCTGTTGACATAGGGAACGCTGTAATAGAGGAAAAATCAGAGGACTGCGGGGACACAGAGGAGCGGCCAGCTGTGTGCCATGGATGGGCTGGGCCAGGCCTGAACTGGCTTCTTAGAGGAGGTAGTAGCATTTGATCTTAAAATGTCATTAGCAATTCACCAGATGGGGGAAAGGGGAACGGCATTCCAGAGAGAGGCAACAGCACACACAGGGCCACAGAGGCATGACAACTCCAGCATGTGCAGGAAATGACAGAAAGTGGGGAATGTGCTGCATGAAAAGGAAGTGGGAGGTGAAGTGGAGAGTCCAGTGAGCGGCATCCTAAGATCCTAAGACTCATAAGCCCCATGCCAAGGGATGAGGACTTTGCCTGGAGGAAAGGCACTTGGGACTCACTGGGAGTGTTCGAAGAACAGGCTCAAATTTGTATGTTATTTTATTTATTTATTTATTTATTTTTGAGACAGAGTCTTGCTCTTTCCCCCAGGCTGGAGTGCAGTAGCACGATCTCAGCTCACTGCAACCTCCCACCACCCCCTAACCCCCACCCCCCGATTCAATCAATTCTCCTGCCTCAGCCTCTCGAGTAGCCAGGATTACAGGCACCCGTCACCATGCCCAGCTAATTTTTGTAATTTTACTAGAGACAGGGTTTCACCATGTTGGCCAGGCTGGTCTGGAATTCCTGACCTCAGGTGATCCATCCACCTCGGCCTCCCAAAGTGCTGGGATTACAGGTGTGAGCCACCGTGCCCGGCCTCAAATTTGGATTTTAATAAAATCACTCTAGTTGCTGTGATGAGCATAGCACCATAAACAAAAAAAAAAAAAAAAGAAAAGAAAAGAAACAAACTCAATGACTTGAGTACCTCGCCCTTGTTAAATGTGAGTGCAAGGTATCTACCATTTCAGAGAGGGCCCAACCTTAACCGTGGTCAGGAGGCAAGGGTTTGGAAAATGTGGTGCTGATTCAGCCCACGACATTCAGGGTACCCTGGAGAAGAGCCCTTCCGGTGTCTGGTCTCCCCATCGTTCTGTAGGTGCAGTAGCGACATTATACTCCCTCTCCATAGCTCATCTTTAGACAGTGTTGGAGGAGCATGCTGTACTGGATTTCCTGCAAATGTAGCCTACTCAGGAGGAAAAGTGGGGCTCCATTGCTTGTTTCATTTTTCTTTTCTATTTTTATTTTTATTTTTTTGAGACAGAGTCTCACCCTGTCGCCCAGGCTGGAGTGCAGTGGCTCAATCTTGGCTCACTGCAACCTCCGCCTCCCGGGTTCAAGCGATTCTCCTGCCTCAGCCTCCTGAGTAGCAGGGATTATAGGTGTGCACCACCACGCCGGCCAATTTTTTCTATCTTTAGTAGAGACAGGGTTTTACCATGTTGGCGAGGCTGGTCTCAAACTCCTGACCTCATGATCCACCCACCTCAGCCTCCCAAAGTGCTGAGATTACAGGCGTGAGCCACTGCACCCGGCCCCTTGTTTCATTTTTCTATAGAATATATTTGCACTTAATTTTATTATTTAATAGGAAACATGCTCATGGTTCAAAGAACAAAATGATAGGAAGGTTTACACACAAGTTTGCCCTTCCCTCTGTGCTCATCCACCCTGTTGTCTCCACACCTGCCAGAAGAAACCACTCTTATTTGTTTCTTGGGTATCCTTCTAGCATTTCTTTTTTTTCTTTTCATGTCAGATGGGTAATATACCGACATCGTAACAAGGTTCGAGGGTGGCACATCTCAAACACGCACGTGAACACCCAGTCATTACGCTTATGAACTATAAAAAGATCACCTTTCGGCATTTATTTCTTTTCTTTCTTCTTCTTCTTTTTTTTTTTTTTTTTGAGACTGAGTTCTTGCTTTATCACCCAGGCTAGAGTGCAGTGGCGCGATCTTGGCATACTGCAGCCTCCGCCTCCCGGATTCAAGCAATTTTCCTGCCTCAGCCTCCCGAGTAGCTGGGATTACAGGTGTCTGCTACCATGCCCGGCTAATTTTTGTATTTTTAGTAGAGACGGGGTTTCACATGTTGGCCAGGCTGGTCTCGCACTCCTGACCTCAAGTGATCTGTTCACCTCATCCTCCCAAAGTTGCTGGCATGAGCCACTGTGCCCAGCACCAACATTTCTTTATGCAACTATGAGCAAATGGGATCATAGATTCTTCCTGTTTTCCCTTTCACTTGTAGGATGTATCAACAAGGTCTTTGAAAAATCAAAGTCATATTTGCTAAGGGATTTCTAGCTAGTCCAGTTATTCCTTCCAGAGTGAAATAAAGGGAAGCAGAAGCTTTGCTGTGACTTTGTCTCCCTGTTATGTAAATGAGGGACAATATTGTCCGCCCTGACTCCCATGTGGGAAAGTAATAAGTAATTTCACATTGATCAACCGTTTTGAGCTTTCTGGCAGAAGGGATGCTCAGAGTAGTGCTGTTTTGATGGTTTCTCAGCAAAATACTTCCCTCTTGTCCACGGGTCCCAGGACTTATTTTTAAAAAAGGATTCCGATTGCTAATTGTTAACAAGTTGCTGGGTTTTTTTCCTCCCCTCCAGCTCTTCCTTTCAAAACTTCTGAGCCTTAATTAGCAGCCCCAGTTTCTGGCCAGGCCATGTGTGTCTGATTTTAAGCCGCGTCCTGCCGGGGACTCCTGCTGCACACATGTGCCTGCAAGTGCTCCCCCAGTTTCTGTTGCAGAGTTCTTTCGTTTTTCTTTTTTCTTCCACCACAAGTGCTGAGCCACACAGAAGCTTTAAGACTCCAAATCATAGCGCAGCAGCGAGCCAGTGTTGGCTGTAATTAGCTAGAATTGCAAACTCCTGGTCATAAAGACATCATGTCTTTGCTTACTGTGGTGAATTTCCTGCGTTCTCTAAGGGTCGCAGGAGAGGCTCAGAGGAAGGAAGTTGTCTATCAATTGAGGGAGGGGCGAAACTAGATGATCCCCAAGATGCCTTCACTTCTAAAATTACACTTTAATGACATCTTCTCCAGGGCCCGCCTGTCCCCACGTAGGGAGTGAAGCACCAGGCCCAGCAAGCCCCGTGGAGGCCTCCGAGATGGGCACCAGGAGACAAGGACAGCGAGGCTATCGTCTTGACACCACGGGACCTGGTCACTGTTTTGAAAGGGATTTGGTTTTGTTTTGCTGGGACGCTTCCTGGAAGTCTTTTCTTGAGGCAGTGTGTTTATCTGGTTTCTTAGGTAGAGCATAAGGCTGTTTTCTCTCAGACGTGGACTTGGCAATGCGGAACTCAGTTCTGGGCTGTGATTCAAAGCCTTGCCAGCTTCGTGAATTCAAGAAATCCTTGTTTCCACCCAAAGACCCAAAGAGACTTTGAACAGTCATTTCACCCTCCCCGCACAGCTGGGCCAGATGGCAGCAGTGGCCCAGTCCCTATCCTGAAGGCTCCTTACCTAGAGGAAGTCCACCTCACTGGGGACCTTCTCCTGCCCTGTAGTTTTAGCCCATCTTATCATTATTATTATTATTATTATTTTTAGAGATGAGGTCTCCTGTGTTGCCCAGGCTGGTCTCAAACTACGGGGCTCAAGCAGTCTTCCTGCCTCAGCTTCCCAAGGTGCTGGTATTACAGGCGTGAGCTACCACACCCGGCCTTAGCCCATCTTGAGGTGAAACTATGCAGTTGTTCTGGGAGGATCTACATGCCTGTCCTCCATGAGGATGCAGAGTCGTTGAGTTTACATGGGGAATATTTAGCCGTCCACGTCATTTCTGTGGGCTTCCCTAGGCTGACCCTGGAAAGAATTCCGGATGCTACTTGGGAGATACTCCTTTTTGCAAGTTGGCACAGACATCCTTCTGCCTTTTCTTTGTCCTAGGACCACTCTTTATGGTGTTCCTGTTGAAGCAGGTCGGGGGATTGGGAATTAAGCGTAGCTGACAGGGTAAAATTTGAGGAGCAGGAAGCTCATAGATGGGGGCCACCAGCCCAATTTCTTTATCTTAGGTCTGAGCTGTTAAGACCCATAGCTACTTCTCTTATAATTATCAAACTTTTCTTCTCCATTGAACATCTCCCTATTTAAATATTAGCCTCCCCAGGGAGATCTTTGTGATTCCCCAGCCTAACATGGTGTTTGGCTCACTGTAGATGCTCAAGAATTGGTTGTTGGATTGGGTACCCCATTCAGCAACATTTGTTGAGTGCCTAGAATGCGCTTTGCACTGTGCTGGAGTCTGGTGATGACAAAATCTGATAGAGCCCCTCCCCTTAAACAGTTTATCATCTAAGAAGAGAGACATCTGTGTACTTCTAACATCTAGCACAGGGGCAGAAACAAAGTCATTTGGTGGCTTTTGAGCTTAGAGTCATAAAATGTCAGAGCTAGAGGGTCTTAGGGATTGTTAAATCCCTCCCTCTCACTTTGGAAGTAAAGAAACTGATTGGTCAGAGACTTGCTCAAGGCCACCCGGTCAGACGGGGACAGAGAGTGCTCAGCCTGCCGTCCCTGCTTTCGGCTCTATCACCCCATGCAGCTTGTCTTTGGCCTTTAACTAGAAAGATCAAATCATGAAAAGTAGAGGGAGTACCAGAGAGAGCAGGAACCCACTTTCATTGCAGGTCTACTGTGGCTCAGTGACCTAAATCCTGGGAGGACTGGGAGGCTCTGGACAGTGGCTCTCTGACTAGGACTGCGGAGTGAGTACTCCAACGCCACAGGGGCCAGCTCCCTGCAGTTCCCACTGAGACTTATTTCTCCAGAGGCCAGAAAGCCCAGAAGATGAAGCCTTGTCACTTTTGGTCTTGTGGCCCAGTTCAGCTGAGATGCCACGCGGTTCTTGTTGAGGGGAAGGGGTGTGAGAGGCCCTGGTGCCTGAGCCACACACTGGGGCTTTCCATCCTGCTGAAGTCAGGACCTTCATTGGCCCTGATTCAAACAAACTGATTGGAAAAAGACATTTTTGAGACCATCAGGGGAAAATGAATGTGGATTTGATATTCAGTGATATTAAAGAATGATTATAAATGTTAGATATGATAAAGGCAAGTGATTATGTTAAAGATAAAACAGTTCTTATCAGAGATGCATGCTAATGTCTGGGTTGTTTTAAAATACTCTAGGGTAAATAAATCTTTATGAGTATTTTGGAGTAAAATGATATAATACCTGGGATTTGCTTTAAAATGTTCCAGGCTGGGCACAGTGGCTCATGCCTGTAATCCTAACACGTTGGGAGGCCCAGGTGGGAGGATCGCTTGAGCCCAGGAGTTTGAAACCAGCCTGGCAACATAGCAAGACCCTATCTCTACAAAAAAAAAAAAAAAAAAAAAAAACCCTAAAAAGTTACCCAGGCAGTTAGCTTCGTACCTGAGGTCCCAGCTTCTTGGGAAGCTGAGCTGGGAGGATCAGTTGGGCATGGGAGTTCGAGGCTGCAGTGAGCCATGATCATGCCTGCACTCCAGCCTGGGTGACAGAGTGAGACCCTATCTAAAAAAAAAAAAAAAAAAAAAAAAAAAAAGGCCAGGTGCAGTGGCTCACACCTGTAATCCTAGCACTTTGGAGGCCGAGGCAGGTGGATCACTTGAAGCCAGGAGTTCAAAACCAGCCTGGCCAACATGGCAAAACTCCATCTCTACTGAAAATACAAAAATTAGTTGGGCATGATGGTGTGCGCCTGTAATCCCAGCTACCTGGGAGGCTGAGGCAGAAGAATTGCCTGAACCCAGGAGGTGGAGTTTGCAGTGAGCCGAGATGGCTTGGTGGCTGTGGAAGAAGTGGCTTCCACAGACATGACAGGGTGTGGGTGACATCACACGGGTCCTTGAACAATTGCACTCACATTGTGGGGAGGTTCCCGCCTTTCCATGTGTCCCCTAAGAGACCCAAGGACTTGGCCGGGCACAGTGGCCAACGTGAACTCCATGCCATCCTTGGTATTTTCCATTCATGTTGCCAGACCATCTCTGTTTCAGGTCAGCCTCCTCAGACACCCAGAGAGGCCTATCCTAAGCCAAACCCCCTCACAGAGGTGTAGGGCCAGCACTGCACATCGCTGCACAACTGAGCTTGCCTTCTCAGCCCGCTGTGATGCAAATATTTGGATTCTTTTTTTTTTTTTTTTTAATTGAGACAGAGTTTTGCTCTTGTTGCCCAGGCTGGAGTGCAATGGCACGATCTCGGCTCATTGCAACCTCTGCCTCCCAGGTTCAAGTGATTCTCCTGCCTCAGCCTCCCTAGTAGCTGGGATTACAGGCATGTGCCACCACGCCCGGCTCATTTTGTATTTTTAGTAGAGGCGGGATTTCTCTATGTTGGTCAGACTGGTCTTGAACTCCCGACCTCAGGTGATCCGCCCGCCTCGGCCTCCCAAAGTCCTGGGATTACAGGCATGGGCCACCGCTCCTGGCCAATATTTGGATTCTTATTCACCTTCTGTCCTTGTCTTGCTGTCTTTCATTTCCCTCCCTGACAGTGGAACCTTCACTACTTCTGCCCCCTAAAGGTTCTGCCATGTCTGCAATCCCCATAGTCTCTACAGTGTGATTTTCCTATTACAGTGGCCCCTCCTTATCCTTGGGGATACTCAAGACTCCCAGTGGATGCCTGAAAGCGCAGAGAGCACCAGACCCAATTGTGCCAATCGGATTCTGTTTCAGGTCATGTCTTCCACCCACAAATTTAACACCTTTTCCATCCTAACTAAGCAATTATCATGCACTATGGCTATAACTTTTGCAGTTTGAGGTGTGGCAGCAAAACCAGCACAAATTTCTTCTTCCTTCTTCACAATCTCATGGATGGAAGATGAGTTTTTACTGTAGACCTGGGTGACTTTGGCATGCAATTTTTTTTCTTTCATTATTAAGTTGAGAACTTTCACCTTTTCACTTAAATGGAGAACTTTACGTCTTCTCTTTGGGGATATCCAAATTGCCAGCCTCACTACTCTTGCATTTTGGGGCCATTATAAAGTAAAATAATGGTCATGTGAACATAAGCACTGCAATACTGGGACAGTTGGTCTGATAACCTAGATATCTAGTCACTAGATAACTAAGTGACTAACAGGCGGAGAGTGCAAACAGTGTGGATTCACTACTGCATCCACAGCCTGTATCCAGACTAGACAAAGGGATGATTCATGTCCCTAGTGGAATGGAGTTGGATGGCTCAAGATTTTATCATGCTACCCAGAACGTCACACAATTGGAAACTTGTGAGTTGTTTATTTCTGCAATTTTTCACTTAATATTTTTGGACCACAGTTGACCACTGGTAACTGAACCCTTGGAAAGTGAAACCACAGATAAGGCAGGACTGCTCTACTAGTTTGTTTAAATGTTTGCTCTCTTGTCACACTCACTACTGAGGTTTTTGTACCCAGACATGTCCTAGCCTAGAGCACTGCATTCTGGTCTTCCCATGGCCACGTTCTTTAGTACAGAGTGAAGAGTTCTTAGTTTGAAGGAGATGTGCATACCCTGGAGCCTATGTGTCTCCCACCCCGACGACACACACACACACACACCATGCTCTGGATATTAGGAACACAAATGATGAGGAACCTGCTTCCGGGGTGTCTCCCCCATCTCTAGTCTCCCAAAGACAGACAGCCCTAGCCCTGAGGATGACAAAGGAGCTTCTGTTTGTGGGGGTGTGGACACAACTTTGACATCTTCTTGGGGTACCCATATGCATACATGTGAGGACCCTCCTGGTACCCCCACAGAAGCCAGGGTCTGAGCTAAAAGCAGATGGAAGCAGACCACAGGAGAACAGACCAAGGCCGGCTGGCTGCTGGCTCTTCCCAGGTTGCCATACCCTGACACACAATGGCAAGAAGTCTGAGCCTCTAACCAGGTTGTTATGAAGGTATATTGGCCAAGGTTGGAGGCTAAGGCATATTTATGAGTTGGTTCGCTTGATTTATTATTTGTAAACATTTAGACATTGGTGTATGTGGGCCTCTCTTTATACTCTTGCCCAGGCCCTGCACGTTGTAAGTCTCTGTTTCCTAATGGAGACACAGGAATTTTGCTCTGGGCTGGACTTCATCTTGCCTTAAGGAAGGCTTGTGTTCTTCCATGGTATTTCCTGCAACTTGTAAAATACAACTTGTAAAGTCCTATTGTAGCCCCACGTATTTCCTGTGTTTATAATGGAGATGAAATCGTGGTTTGTCTTTCCACCACCCATCTTTCCACCCCCAACAACCCTCAATTAGATAAACTAACAAGCTAATTAAAAATAGCCTTAAAGTAAGGACACTTGTGTAAACCAACAACTTTATCAGAAAAGGTTTTCCCTGGAATTTCCCATCCTCATTCAAAGGGACAGGCAGTGTTCTGGATTCCAAACAATAGATTCTAATCAATAGCTCCTCCTATTCAAATAGTGGCAGAATCCTACCTGCCTTCCTTCCCTCCAGTGGAATGTTAGTATCTCTCTCAATGAATCATTAAAATTCCTGGCTTGTTATGATGTACCCGTCACTATACCTACATAATATCAAGCAGAAAGCTTTTGAAGGCCTTTTGGGATAGCAGAGCAAGGGTCTCCCCACCCAACTGGTCATATAATTGGCTTTTCTCTCTTTAAAGACTCGAAGCCTTTGTGCTAAACAGAAAATGCCAAAGGTCTTTGGATATGGGGAGTCGAGTGTAGAGGTGGGGTGTTGGCTTCATACACAGCAGAGAATGTTTCCCTCCTTTGCTGTGGAAGACTAACCTTAGCAGCTTCCCACTCACTCCATCTCAAACCCAATTAAATTTTAATTCAGATCATCACGAATACAAAGTGCTTTCTTCAATCTCTATTATTTCTGGAGTTCCCTGGTGTCCAGTTTAAAAAATTCTTCAGGGAAAGATGTCTGGCAGTGATTGGATGAAGGTATTGACTTTGGAAAGAGGAGTCTTAACATCAACAAGTATGTCAACGATAAGTCACTAGAAACAAATCCCAGCCATCCAGTTTGCTTGTTTATGTGGTTCAAGTGCCTCGCGCCAAAGCATGGCCCAGATCCAAGTTTCACATCAGTAATTCCTGCCATTCAACATGTTTAGCTTTTGTTTCTTAATGGGTGTTGACAGACAATCTACTTCCCATAATCCTCCATTCGCAGCTGCCTTCATTGATGTATTCATTCCACACATGTGTTGAGTAGCCCTGGAATTTTTGCTTTACAGACACCCATGGATATGTCAACAGATTATTATTGTAATGATAAGAGTATATGATAATAGAGGTATGTATAGCACTGCATGAACTCAGAAGAAGTAATGTCTTGTCTTATTGAAGAACTAGAATATCTTAGAGGATGACAGTTGACTTGTATCTTGAATGATGCACAAGAGAATTTACAGCAGATTTGAGCAGTCAAAATTTAATGTCTCCTCTCTTTTTTTTTGTTTTGTTTTTGAGACAGAGTCTCACTCTGTCGCCCAGGCTGGAGTGCAGTGGCATGATCTCAGCTCACTGTAACCTCCGCCTCCTGTGTCCAAGCAATTCTCATGCCTCAGCCTCTTTAGTAGCTGAGACTACAAGTGTGCACCACCACACCTCATTAATTTTTTGTGTTTTAAGTAAAGATGGGGTTTTGCCATCTTGGCCAGGCTGGTCTTGAACTCCTGACTTCAGGTGATCTGCCTGCCTCAGCCTCCAAAGTGCTGGGATTACAGGCTTGAGCCACCACGCCCAGCCAAAATTGAATGTCTCCTCCCTTAAGATTTGTACTTCAAAAGCTTTTGGTTTTCATGAGCACAGAAAAGGGGCTGATAGCCTGGTGATCAACTGTGGGCCTTATCAACAGCTACAGTGAAGAGGAAGACATTGAAAAGAGCTTGACATGGCTGAGCCTGAGGAAAGGACTTGGCCTGAGCAGACGGGGATTCCCAAGGAGAAAGGAAGAGGCTCAAGGTCTGAAGCCACTGTGCTCTGACCCCATGTCTTTGCTTGAATGGTGTTCATAGATTTACTAGTTGTTGGTGGCTTCCAGTATACCACTAGGGTGGGAACTGGCTGTCCAGAAAAGCCATCTGGGAGGGACACTTGGTGAGCACACTGTAATCTGGCTTAGCTCAGCATCCTGAAGATGTGGTGTGCTTCACAAGCAAGCCTCACTCCAACGACTGCCTTGGTTTACATCTTGAAATAAGTCCTCATCACTGGATGAGTATTTTAAGATGCAGCTTTCATCAAGACGGTTTCATTAAGGCAATTCCAGTAGAGTGAATAATCATTTTCCCCCCTCATCAGATGTGCTTAATCTTATAGAATTATGATGAGTTTAATCCTCACTTTTTAAGCTGTATCTTAAAAAAAAAAAAGAAAAAGAAAAAGAAAAAACCCTTAGAGAAATGATCCTGCATCTGTGTCAAAACGTTTCCCTCTGCATTTTCAGATCTGTCTTTTCTAGGTCACCATTGCTCTTTATGGCTTTCCTTATCACAGTTTTTTCTAACTTCCTGTTTCCTAGCAAACTTTATATAAACTCATTTTATTTTTACTTAAGCCATTCAGGAGTGAACTTTTCCCCTTTTTGGAGGCCAGTACTTTTTCTGCACCTTATTATTATTGTACACATGAGGGTCAGAGTTATTTCAAATGTTTTGACAACCTTCAATTATTTGCACTTAAGAGGTTGAGTAGAGAAGAACTGCATAAATTCCAAGCAAAATGACATTAGAACAATCACATGGATAATACCCAATAGCATATATTTCTCGTTTGTTTATTTGCCCTTGGAATGTACTTAAAATAGTATTTTTAGTGCACTAAACTGCTTCATTTGCAGTTCTTACACTAGATGGGCAATGAAATTTACAGTCCCGAACATGTGGGTAACAGAAAGCTAGTGTAATATAACTCTTTCCTAACCAGAACAGCTTGTCACAAAGACAGGCTAAATACACACTCTTCTAGTTAAGGAAAGAAATGCAATGCTAGATGAACAGGAAGTCCTGTTCCACCAGCCCAATTCACAAAGACCTAGACCTCATTCCTTTAGTTATTAAACATTTGTTGAGCACCTAATATGTGATAGAGGCGAGAGGTTCAAAGAAGAAAAAGACATTGCCCTGTCCTCTTTGGGTTCGGTAAAGGAATACACAGTGTGGGAAATGCCCAGAGAGTTCTGAGAGTCCCTAGTAGCAACAACTAATTCCACCATATTTCACAGAGAAATATTTGATCTGGACATAGAAAAGTATGTAGAAGACATCTATCTACTTGTCGAAGTGGGGAAGCCGAGTTCCAGGCAGAGGGCCCAGCATGTGCAAAGGCAAAGAAGAAAATGAGGTCATGAGGGAGGCAGAGTTCAGAGTTGTGGGATGTAGGGGGCATGAGAGCGAAGTGGCGGCTTGAGCCTAGAGACATAGATTTGGACACCATCATGGAGCACCTTGGACACCATCTGAAAAGGATTTTACCTGTAGGTAACAGGGAGTCCCTGAAGGTTTAAGCAGAGGTAATATGGTTACATCTGAGCTCTAGAATAACTGATAGCAATGTGGATGGTGTATAAAATGGGAGAGAAGACAGGAAACCAGAGCAGACTTGCCAGGTAAGAGACAAAGATATTCTGGCCCAAGACAGTGGAGGTTCAGAAAGGGGAAAGGCAGTGCAGTTCAGCCTCATTTAGGATGCTTTGGTACCTGGCAGAGAAAGATAGAGAAGTCAAGAATGCTTCCTAACTTCTTGTTATTTCAGCTTTGTGCCAGTTCTCCAAGTGCACAGATAAAAACATCTACTGCTAAAGCCCAACTCCCTCTGCTTCTCGGTGTTCTTTCATTTCTTCTCAGAACTGTGTAACTCATCCCTAGAGTTTTTTCGGACACAACCTCATTCTATATTCTGATGCTTTTAGTTCTGAGAACTACAAGTTCTCAGCATGGGCATCATGCTAGAAGTTAAGGCATGCAGAAGGGAGACCTGGCCTTTTTCTCCAAGAAGTTCATAAGCTTATGGAGGAGAGAGACAGATAAAACTCTAAATACTAATTCATGCAGAATGGAAAAAAAAGGGCTAGGGGAACACAGAGAGAATGCTGGGAGAATTCAGGAGTTTATGTAGAAGGTGGGGCTTTAGCGACGCTCTTCATTCTTACTGAGCATCTACCTCATGGCCTGTACTACACTTAGCACTGAGATCAACAGGCTAACACGCACACATGATGAGAAGGAAAACACACATCAAATAAGTAATTAACTACAAGCAGAATGCATGCTGGGAAAGAAATGCAGGGTGTCATGAGAATGTGTAACTGGGAGATTTAAGGATCGGGAAGCCAGGCGTGGTGGTTCACACCCGCAATCTCAGCTACTTGGGAGGCTGAGGAGAGAGGATCGCTTGAGCCCAGGAGTTTCAGTCCAGCTTGGGCAACATAGTGAGACCCTCTCTCAAAATGAAATGAAATGGAATGAAATGAAGAAATGAAAGGAAATAAAGGATCAAGGAAAGCAACATAGAAGATTTAAGCTAAGATTGAGAGGTGGGCAGAGATATTACTGTAGGGAAGGGAAAGAATGTTCCTGAAGAAAGAATGCATGCCCACTGCTCAGCTGTGAGAAAATGTGGCACGTTCAAGGAACTGAAAGAAATCTAATGTTGCCGGAAGAGGGTAGCCTAAAGTAAACCAGGGAAGGGCCAGAAAATAGAGCATACAGGCAAATTAGCCATGTTAAGGTTCTGGAACTTTACCCTAGAGGAAATAGGGAGCTACTGGGTTGTTTTAAGAAGAAGAGTGTATGATTATCATTGTATATTTGGAGAATAAATTGGAAAGGGCAAAACCGGAAGCAGGAGATTTGTTAAAGCTGCCGGAGTTGTCAAAGCGAGGGGTGATGGGGCTTAACACAGAGAGAAAACAAGGGATAAAAAAGAACCAGTGTCCAAGAAATTTAGGAGGCACACATGGACAGGACCTAATGATGAATTAGATAGGAGAGGTGAGAGAAAGAGAGAAGTCAAGGATGGATCTTAGGTGGATCTTAGCCTGTTGATCTCAGTGCTAAGTGTAGTACAGGCCGTGAGGTAGATGCTCAGTAAGAATGAGGAGCGTCGCTAAAGCCCCACCTTCTACATAAACTCCTGAATTCTCCCAGCATTCTCTCTGTGTTCCCCTAGCCCTTTTTTTTTTCATTCTGCATGAATGAAACTTGGGAAATTGCATGGATGCTCTGCCCTGAGCCAAGAGACTCTGGAGAGAAGCAAAATTGGCGGGGAAAAAGGTGAGTTCACTTTTTGAACACATGAGGTTTAGTGCAAGCAAGATATTCAAGTGGAGATTTCTAGTAAGGAATAGGTCAGGACGCCAGAGGGTTGAGCAGGAGAAACTGGAGGGACCTGGAGACTAAGGGCATCCTTAGCATGTAGAAGCTGGAGGTATGGCCCAGGGAAGAGCTGGGATTACCCGGAGAGAATGAGTAGAATGTATGGAGAAAGACTGGACAGATTCCTGAGGAATACTAGCAATTAAAGTGCCTGTAGAGAAGTCAGAGTTTACAAAGGAAACTGAGAATAAGCCACTAGAGAAAAGGGCAAAAGACAAACCAAAGGGGCATAATCAGGAAAGTAAAAGTAGAGAACAAAGGGAGGGCTCCTAATGGGAAATGCCGTTGAGAGGTCAAGAGACAAAAATCCCATTGAATAGAGTGTGGTGACTCAGATTCTCACTGTTACTTACTAAGTGACCTTAGACCAGTTATTTACACTGAGCCTCATCCATAAGTTGGAACGATTGCATTGTATTTAGATTGGTGTCTTAATACATGTGCAGTAAATCTTAGCCATTATTATTCAATGGCATGAATAACTATTAGGGACTTTGTTAGTGGGGAAGTGCCAAATTAGAGTGACTTTTAGCTGAAGGGGAAAGTGCAATTGAGCACTTGAGAGAGGCTGTTTAAATGCAAAGAAGCAGTTCCAGGGAGGAAGAGATAGAAGACAGAGGAGAAGACAGGCTTTCAGTGGGAATAAAGTAAAGCAACACAGAAGGACAGGCATGGCAAGAAGCCTGAGCCATGGGGTTACACAGCATGACAACAGATGTGGTCAAGTGCAATGGTCAGGAAGAGGCAGGAAGAGCTACGGTGGGAGTTGAGCCTGTAAAGAATGTTACATTCATCCAGGCACAGTGGCTCACGCCTGTAATCCTAGCACTTTGTGAGGCTGAGGTGGGCAGATCACCTGAAGTCAGGAGTTCGAGACCAGCCTGACCAACATGGAGAAACCCCGTCTCTACAAAAATACAAAATTAGCTGGGCGTGGTGGTGCATGCCTGTAATCACAGCTACTTGGGAGGCTGAGGCAGAAGAATTGCTTGAACTCAGGAGGAGGAGGTTGTGGTGAGCCGAGATCACACCATTGCACCCCAGCCTGGGCAACAAGAGTGAAACTCTGTCTCAAAAAAAAAAAAAAAAAGTTACGTTTATGAATTTGAATATTTGAATTTTGCTTTGTGTGGATATAAGGGAGCCATGGACAGTTGTACAGGAGTGGAAGGGTTTGTTTTGTTCTGCTTTGTTTTGTTTTTGAGACAAGGTCCCACTCTGTTGCTCAGGCTGGAGTGTGGTGGCACGATCACGGCTTACTGCAGCCTCAAATTACAGGGCTCAGGGATCCTCCTGCCTCAGCCTCCTGAGTAGCTGAGACTACAGCATGTGCCACCACACCCGGGTAATTTGTAAATTTTTTGTAGAGACAGGGTCTCACTACGATGCCCAGACTGAGGAGTGGAAAGTTTAACTCAACCTGTTTTAGAAAAATTATTCTAACAATAGAGAGAAGTATGGATTATAGAGGAGGAAGATTTAGAAAAGAGCTGTCCACAGTGTGTGGCTGGGGGAGGAATTTTAATAGAGAGCAAAAAAATCACTTGTAAGCATTTAACCTTGGCTAGGTCACTTAACCTCATCAAGACTCAATTTCTCCACTAATAAAATGGGAATAATAAGATTTCTCTCTGAGGTTCTTTTGGGCATTGCATTTTCTATCAAGTACCTACTATAGTGCTTGGCATACAGTATTCTTCTCACGCTCTATCCTCCTCCTGACAGCTCCATGCTGTTGGTGGGTATCCATGGTCGGGTATTGGAATGTCTTACTCTCCTCTGATTTTCAGGAGACATAAATTTTCTTCCTAACTTTGCAATACTGAAGGAAAAAACAGTCTTCTGAAAAGTTTCCTTCCAAGTGCAGGGCTAAATTTTCATCTCTGCTCACTCTCTGATTTGACAAATTGGCATAGCTCATTTGCTGTGTACCAAATTGTCTTGATGCAAGAGTTTTTACATTTGGGGCTGGGCAGTGGTTCAAAAGTATCACTTTCCCATTAAGCTTTATGGGATTTACCTACAAGATGGATAACACATCCTTCAGACAGATGGCACAGCCCTGAAGCCATTGCCTAATTTCTTCTTCAGTGTTCTCCTTTTATCCTGTCTTCTATGATAGCTGATTTCCTTACATTCATGTCCACCCAGAAATAACTAGTTTCTAGAAAAGCTGTAATATGGATTGTATTTCTGTAAAGCCATATGTTCCATACGTCCTGACATCCTCGCAGATGCCATTTGATTCCATTTTGTCATATTCATTTAATAAATATTGAGTGTCTGCTTGGTGCCTGGCATCTGCAGTGCAAAGAGGAATAATATTCAGTTCTACACGCTGAAGGATCCCATATTTTGTGGCAAAGCAAGATCTAAAGACATAATTTAAGTAGACTGTGAATAGGTTAATTTGGAGCTACTAACTGGCTATCATGCAGGTGGGAATTGGGAGGTCACAAGAAACTTTCAGCAAATCTGGCATTTGAACTGCACCTTGAATTGTGAACTGAATCTTCCCAGGTGAAGAAAAGGGGATGGGCTTTCCTGACATGTTTCCTGATGAAAGAGCATGTACTTGAAAGAGAATGGCTGGCTCTGTAAAGGGTGAACCGTGTGTTGTCCCAGGATTAGGATGCCAGCAGCTGTTTACTGAAAGCACAATATGTGTTGTGTGCATGGTGCTAAGTACTTGTTTTATTTCACTTGATGCACACGGCAACCATATGAGGCAGTCCTATTATTATTCCCATTGTACATGGGATATCACTGATGCTTAGAGAGGTTGGATAACTTGCCCATAACAGAGTGATAAGCTATAATTTGAATATAAACCATCCTGTACACTCCTGAGTCTGTACTTGCAAGCGACCCTGCCATACCAGATGTGTGCAGGCCATCTGTGTACATGTGTGTGGGGCAAGGGGGCAAGCTGAAGGCAGAAAGGTCAGTTGAGGCCAGCTTTGAGATACTGAACACCAAGATAGAGGTTGTTGTAGACAAACATCTCTGCATGTTCATTTTTTATAAAAATTCACTATATTACTTTTAAAGTGAAACAGAACCCACTCTTTAGAGCATTTTTTAGCAAAAGTCCTGCTTTAGTGGGACATAATGTGTACATAAAATGGGGACTGAGGTTAGTAATCTAATTAAAAACAAATCGTTCGCAGGGATTTTGATTCCTTCTTACTTCAAAGCGCATATTAACATATAAATGAATTCTGTCCTCAAGGTAAGCCCCAATTACGTAAAAGTATTTCCAGGTTATTCGCTCTTTTCACCTTAAAAATGACAAAGTTTATTTTTTATATAAAAATTGAGGAATTCAGAACTTAACCTCTCAGCTAGTTTGAGGACTAAAGCTGTGATGTGATTCAGATTTTATAAGATCTTCACAGAATAAAATATTCAATTTACTCTCAGTTCATAGAATATTTTCATGTTCGGCTCTTTTCCTTCATAATGAATTTTAAAAATTTTCAATTGGATCTTAAATGAGATGTATCCCCGAAGTGTTTCAAACAGCAGAAACAAACCCAAACCCACAAAGACATAAATCAACAAAAATAGCACTCTTTGCATTGGCTGTTTACCAATAAATGAACATTCGGGTTCGTGTTAGAACTCAGTGAATGAGCAAAACCGGAGGTTGTGTTTGCTTCCTTTCAAGCCCGTCTCTTTAAGATCTAAGTCAGTTCACATAGTGGTCAGTGAACATCCCACTCCAGAGGAACTGCGTGAGTGATCGAATACTCCAAGCCTGAAATCCTCGCGGGTCTCCTGGTGGGAAGGCCGAGACATTTGCGTTATGAGGCCCCGTGATGCTTTGCTTGGGAGAGCACAGACCTGTAAGCAGCAAGGCATCCAGCTGCTCCTCTTCCCTCCCATAAGGCCCTCACGACAGCCAGGCCCCAGAAACGTGAACTTTCTGAACTTGGGTGGCCAGGCTGCTTCAGAGCCTCTTCTGGAGTCAGCAACCCTCCTTTGCTCTTCCCCCCTCCCTCCCACGGGTTCTGCTTCCTGGACCCTTCTGCTGACCAAGGAAACCAGCCTTGAGCAATTCCTAAGTATTTCACTCAACCCCAAGCAGTCCAACCCCGCTAGGAGGACTCCCCTCTCCTTTTGCCAGATCTCTTCTGGAAACTGGCTCACTCTCACTACTCATGAGATGAGATTTAGCCTCTCTGGTCTGATGGTGGAGCAGAATCCTGAGGACCCCTCCCTACCTCCTCACAAAACTAGCACAGCGGCAACGAAATCTGGAGTTGGACACAGTCCAAGGTCTTCTCAGGGATCCGCTTCCTCCAGGAAGATTCTTCCTCACTTGTCAGTCAGCGAGACTGCCTTGGTCTTAACCTCTGACCTCAGGGATTATTCAAGCCTGGAAGGGTCGGGAGAACCTTTTTAGAAAAGGGTGGGACTTGGAGAAAAAGAGATTTGGACAGTATTGCAGACAGGAGAAGCAAACCGAGCCAAGAAGTGCAAGAAACCATCCTAAGTACAGGAGTCTCTCGTTTCAGTCTTGAAGATCTCCAGGAAAGGAAATTCCAGGGCTTCCCCTGAGTCTAACCCATCCTTTTTCCTATGACCTCTGATGCTCCATTTTATGGGTCCCGGCTGTTAAATATGTAAAACCTAAAAGGAAGAGGGCCAGGAAAAGGAGACCATGGTCTGCTACAGAAGTGCTAGCCTGGCGGAAAAAGCCAGTCTGGGCTTGTTTTGCGGTCCACTCTTGTCTCCTTTCAGCCACACGTGTGACATCACTAGGCCTTCTCTTAGGCTAGTTTGGGAGGGCGGCCTGCCGACATCCCCACTCTCCCCTCCAGAACCCCCTTGGTCAGGAATATAGCACGAAGGGTTCCCTCTCAGCTGCCTGGCATTGAGGCCATTTTCCTTTGCAAGGGCACTACTGTGGGAAAATGTTTTAAATCACTTTTCTCAGAGAAAGGGAAAAACTGAAGTTCCGGAGATGTCATTCACCCCCAGAAATGTCATACTATGACTTCCCCTTAACCTTTTTCTCTGTGTGTTGTGGAAATCTGTTCCAAGCCACTCCAGCAATTCAATTATGTAAATGGAGTGACCCCACCTCCTGAACACCGCCTGAGCTTGAGCCTGGCCGGCTAGAGTTTTTTGTGTGTGTGGTGTGTGAGAAATGGGATAGAGTGAGTGCCTCCATGGCCCACCTGGCCCTGGGTGCCCCCTCCCTGTGGCAGCTCTCTGTTCCTCCTCTCTTTAGTCTTCTCTCCTTTCAGCGTCCTTGTTGCCATCAGTTTTTGCTGTGGCCGTTCTGAGGTACCTGAAGAGCCAGAGTGGGAGATAGGAGTTATGACAGCCTTGAAAATGGAAAGTTGGGATCAGAAAGTCTACTTCTGGGACCCTGGAACAAGTGACTTAATCTCTCTCTCTCTCTCTCTTTGAGGCAGGGTCTTGCTATGTTGCCCAGGCTGGAGTGCAGTGGCATGATCACAGCTCACTGCAACCTCCAACTCCAGGGCTCATGTGATCCTCCCACTCAGCCTCTCAAGTAGCTGGGACTACAGGCATGCACTACCATGCCTAGCTAATTTTTTTACTTCTTGTACAGTTGGGGGTCTCGCTATGTTGCTCAAGCTAGTCTCAAACTTCTGGGCTCAAGTGACCCTCCTGCTTCGGCTTCCAGAGTTTCGGGATTACAGGAATGAACCCATTCCTGGCTGACTGATTAAGTCCCATGCCTGGCTGACTTAATCTCTTGCCTTCAGCTTCCTCATCTGTAAAATGGGTATACTATTAGCCTCATGAAGCTGTCTTGAGGATTGAAAGAGATGCTAATTATGAAAAAACTGTAGAACACAAAGTGCTGCAAGGATGTGAATATTCGAAAGCAGGTCCCTGGTCTCTTTCACTTTGGAGTGGGGTTGGGGTACGGCACAAAGCAGAATGTTTCCATTGCAAAGGAGCGTGATGGAGTAAGCGGCAGAGGGCCTGAGGGGCAAGGTGGCGTGGCAGGCACGAGTAAGTCTAGCAGGGCTCTTGGAAGAAGCAGTTTCCAAAGGAGAGGGCCCCATATTGGCAGGCAGGAAGGTGCAGGGTGCTCCCTTCTTCCTCACAGAAAACCCCTGGCGAGGAAGAGGTGTGATTTGATCAGGGTGGCTGCATCAGACAGGCGTTCAGTACCTTTCCCACCAGAGCTGGTGCTGCTCAGGAGCTGAGCCAAGTCAGGGCCTCATGCAGCCCAGCTCTCCTGCCTGTGAGGGAGACCCAGGCGTCAGTGAGATGTCCCTTTTGAATCCAGCCCATGCACCTGGGCCCCTTTACAGCGGTTCTCACTTCACCAGCACCTCCCCTTCCCACGCAGGCTTCCTGTTTTGAAACCACCAATAGATGGAAAATGTGAGTACTGCCGCTTGAATGGCTCAGGCTGTGTGTGTGTCTGGGTGTGTGAGGTTCTGTGTGAGTTTGTGCTGTGTGAGCCTGTGTGCGCACATAAATGTGTATGTGCAAATGTGAATTTGAGTGTGATAGTGTAGGTGTGACTGTATGAGCATGTGTTTGTGCATGTGGGTGAGCGTGTGACTGTGAGTGGTTGAGTGAGTACATGGACACGTGTTGTGTGCATTTGAGCATGTGTATCGGTGTGTGGCTGTGTGAGTGCCTATATAAGTATATGATCATGTGTGTGTTACTGTGTGTGTTGCATGAGCATGTGTGCCTATCTATGAGCTCGTGTTGTGACTGTGATCATGTGATCATGTCTAAGAGTGCCTGTGTGGGTGTGTGACTGTGTGTGACTGTGTGTGAGGGTGTTTGTGTGCATGTGTTGTATGAGTGACCATGTGTGTGACAACGCAAGTGTATGATCAAATGTGTGTCACTGTGAGTGTGTGTTGTGGGTGTGATCACATGTGCAACTGTGTGTGACCTGATGTGAGTGTTTTGTGTGTGATTGTGTCAGTGTGTGAGTGATCACATGTGTGCTATATGAGTGATCATGTGTGTGACTGTGTGATCGTGTGTGATTATATATGTGTGTGGCCAGGGGAGAATGTGTGTTGAGTATGATCACATGTGTGACTCTGTGTGTGTGTGTGTGTGTGTGTGTGCGCGCGCGCGCGCACTTGGGCACGTGAGTGTGCCGCACAGCCCGGGGAAGGGCAGCTGAGGCAGAGGACTTTCCTTGCAGGGGACCAGCCTGGTCTGGGGTCTGGGGAGAGGGTGTTGAGGAGCGGTGGTCCTCCCAGGGAGCCCGTCTGCCTGAGTGGCAAAAGCAAGGAGCAGGGTAACACTGGCATCTGCAAGCACGTCCTGGAAGCTGCCTGAGGCCTTCCATCCACACTGAAAGACTCACCTCTCAGCTTGTATCTTTTTTTTCTCTCAAACTTTAAAACAAATAATTTCTTACCACTCCAAAAATGCATTCCTGAGAAACTGGATCACGTAACAAACAGATTAGACTGTCAGCCTTCCTAGCTGGATGGGCAGGCAGCACGTCTAGTCCATTTTCCTATTCCCAGTACTTAGCACAGTTCCTGGTAGCTGGCAGGGGTCAGTGCATTCATTCAGCAAGTATTTATGGGGTGCTTACCATGTGGCAACACAGATCATAACAAAGTCTCTGATCTCAGGGAGTGTACAGCACTGGGGAGCATGATCACAGTCCCATGAATACATAGGTACATGTGACAGGTGCTGAAAATCTTGGATGAAAGAATGGATTCCGTTTCCAGCTCTTTCCATAGCTTTGTAGAAGAGACTCCGGCTTTTTCTGGCTATTGGGAGAGGCAAGGCCATAATCAATATGCCTTTCTTCCTTTACAAAGATATTATTGACCCACAGGCTTTGAAAACAAAAATTTTCCCTTAGTGAGAAAATATAAATGGATAAGCTTCATCTCCCCTGCCATGCCCTCTCTCACTCCTGTGACCACCTTGTGACTTCTTGGGTCCCTTCCCCCATTGCACCCGCTGTTCCGTCACTCTTGTCTGGGTAGCAAAATCCCACTTATCTATCAAGGCCCAGCTCAAATCCTGTCCCTTCTGGGGCAGAGGTCATCTCCCGATAGGTGACCCACCTGCATGCTTTAAATGACTGGGGGAGCACGTATATCACAGCATTACGATTATTTGCTCTGTGTTTGTTTTCTGTCTCAGCTGAGCTCCTTGAGGCCAGAGACTTTGTTTTGTCTATCACTGAAGTTCCCAGAGCCTGGCACGGGACCTCGTCCTTCTTAGATGTTCAACATGTGTGGGATGGATGAACGGATGGGTGGGTGGGCAGACGGATAATTAGATGAAGGCTCCGTGCCCGCCCTTGTGTCATGAAAGATATACACTACAAAGATGGCAACCTAGGACTGAGCTAAGGCCCAGGGACCATGCAAAGGATAGTGTTTCAACAGTGGCTGGCATTGAGTAGGGCAGCTTTTACGTTTTTATAAATAACCTGAAAAAGGAAGTTCAGACTGAAACTCACACGTCTATGGGTGACACAGAGCTCTTTCGGTAGGGAGGTTCCATGCCAAAAGGGTAGAGGAGGGGAGGATCCCCTAAGATATGAGTGGGCGGACAAGTGGAAGGTTGCTTCAGCGTGAACAAACTCAAACCACTGTATTGACGCGGAAGTTATCTGAGGTATAAGATGGTGCCTCCGGGTGATTAAGTTTGACAAGAAAGCGTCACTTCATTCAATCAATAAATTAAACACCTACTATGTGCTGGGCTTTGTGCTCAGGCCTTTACCTCCTACCCTTGAAGATCTCAGAGTCTAATGGAGAAGAATGCTTCCAATGTAGTGGGAAAAATAGACATAGAAGGAAATAATTAGAGATAAGACTGGAAGGGCTAATAGAAGAATGGTAGAGAGTGCTATGAGACTTCCGAAGAGAGCTGCTCTGCTATCTGTGGTGGGGAAGTCGGGAGGATTTATTCATTCTGTACTTATTTCATGAATAGTTCAGGGCATTTACCGTGTGCTCAGTTTTGAAGGCACCAAGTTAAACAGATATGGAGTCTTATCTCCAAAGAGCTTACAGTCCACTGGGAGTGATGGATAGGTAAAGTGTGGGAGGGGCCGTGAGGGGGGATTTGTGATTCAGAAAGGATTTCGCTGAATGGTGAAATCTTGACCTAAAGTCATCCTTTAAATTCATTAGGCAGAAAAGGGGGAATGTGGACAATCCCAGCAGAAAAAGCAAAGTGGGCAAAGGTTCAACAGAGAGAACACCAGGGTGTGTTTTGGAAACTGCCGAGGCTCCTGGCTGAAGCAGAGGCTGCGGGGTGGGGGTGGTCACCGGAGAGGCAGCTGGGCTGACAGGGGCCAGCACAGGCATGGCCAAGGATATGGGGAACCTCTGCAGGATTTTAAGCAGGACAGTGATGTGATCTAGATTAATGGTTAAGAAAGATTATTCTAGTCTTGGTGGAGGGTGGACTATAAATTGGAGAATGAAAGGGAGAGTGAAACCAGCAGCCAATAGGACCCCTAAAATCGTCTTAGCAAGAGCTTATGCACTGAGAACAGAATGAGTTAATAGACCCAGAACCAGTGGAGTGGAATTGTCCTGATGACACCAGCCAAGGAGTTTGGGGAAATGTTATTCTCTCACTGTGCATGTAAGGCACCCTGTGGGGACAGTGCTGAGCTTAGGACCTAGAGGCAGCATCAGATAGGAGGGGAGAAAAATACACCAGAGTCCTGGGGAGTGTGGGCTGGGCCATGGCTCTGTGTCCTTAGAGAGTTATGAGACTTGACTGAGCCCCCGTTGGGACTGCTGTGAGAAAGAAGCGGGATAACATATTATAAACAATAGCATCTGCAGCTGGAGTGATGTTGGGTGGTTTGGGTTCCTGTACGTTTGGAGACAGAGTCAAAGCTGGGGAACGTCTTTAAGCTTCTGAAAGCTTTCTTTATAGAGACGCAATGAAAATATTAGAGCTGTTCTATCTGGAAAGTACAAAGGGAGGATGCCAAAGTTTAAGTAAGCTTCATAGCACAGGCATGGAGAGGAACTCAAACTGCCTGGTTTCAAATCCTGCCTTTGTGACCTAAGATCCATATATTCCCTTGAGTGAGCTATTTAACCTTTCAAAGCCTCTGTTCCCTCATTTGTGTAACAGGGATAATAATGAGCTGACTGTTGTGAGGGTTAAATGATACAATGCAGGTAAAGAGCATAGTACATACACCACGTTACACATGATAAGCTTGTAAGTAGCAGCAGCTATGAAATCATTAACTGGGACAAAAGTCTGCACACTCAGTCCCCCAATCCTGCAAAAGGAGGATCCTGCAAAAGGAGAGCAAGAATACCTCCCTTGTGTTGGAAGAAACACATTGTGGCAAATAAGAAAAGGTGGAGCGACTTCACATAGTGGTTTAAAACTGACAAAATCCATCATTCCAAACAAATCGGTGTGGACAACTTCAGACCGTCATTCTGCCTTTCAGCTGTAGGTGGGAGTTGAGTAGCAGCTGCCATCTTTCTTTCATTGTTTTAACTTTTTGGAAATTATCAACATTCACAAAAGCAGAGAGGATAGTGTAATGAACCCCCATGTATCTTCATCCAGATTCAGTAACGATCAACATACCTCCAGTCTGGTTTCATCCCAGCTGCCCCTATAGACGGGCACGCGCCATCCCAGCTCCCTGTGCACTCGGAGAATTCTCTTCCTTACTTGCTTTTCCCTCAGTGGAAATGGAAAACAGCCTGTTGTTAATGTCATTTAATCTCAGTTTAGCTTCCTTTAGGTTGGGCTAAATAATTTACGTTTATGCAATTTATTACTACAAAGCATTTCTTGACATTTTCATCTTCTCCTTGATTCTTTGAATACCTCCATTTCCTCCCGTCCACAGAAGATTGTGAACCCAGAACAAGACACAAGAGCTCTGTGAGTGTCCATCCAAGGGTCGCAGTGACGTGAGGCTAAATGCAAGGCCTGCTGCCCACCCAACTCTAAGCGCCTACCAACCCCAAACTGTGTCACAGTCCCTGGGTCTCTTGCACACGCTTGTGCTTAATACTGATTTGCCACTTAACAAGTCCCTTGGATGTCAGCAAAAGAGTGAGTACACGGAAGGAAAGAGAGCCCTTGTTTTTTCTTTCTTTTTTTTAAATTAATTTTTATTTTTTAAAGAACACATCACCTCTGCCAGAACCCTCAACTTTGGCTACGCCTACATGGAGAATGTTTTCATGGCCAAGACAGTCCACGACAGCTTTATGTTCTCCTGGACCTGGAGAGGTCCCAGCACACTGTGTGCCCCATACTACACATAGCAGTATGTGCATCATCACTGTGAGAGGAAGAGCCTTCTGCTGACACATCGAAAGTACTCAGATCGGATCCCTTGTGGCTTTGGCTGTCATCAGAAGCCCTCCCCTGAGATACAGCTGAATCATGTACTGCATGTCTTTAGTTGGTGTCTAATTTGTGGGGCTGGCAGCCTGGAATGTAGTTATTGCAAATGATACTAATCTCTGAGCTGCATTCCAGAGCGAAACTGCTTCTATGGATGCTATAATTAGCACAGACTTATTATGCATTTACTATATGCAAAGCACTTCATGTATTGGCAACACTTGCCTTAAACCTAGAAAATAATCACAATTGTTTGCATTTGCATTGTGCTTTGCATCTTACATCTGTAATATTAACAAAGAAGGCTTATTGGGTGCCAACTGTGCACCACGCATTGAGTCTGTAAAAACCTCCAAACAACCCTCTCTGTATTGTTCCATTCTCTATTGTCAGAAGCTGAGGGTTAGCTCTATTTAGTGAATTGACCAAGGGCCTCACAGCTAGTGAACAAGGGAACATAATTCAAATCCAGGACTGTGCATCAGTCCATGGGTCTGACCACTGCACCACACTGTCTTCTAACTCTAACAGAGTAATCGCTATTTGAGAGGTAATCATTCTATTTTATTTTATTTTATTTATTTTATTTTAAGACAGAGTCTCGCTCTGTCCCCCAGGCTGCAATGCAGTGGCGCTTTCTCGGCTCACTGCAACCTCCGCCTTCTGGGCGCAAGCTATTCTCGTGCCTCAGCTTCCCAAATAGCTGGGATTACAGGCATGCGTCACCACACCAGGCTAATTTTTATATTTTTAGTAGAGATGGGTTTTTGCCATCTTGGCCAGGCTGGTCTCAAACTCCTGGCCTCAAGTGATATGCCGGCTTTGGCTTCCCAAAGTGCTGGGATTACAGGTGTGAGCCACTGCTCCTGGCCAAGGTAATCATTCTTAAACCACTTTTATAGATGAGATGCCAATGCCCAGAGAGATTTTCTTCAAATCCTGCTGATAAATAGCAGAGCCAAGGCTCAAAGTCAGATCCTGTGACCCCATATTCAGTGTTTCTGAGTGCAACACCTGTTCCTCAGGCCGATGCTGCCTGGGCTAGGGGAACGGCTCATCACCACTGGCCTCCTCCCACTGTTGAGATAGGGCTCAGTTGCAGGGCCCCCCCACCTTTCTTCTTTACTTCCGGCATATTGCTCAGGCTGGTTGGGAGGGACAAGTTTAAAGAACACATCGGCTGGGTGGAACCGGGAGGGACACACTCAAAGTTACAATGTACCCTCAGTTACCCCCACAGAATGTTGTTGTGATTTTGACCCAAACCCCCAAAGCTACAACAACTTCACCTTAGCTTACTGGCACACTAGTATTATGTGTGTTAAGGGCAAGTGACTGATTATTTTACTCTCCATGAGGTAAGGAACCAAATTCCATCCATCCTGAAGAGAAAGGGAAAAAGAATTATTTCCAAAGGATCCTCATGAAATGAATCTGGAGAAGTTAAGAACCCAGATACTGCCTGCCTTGCACCTGATGGTGGTTAATAGCCGTTTTGCATCTCTAGAGTCCATTTTTCATAATGCATTGAAGGCTAACCTAGTAAGCTCAGAGTGACGATCCTGATTGCTTGCGTTTTAAGATCCTAGTCCAAGCTCTACTTCTGTCAAGATAGAGAAGCTGGGGACAAGTCACTTGAACATAGAGTCCCCTCCTTCTCCACCAGGAAGACGCAAATGCTTGCCCCTCTTGTCAGCCTCTTAGGAAGGCTGGAGAAACAGGCAATCATGTGAACATGCCTTGAGATCCTTGACAGAAGGATACAGAAACTCATTTTATTATCATTTTCCCTGAGAAAGGTGCATTGAACACTGACAGTGGGATTATTGAGATAGAGTTGAGCGAACATCAGCATTTCAGTGCCTGACAAGACGGATGTGTACCTGCAGGTAGGCGGAAAGAACCGTACCACGCGCCTGGGTTTTGGGCCATGTTGTTTACGCTTCCCGGCCTCTCATGTTTTGGGAAAGTGCATAATTTATTGCAGTGCTTTGGCCAACAACAAAGAGCTTTTTAAGTTACACCTGGCAGCATTTATCTTATTATAATGGAAAAATTAGATATTATTTCACTGTGTGGATGAGATAATCGGGTCCCTAAAATGTGAAATTCCAATTCTCTTGCACTGAGGAGTGTCTTCCCAGAAGCCTCCTGAATGCTCCTTGGGAGAATGCGGTCCACGCCCCAGGAGCTAAGAAGCAGTGAGGTGTGTCACACTCCTTCTCTGCCCTCCCATCTCTGTCGTCATCTGTCCATTGGAGGCTCATTGCAGTCTGAAATTGGATGTGGCTTGTCAGGGAGATGCTGGCAGCCTGGCCAGCAGCCGGCTTCAGGGCCACCAACAGAGCCCACCTCCTGGCTCCAGCCTACCCTATAATTAGGTGTTTTAATTGGGTGCTCTGTTTATACTCGGCCAGAACTGTTGTGCTGGCTGAGGCCTCACACAGGCAATGCTGCCTGGCTGCAACCTGTTCTCCCCTGGGAAGATGGTGTTTATTATGAAGGGAATGGAGTCTGGAGCCACACACCCAGGCCTTCTGCAGTGGACTGGGAGCCTGGCTTATTTTCCTAGAGAATCCTGGCTGACCATAGTGCTCCACTATTCATTAGAATGCTGATTTTAGGAAACTGTGCTCCACATCACATCCATCATTGTATCTCATGTTAGCTCCATCAGCCTTCTCCAGTGAGAGAAACCTCTAGATGAGTCATGGAGGTTTGATCTAGGGTGAGACCAATTGCTACAACCAAAAGTAGTCAGCTCTCCAAAGAAGAGCCACAAGTAACTAAAACTCTATGTCCTTTTGGCTGGGCTGGAATTATATAAACCTAAAGTATAAAAAAAGGGAAAATTAATTATTTTAACTTAATAAACAAAAGGTATTTGAAATTTTTATACTAAAACAGGGTTTTCATTGAAGGAATAGTATAGTCTACCTGTATAAAGCTAAACTGTCTTTTCAAACCAAATTTTCTTCCTGTCTTGCCTCGCTGTCCCTATCAATCTGGCCCCATCTAACCCCAGGCCTTCAGGGTCAACCATCCATCCCCATCCCTCCCCATCCCTTGGTACCCCTAAGATGCCAAGCACTGCCTAAGCACACTCTCTTTGAGTGTTGTCTAGTGCTATTGAGGAGATAAGACACACAAAACAATCAGAAAAAAAGTCCACATGGGAGAACATGTTATAATGTGCGAGGCCAGGTGGGCATTAAGAATGATAGGGTTATAGGGGGCGCGAGTTAGAGACAGTGAACTCAAGGGACCAGGTGCAATTTGCAGAGCTAGAAGAAGGAAAGGCATGGGTGGGACCTGGGTCACACTTGTAACAGGAATAAGGCTTCTCGCCTCAGGAAGCTCCTGCAAAATGAAGTAGCAGCTTCCTAAGCAAACAGGGCACGATGCAGCAGCAAATACAAGAAGGAGTTTGGTCTTGATCTTACGGGCAGTAGGGATCCATTTTAGTCTTTGCAGCATTGGCACATGATCCTAGTGGTATTTTGGCAGAATTATTTTCTTGGAGGTATGCATGATGGAATGAAGTATGATCCCAAGGCAGGGAGAGCCGTTGAAAGAGGCAGCTAAAATATTCTCAAGGATTATGACAGTGGGACTCGAAAGCGACTTGAGGGCAAGGTCAGTAACACAGACATCTAACCCTTGATAGTCTCCAGAGTGTGTTCCGTTATATTTTCATGTGATTCATACAAACAACCAACCTTTGAGGATAGTATTATTATTACCCTCATTTTACCGACTGAAGAGACTGAGACTCAAAGGGGCTGATGGACCTCACCTGCCCTTCTGTTTGGAACCCGTGCTAGAACCTGGGTCTTTTCTTTCCCAATCCTCTGTTCCTCCCAATACATTCAGCTGCCTCTTCTCTTATTGTTGTTGTTTTTCATATTCCTGGTAGCGCTCAGCCTAGGAAAATACATATGAATGCTCAAAAAACATCTTCAAGTATGAACACTAGAAAAAAAAAAAAAACTCGAGTTTCTGGCCAGGTGCTGTGGCTCGCGCCTGTAACCCCAGCATTTTGGGAGGCCGAGGCGGGCGGATCACCTAAGGTCAGGAGTTGAAGACCAGCCTGGCTCCTGGTCAACATGGTGAAACCCCGTCTCTACTAAAAATACAAAAATTAGATGGGTGTGGTTTCGTGTGCCTGTACTCCCAGCTACTCAGCAGGCTGAGGCAGGAGAATGGCTTGAACCTAGGAGGCAGAGGTTGCAGTGAGCCGAGATTGTGCCACTGCACTCCAGCCTGGGCAATGGAGTGAGACTCCACCTCAAAAAAAGAAAAGAAAAATCCCTGAGTTTCTTTATCTTTTTTCTTTCTTTTTTTTTTTTTTTTTGGTGATGGAGTTTCACTATTGTCGCCCAGGCTGGAGTGAAATGGCGAACTCAGCTCACTGCAACCTCCTCCTCCCGGGTTCAAGCGATTCTCCTGCCTCAGCCTCCCGAGTAGCTGGGATTACAGGCATGCACCACCACACCGGCTAATTTTGTATTTTTAGTAGAGACGGGATTTCTCCATGTTGGTCAGGCTGGTCTCGAACTCCTGATCTCAGATGATCCACCTGCCTCGGCCTCCCAAAGTGCTGGGATTACAGGCGTGAGCCACCGTGCCCGGCCAACCCTGAGTTTCTTAAAAGAAACCTGCTGCATAATTTTGAAGGATTAACATGCCTTCACCAGGGAATACTACAGTATTCCCTGCCCTATCTAAACTGTCTATCCATGAATTCAATAAATGCATTCGACAAATCAAGTGCCTTCCCTGTGAAACTCCTAGTGCAGCGATGTCCAGCCGAATGTTCTGTGATGATGGGAAGGTTTCATATCTGCACTCTCTGACATGGTAGCCACTAGCACCTGAAACATGGCCAGTGTGATGTGGAACTGAATGTTCAGTTTTATTCAGCATGTGGCTAGTGGTTAGCATTTTGGCCGCTGCACGTCTAATGGAATGGTTTTACAGTCAATAGTGAGGAGAACTCCAAAGGTTACCCTCAATTGCTAACAAAGACAAATTACAGGGGAAATGAGTCTTTTCCTAGGAAAAAGGGAGCCTGCCTTTCTGGCTTATCAATGCCACTCCAGAAGTGAAGACGGATGTTTCAGGCTTCTCTGTCTTCTGCTCAAGGAAACTGTCTTCCTGATGAGCTAAAATTGGTAACTCATTTTCCTGAAGAATCATTCTTTTGGGGTCTTTACTAGTGAACATAGAACAGTAATTGGAGGATCCCAACCTGTATTACATCTGGGAGGACATCTGGATGGTCAGTCCATGCATGAGTGGCTTGGATAGTGAGTGTCTGGTATCTTCTAGCTGGGATGAACAGCATTAGGCTTGAGGCTGCCACCTGGAAGGAGGTGCTAGAGTTTGAAATGGCTGCTTTATGTTGCATTGGGTGTTGTGAGTGTGATTCCTGCTTTGGCATCTGGCCTTGGTTCCCACTGAGGATTCTCCATGAACCCCTTACTCCCTGAAGGCTGTTCTTCATCATCAGCCCACACCTCAGCCACTCATGGTGATCTAAGGTTAAGGAAACCGCCCAACTTCCTCCCTCTGGTGGACAGAAAAAGAAGAGAATCCGCAGCACACAGAAACTCATAGGCTATCAGAGCTGGAAGGGGCCCTTGAGATCCACGTAAGCCCCTTTTCATTTTTCATGACCCCTGGAAGGTTGGAGGACTTGCCCAAGGTCATACCGCTAGTGACAGAGCAGGACTAGACCCCTGACTCTACCACCAGCTCGGTCCTCCTCCTAGAGCTGCACGATAGTCAAAAGGGGTGGAAAGAAGGCTCACGTTGGAGCGGTGGAATGGGCACTTGACACGGACTTAAATGTAAGCTCTGCGCCAAGTCACTGGGACCTTAAAGAAGCCATTGTTCTCTCTAAGCCTTGGTTCCCTCCACCATGCAATGGAGAGAAGTCAGACTACACGGTTCTCTCTTTTCATGGTTCAACGCTGAATAATCTCTGTGTGGGTTTCAATGATGCCCCAGAGCTCTTAAGCATATGTAGTGAAAGCTAATACCCACTGTCATTCTCACATTGCACGTCACCAGGAGTTCAGTTTAATACATGAGCACAAGGACGTGCAGCTCCACTCCCATCTCTCAGAGTCTCGGTTTCCCACCTCGCCCATGCAGAAGGCTCCGGTAACCCACATAGCAGTTGGCCTTTTGGCTTATAGCCTTCTGTGGAAAAGACTTGAACATTTTCTTCTATCTTATGGAAAGCGAGGATCAGGTTATCGCTTTGGCAAGCAGAGGGAACAACCGGGACAGGAGGGTGTGGCCACATGGAGTGCTGGTCTGACACCGAGGAGCTTTGCCTGGCCAGGTTCAAAAAAGCCTCCACCATGAATGAAAATGGCTCTGCAGGGAAAAGGCATGCTCTCTGCTCCTGGGTTGTACCAAAGCGGCTCTCAGCCCTGAGCTGCTTATCTCTCCCTCCCACTCTGTGAGGGAGGCCATATCAGTAAGGAGGAAGCAAGGCAGGGAGAATTGACTCATTTCGGATCCTCCTCTGAACTGGGGACAGAAGTCAAATTAGGCTTTGTCAACTCAGGCTTTGTCGACTCAGGCCCGAGGTCCGATAATTTTAAGATTGGGTATCTATTAAGATAAAAAAGAAAACTTATGGCTAAAGATAACCCTGGCATAAACATAGGTAATTAATTATAATCTGCTTTTTTCCCATACTCACTGATTAATTTGATTGTCTGTTTCCTGGGGCTTAGAGCTAATTACAGGAGTCTTTTGTACCTAAACATTGCAGTGTTCCTCTCCCCATTACCACGGAAGGCACTGAACACAGGAGTTCCTGGGCAGTTCATGAGCTGGTTATGGAAGAGGGTCAATTAATTAGGACGGAAGGAATCCATCCCGATTTAGGCATAAGCATTAACACGTGTTGGCCTAACAGGAATCAAGGCTGACTGTATTCAGGGGCAGCATTTGAGTGTGGCAATAAGAATGAACTATGAGGAAAATTCTCAAGAGCTTTTGGCCTTGACAACCATGGAGAGTTACCTAGAGCTGAATTGAGTCCTCTTTGTAGTCCAGAAATGTGAAACTGACTACATCTCGATAATTAGAGCCAGTAACTGGATTCTTACCCTTGCACATTTGTAAGCTGAAGCTTAATACTGCCTCTTTCTTTAAGCCTCAGCTTCCTGGTCTTTAAAATTTGCCTTCAAGGCCTGCCCTGAGGATTAAATAAAATATTGCTACATGAGCAAATGTGCCTAGTACAGTGCAAGATACACAGTCCTTCTTACACTGCCTTTTTTTCCTGCCTCATCCCCTCTACACCCCATTTATTTCCAGTGTCTGGTTCCTAAATGTCAGGGAAGGGGCCATTTCTGCCTCTTTCACATTACTGATGGTTCTAGCTTCTATCAAAGGCTGTGGTGCCCCAGTGTGGAGGGCTGTGGTAGGCCCTAGGGGCAGCCACTGTGGAGGAAGTCAAAGGAGGAAGTTAGACCTCAGGCAAGGAGGGCTAAGCTGTGAACAGGAACAACCCATCTCCCCTGCCATGACCATACTGCAGAGCCAAAGGCAAGCTGAGTGGTCATCTCTTAGGCTGCTCCCTATGAAGGGGGTCCTCAAGCCTCTCAGCAAATTAACACTGGACCAAAGAGGTTGCACTCGATCCAGTGGAAATTAAGAAGCACAGTCTAAGCAAAAAAGACAGAGACTCAGCATGGTAATGTGCCAAGAGCACAATTTGGGGAGTTAGGAGACCTGGCTTCCTGTCCCCATCAAATCACTTGCCTCCGCGGGTCTTAGTTCCTCATCTGTAACGTGAGAGGATTGAAGTAAGTGATCTTAGTCTCCAAGGCCTGAAATTCTGTGAGCATCGTATCCTAAATATCGTATCTTAATATATATACTATTATTCGATCTAAAATCAGAACCTAAGTATCTTTGCCTACACGCACATGCACTTACTGTCACACCAAGGGATGTCCCGATGCAGTACTGGGCATGTTACTGTAGATATTATGGACTCAACATTTGTGTTCCCCCCAAATTCATATGCTGAAATCCTTACCTCCAAGGTGATGATATCAGGAGGTTGAGTCCTCATGAACGGGATAGTCCCCTTGTGAAAGAAACCCCAGAGAGCTCTCTCCCCTTCTTTTCACTGTGTGAGGCTATAAGAAGTTGGCAGTCTGCATCCTGGAAGGGGCCCCTCCCCAGAGCTCAGTCATGCTGGCACCCTGAGCTTGGTCCGATAGCCTCCAGAACAGTGAGAAATACATTTCTATTGTCCATGAGCCACCCCAGTCTATGGCACTTTGTCGTAGAAGCACAAATGAATGAAGACAGCATATACCTGATACATCTAGATATTTCATGCTGTGTTGTGTTAAACAAATGGGCTGTATATTCTCAATCCATAGTATACAATTAATAATCACCTTTCAGTCCCTGTTTTCCTCCCTCCTAAGGCATTGAGGGAGGAGGGCTCAGGAGGGGTAAGAGTTCTGAGTGCTCAGAAGCCCAATGGGAAGACAAGACCTTCTTTTCCCTTTTTTTTTTTTTTTTTTTTTTTGAGACAGAGTCTCACTCTGTCGCCAGGCTGAAGTGCAGTGGTGCAATCTCGGCTCACTGCAACCTTCGCCTCCCAGGTTCAAGCCATTCTCCTGCCTCAACCTCCTGAGTAGCTGGGATTACAGGCGCCTGCCACCACACCCAGCTAATTTTTGTATTTTTAGTAGAGATGGGGTTCCACCATGTTGATGGTCTCTATCTCTTGACCTCATGATCCACCCGCCTCGGCCTCCCAAAGTGCTGGGATTACAGGCGTGAGCCACCGCACCAGGCCGACAAGACCTTCTTTAAACACTCAACCACTCCTTTTGAGTCGAAGCTTCCTGGGGGCCCTTCGTCTGGCAAGGGCTTAGGTGTCTTTACCAAGTGCCAAATTGCCAGATTCCCTGAGCGCTGGGAACTGAGGCCCAGAAGGAAGGCGAAGATGTGGCCGGGGGTGGGGCCGGTCTGGGGGGTATCGTAGTTGGGCCAGCAGACACACGGCTGGCTAGAGAGTTTTGGACCCCTCTCACTTCCTGGCGTGTTTGGTCAAGTCCCATTTATAATATGTAAAGTACTCCCATAAAGGGGGATGCAGTAAATAATTTCAGGAAATTGAGCGTAACCTTTCTTAGCAGCTTAGCAGTGGTGGAACGGGCAGAGTAGAATTTCCTGAGATTTCAGCTGCAGAGTAAGCCTCCAGAGCATCTGCCAGGAACTGTTTTACCAAAAGATTCCCTCCAGGAGCTTCCCAGACAGGCCTAGCCTGCTTAGAGTCGGGACAGCTGGAAAGGGCAGTCAGTGGTGGGGGCGGAGGGGGCACCCAGTGGCCGTAGAACACCGACCCTGTGCCAAACTCAGAGCTAAGCATGTCACATAACCCTAACAGCTGGTGTGAATCTCCTTTCGTTTACATATGTGGGGACTGAGATTAGATGGGTTAGGTCTGTGCGATTATAAGTAGATGCACCTGCCACTCCACGCCACTCTACTCCCTCCCTTAAGTTGCCAAGCTTTAACTCTCAGCCTAGAAGGACTTAAATCAAGTTTTAACTGATGGCAGGAGCGAAATGCAATGAATTCAGATCAGCAATTTCCACTGGTTATGGGATTGGGATCTTCCATCTCTTGCATTAAATGCCTAGGTTACCCTTTAGTGCTGAGCTTGGTCATACCAGGTCATTTCAGCCAATGCTCACTCTTCCTTTCCTATTTCACTCTTCCTGAAAAGCTAGGTGTTTTCACTTTTTATGACTCAGCACTCTAACTTTAGTGGCTTAAAACACACATTTTCCCAGTTTCTGTAGGTCAGGAGCCCAGGCATGGCTTGACTGGGTTCTCTGCTCAGTCTTACAAGATTGCAGTCAAGGTGTTGGCCAGGCCGTGTTCTCACCAGAAAGCTTGACTAAGATCCACTTATAAGCTCACCCACATTGTTGGCAGAAGTCATTTCCTTTTGGTTATATGACTGAGGGCCCCAGCTTTTTGTTGGATGTTGGCTACAAGCCACTCTCAGGTCCTAACGAGGCTGCCTGCAGTTCCTTGCCACGTGGCTGTCTTTTCATAGGCAGTCCACAACATGCTGCTTCTCCTTGGCCAGCAGGAAAGCGAGTCATTTAGAGCAGTGGTCCCCAATCTTTTTGGCACCAGGAACCGGTTTTGTGGAAGACAGTTTTTCCACTGACCCGGGTGGTGGTGTGATGGTTTGGGGATGATTCAAGTGCATTACATTTATTGTGCACTTTATTCCTATTATTATTACATTGTAATATATAATGAAATAGTGATACAACCAACTCACCATAATGTAGAATGAGTGGGAGCCCTGAGCTTGTTTTCCTGAAACTAGGTGGGACCGTCTAGTTGGAGACCCCTGACTTAGTTGGGACCATCTGTGGGTGATGGGAGACAATGACAGACTATCAGGCATTAGATTCTCCTGAGGAGCCTGCAACCTAGATCCCTTGCACGTGCAGTTCACAGTAGGGTTTGTGCTCCTGTGAGAATCTAATGCTGCCACTGATCTGATAGGAGGCAGAGCTCAGGCAGTAATGCTCACTCGCCTGCCTGCCTGCTGTGCAGCCTGGCTCCTAACAGGCCACGTACCAGTACCCATCTGTGGCTCAGGGGTTGGAGACACCTGACTTAGATGTGTCTTATGTGTGTCATAATGGAATAGCACAAGTGATTCCATCACCTTTGCCATATAGAGGTAAGTCATAGGTCTCACCTACACTTGAGGGGAGGGAATTATACAAAGGAGTGAACACCAGAAGTTAGGATTACTAAGGTGTCACCAAGGGTCTGTCTGCCACACTGATATACATATACCTTTAACATCTTCAGGAAGTTCATATTTTTAAAATTTTAACACCTACTATGTGCCAGCTACTAGAGATGCAAAGAAAACAAGAAATGGTCTCTGCTTCAAGTAGCTCATGGTCTATTGCAAAGACAGATCTTTTAAATATAATTTGGAAGGTGCTATGATACAACCGCCTGGCTGGTAAGGGTGCCCAGACAGGTAGGGACCACTTCCTGGAGGAAATGAAATGCAAGTGAGTGTTAAAGGATAGGCAGGAGCTAGCCAGGTAACTGAGGGTGGAGTTAGCCTTGCAGGAAAAGGAACCAACAGAGAAAGTTTTTTTTTTTTTTGTTATTGTTCTTTGAGATGGAGTCTTGCTCTGTCACCCAGGCTAGAGTGCAGTGGCTCAACCTTGGCTCACTGCAACCTCCGCCTCCCGGGTTCAAGCAATTCTCCTGCCTCGGCCTCCCAAGTAGCTGGGATTACAGGCATGCACCACCGCACCTGGCTAATTTTTTTGTATTTTTAGTAGAGACGGGGTTTCACCAGGTTGGCTAGGCTGGTCTTGAACTCCTGACCTTGTGATCCACCCACCTTGGCCTCCCAAAATGCTGGGATTACAGGTGTGAGCCACTGCACCCAGCCCCAGAGAAAGGTTTTAAGTGTGAGAGAAGAACCAGGGAGCAGAATGTTTGAGGGTGAAACTGAAGAAGGAGACAGATGTGAGGCCATGGAGGACTCAGCATGCCATGCTAAGGAGTCTAAACATGTTTTTGGAGATGAAGAGTTTAAAAAGTAGGATGGGATGCCTTACGTTGAATCCTGGATGGCAGCAGTGTAAACTGGAAATCTCTTTTTGTCATACCATATTCCATACCTAACTATACTGGTCATCTCTTTATACCATGAACCCCAAGACCATCCAGTTGTTTCTCTACCCTGGATTTCGGTCTCCCTGGATAACTGATAACTCTGGAAATAATGACCAGCAGGATGGGTTTGACTGCGCAGGAGTTTTTGCCATGACGGTATTTCCTTTGGTAGAATCTGACCTATAGTCTGGTTTGGAGGAGTTTCAAATCTTCACGAGAGTGTCAGTTGGCAGGGCCGAGGTGGCAGAGGAGGGTTTCTCTTAAGTGGCATCTCCCCACTCTCCTTGGAAGGTCTTCTCAAGAGTCTCATGATACTAACCCATCCTCCTGGTAGAAAGGCCTCAGCTTAGTTATCCAAGTCCGTGACTTCTTTGTGTTTACTCACATATTCTTTACCCCCATCTCTACCAACAACCAAAAATAAAAATAAAAAAATAGCCTGCCATGGTGGCACACACCTGTAGTCCTAGCTACACAGGAGGCTGACACAGGAGGATCACTTGAGGCCAGGAGGTCGAGGCTGCAGTGAGCTGTGATTATACTGATGCACTTCAGCCTGGGTGAGAGTGAGACACCAACTCCAAAAAATAAAACATAAATAAGTGTTGCTAACAAATTACTTACCAAGAAGAGTTACAGAAGAGTGACAGTGGCTCTGTCTGGTCTGCATACGTTTTCTCTGACCCACCAAAGCCGTTAGCCAGAGTCTCCTATGTAGCTTTGGGCTGAAACCGTTTCAGAAGGACTAAAAATTACCCAAGTTTAAGTATTTTTAGCTGATTCTAGTGGGTTAGAGAGAAAAGGGGGTGGAAATAAGAGAAAAAACAGCTAGTCTCTGTTGTCATCTGCAACCTGAAATCACTCTTCATTTTCATCTGTTTCTCCCAGATCCTTTTTTTTTTTTTTTTTTTTTTTTTTTTTTTGAGACAGGGTCTCACTCTGTTGCCAGGCTGGAGTACAGTGGCATGATCTCTGCTCACTGCAACCTCTGCCTCCCGGGTTAAAGCGATTCTCCTGCCTCAGCCTCCCGAGTAGCTGGGACTACAGGCATGCACCACCACGCCCAGCTAATTTTTGTATTTTTATTAGAGATGGAGTTTCACCATGTTGGCCAGGCTGGTCTCGAACTCCTGACCTCAAGTGATCCGCCCACCTCCACCTCCCAAAGTGTTGGGATTACAGGCGTGAGCCACCGCGCCTGGCCGGTTTTCGCCATTACCGTCAATGGCAAAAACCACAGTTACTTTTGCACCGACCTAATAACATCTGTGACCTCATTCTGGAATCACCGTGCCCCTGGCTTGCTGTTGTCCTTGGGTAAGACAGGCTTCTGATCCTCTGTTTCTCAGGAAATAATAATAGTTCACTGCATACAAATGAGAGAGCTTTTGAAACTTACTCCCTCCAGAGATATTCAGGTGGGCAGTGATGTTACTACTCTGCCAACTGGGGAGTAAAGGCTTCAGGGATAGCGCTAGTGACTTGATCCGAGGATCTGCGAGGAAGAAGGCAGCCCTGGCCAGCCTCTCCCCAGAGCCTGACTGTGGACACCAGCTCAGGGCTATCACTCTTCTGTTAGGATACTTCCGCTCAGCAAAAATGCACACCCTCCATTGACAGCCTAGAAGACAACAGTGGGAAATGTTGCTTTCTTCTTCTCCACGCCTGCTGAGAGTTCTCATTGACTCCCCACTTTCTTCCTGATCAAATCTAAACTCCCCTGCCTGGCTCCCAACAATCTGCGTCATGTGCGCTCTTCAGTAGACTCCTGCCACCGTCACCCGTTCCCGGATGGTTTCTACCTCTGCACCTTTCCTTATGTTATCGCCTTACCTGAGGAGGTTTTCTCTCTCCCTGAATCCCATACATTCCTTAAGACCTTACCAGATGGTTGTAGATTATTTTAGCAGAGAAAGAATCTGGGTCTTCTGGTCCCCAGTCTCAAAATATTTCTATTAGCATGGAATTTACAGACATTATTCCAGGAAAATTGCAAAGATTGATTAGATAATAATGCACAGGCATATGTGCAAAGGTTATTTGTGTTAAGTACCTAATATATGCCAAACATTGTGCTGAGCTCTTCAAATACATTATGTGATATTAATCATTATTCTACCCTGTAAGGCCGTTATTACCGCCATTTAAGAGATTGGGAAAGTGAGTTTTAGGATAATTCACTTGTCCACAGTCCCATCGCTAATGAGAGTTTTGTTCCCAAGAATGTGGTCCCTCCTGTGCCCCTGTGCAAAAACTCATTGATCTTGGGGAGCAGAAAGGCATTGTCTAGATGCTAGAGGGACACATAACAGAGGCAAAGAGAAATGTGTCTTATTATGTCACCACCCATGGTCTAATGGCTGGTTTCCCAATTACAAACTGCTGCCTCCCTACAGCAGAGGCCAGAGTTCCAGCCCCTTTTTAGCGAGAACAAAACAAGGCCTCCTATATGGGCTGCTGGGCCCTGCCACATAAAAACATCGGGAAACCTAAACAGCATTTTCCCTGCTAACCACCCCCTAAGGAGGGCTGCCTAACAGCCTCTTTATGGGTTGGAAAGCAGAGTCTTGTTGATAGGAGAGAAAGGCCTCCCCCACAGGTTGGAGGCCTTCAGCTGAAGACTTACTTAAGCCCCCAAATAGCTCAGGAAATTTTTTTTCCCTTTCTCTGATTAGCTTTATAAAAAAACCCAGAGCCTTTTTCTCCCCATTGGCTGGCCTTGGTGGTAATGTCCCCAGCAGGCTTGCTATCCCATTGATTGTGGGATGTGCAGCTCTCACACTGGACAACAGCTGAAAGCAGAGGCCATTAACCCCACCTAACTGAAAGGGTTCACCACCAGGAGACTGATTCTGAAATTGAGTCTTTGTGATCAATATATCTTTCTCCATTAGTTTCATTTCCTCTAAAGGAAATGTGTAGAGCCATTATGGTTGATATTTACTGACAGGCTTCTCTACTGCCCTCCCTCAGCCTCATGGGGAGAAGGCTAGGGGAGAGGGGGCAAGACTTCGGAGATGAGATTGTTCAGCTGAACTGCCCAGGCTCTTTGCAAGCCTATTTTACTGGCCTTGGTGATAAAAAGTAGCTGGACTTCCTTGTATGAAAGTGATAGAATAAATAATCTTATTATGTAGGAAAGAGTGACCAACTCTATCGGGTACAGAAAAGGGTGGCGTAAGTTTGAGTGTCGTTGGAAGGAGTTTGGACTCGTGGAAAAACTTTCTGAGTGCAAGGGCCATTAGGCAACCAAGAGACATTGCTGGATCTCCTATTCTTAATATCCATGAGAAGAGGAAAAATCCTTCAAAAGTCATGGATGGTCTAAAGTACAGTCTTATCTAGCCATAAGGAGAAATAGGCAGGATGGTCCTAAGATCCTTTGCAGCCAAGGAATCACTATCACTTACGGTTGTTTCTGAGGACCTCAAAACACTTTATCGATGTCACATCTTTCTCGATCTCCCTGTGGGCTTGTAATCACTTCCTTTCTGAAAACGAAAAAAACGAGAGCACCAAGTAAGAAATGACTTCCTTTGGGAAAAAGACACATACCCATGTTCCAGCTCCTGCAAGAACCTGCTAGAGCAGCTGTATGTGGCCAGTCCCTGATTTTGCTTTAGCCTGGAAGGCTTGGCTGAAATACCACTGCTTCCCCTCCTTGGCTTGCGCAGCTCTTAGCTATTCCCCCAAGGCTTCCCAACACTTACTTGACCTCTGTTGATGAAAGGTGGGACTGAATTGCGTGGATCTTATTGGCCACTGGTAGCTGAAAGAGTGACCGTATCAGAAACTGAAGTCTCAACTAACAGACAGTGGTAGATGAGAGGTGCTGTAGTACGTGAATTCAGGGAATTAGTTTGGTTACTCTACCAGCATCTTCCATCCTTGGTCACTGGAGTGCCTGGAATCAGGCTGGCTCTAATTCTGCCCATCCTCACACCCAACTGCTCTGCACACGGAGTAGACTCCATTCCTGGAACCAGCCTAAGCCAACAGAAGAGAAAAAGGAAGCATGCTGATTTTAGTGTGGGGTGGAACTGAACCTTTGCCAAAGAAAAAAGGTAGAATCCAAGAGGAATGGGTATTTAGCAAAAGCCTAGAAGCAAGTCAGTTCTGCTGCATAGAAAAAAAAAAATGTAGGGGGAAGCTATCCTTTTTAGATTAACAGGATTTTTTGTTTTATAGTCATAAAAGCCCTTTTTTTTTTTCATGTCTAGACTTGCACCCACAGAGACTAGGTTCGGTTTTATTCATTTTTGTCTTTGGAAGATAAGAAGGAAAGCCTCTGCTGATTTAGCCAAGGTAAATGTCAGGGGCACAGGCCCTAAGACAGAGAGGCAGTGAAATTTTCAATATCCTCAAGTTCCTCTAATGCCAAGAAGCCCCATTCCAGCCTGGAAGGCACCAAGGGTCTGGAGTAGAGCTCCATGATTGTGCCTAAGGAGAGGCTTATTGGCCACTTCTCACTGGGTTTCCAGGGAAGGACGGGCACTTGCGACGCTTCCCACTGAGCCCTGGGCTCAGTGCTTTGACACTGGAGAGTGGGACTCTTGCTTTGACCTGAGACTCAAGGATTCCAGCTCATCCAAGTGACTTAGAGGGTGAAGGGGAACAAAGAGTTGGCCTGGCTGCTTGCTCACACCCCTCCATGACAGGACACAGCAGGTACATTAGAAGAGGAGTGGCAACTTTTTCATGAGGTTGAGTTCCACCTCAGTGGAGGAAGAAGTTTAGCAGACTAGAAGTGGTTGATAATTAATTAACCACTCTGGCAACCACCGCCTGATGGATCTCTGGCTCTCAGCCCATTGGGTTACTGGATGCTTTGTGCCTAGCCCTTATCTCCATATAAGTCTTTTGGAAGCCTCATGCCTGGGAGCTCACGTATGTTTTAAGTCCTGGACCTGGTGCCCAGGCTGCTCCTGGGCTATGATTGTGGCTTTAGTGTCTTCACCCTCCCTTTACACAGCTTCATGTAACATAGTCTCACTCCTATGCCATTGCCTGTGGCCACTCTGCACATCATTTCCTGCTCAGCTTAAAATTGTAACAGGTTAGGCCTTACCTGAGGTATGCAGTCTCCTGTATTAATCACCCAGCGTGGCTGGTGCACTGCAGAAAAGTGATGGCCTTTCACTAGGCTGTGAAAGCTGCCTGTCCTAAGGGAAGAAGCGAAAGGAGAGGGGCAGGATAGCAGCTGTGGATACCCAGGGTCCTTCTCAGTGGAATGAGTTGAGGGAGAAGCATCTCCAAGTGAAATGGAGGCCTCCATGAGTCAAGAGCTATCATGAACTGCCTATCTTATTCTGCCAGGAATATAGACATAGTTGCCAATTAGGAGAAGCAGCACAAGTGATATAAAATAGGATATAGTGGCCGGGCGCGGTGGCTCATGCCTGTAATCCCAGCACTTTGGGAGGCTGAGGTGGGCGGATCACGAGGTCAGGAGATCGAGACCATCCTGGCTAACAGGTGAAACCCCGTCTCTACTAACTACACAAAAAATTAGCCAGGCGAGGTAGCGGGCGCCTGTAGTCCCAGCTACTCCAGAGGCTGAGGCAGGAGAATGGCGTGAACCCGGGAGGCGGAGCTTGCAGTGAGCCGAGATCGCGCCACTGCACTCCAGCCTGGGCGACGGAGCCAGCGAGACTCCGTCTCAAAAAATAATAATAATAAATAAATACCAAAAAATAAAAAATAAAATTAGCCGGACGTGGTGGCAGGTGCCTGTAGTCCCAGCTACTCAGGAGGCTGAGGCAGGAGAATGGTGTCAACCCGGGAGGCGGGGCTGGCAGTGAGCCAAGATCGTGCCACTGAACTCCAGCCTGGGTGACAGAGCAAGACTCCGTCTCAAAAATAAATACATAAAAATAAATAAATACGTAAATAAAATAAAATAGGATATAGTAACAAACATCTTTGCTTGGCTCTGGCATGCATTTGCATGGGCATATTTTGCCTACCTCTGGACTCAGTTGTGCTTCTACTCTCCCACCACCCACCCATGTCTCCAGCCCCTTCCCCCGAGTAGTCCTGCTGACAGGAGTCTGGGGGAGACTCAGCTGTGGGTGTAGAAGAGCCCAGACTTCTATTAATAGTAATCTCTAGGCCGGGCGCAGTGGCTCACGCCTGTAATCCCAGCACTTTGGGAAGCCGAGGTGGGCGGATCACGAGGTCACGAGATCGAGACCAGCCTGACCAACATGGTGAAACCGCGTCTCTACTAAAAATACAAAAATTAGCTGGGCATAGTGGCTCATGCCTGTAATCCCAGCTACTCGGGAGGCTGAGGCAGGAGAATTGCTTGAACCCGGGAAGCGGAGGTCACAGTGAGTGAGAATGCATCCAGCCTGGTGACAGAGCAAGACTCCGTCTCAAAAAAAAAAAAAAAGTAATCTCTGATAGTAAAGGTTTCTTTTTGTTTTGTTTTGTTTTTGAGATGGAGTCTCTCTCTCTGTCACCCAGACTGGAGTGCAATGGCACGATTTCGGCTCACTGCAACCTCTGTCTCTCTGGTTCAAGCAAGTCCCCTCCCTCAGCCTCCCAAGTAGCTGGGACTACAGGCATGTGCCACCATGCGTGGCCAATTTTTGTATTTTTTTAGTAGAGACGAGGTTTCACCATGTTGGCCAGGATGGTCTCGATCTCTTGACCTCGTGATCCACCCGCCTCGGCCTCCCAAAGTGCTGGGATTACAGGCGTGAGCCACCACGCCCGGCCCCTTATGCTCTTTTTGTATTTCAAGGGAATGCTATCGGTTAACTAAGGGACAAAACTTTACCACAGAGAGGCAAGCTCGCTTTTCCCAAGCCACACAGCACAGAGGACTAAGAAGGAGATTTTCAAAGCTCTGACTGTGCAGTCAGGTCTCATTGGGCAGCATTCACAGAGGAAGAGAAGCAGCCAGATGGGACAGGTACTGTAGAGACAGGCAGGGTGGGCAAGAATGTTGCTCTGGAGTCAGAAGCAGCTGAGTTACAAACCTGGGGACCTTCACATAGTGCACTCCTCAAGAGCAAGGCCAATGTCTTAATGATGTCTCTGCGTTTATTTGGACCTTAAACATGGACCTCAGGTGCTGAATAAATGACTCTTGACTTGTAGCGGTTGACTTGCATGACTGTCGTGTGGCCTGAAACCTCAGTTTCCTCATCTGTAATAGGATAAAAATGACTGCTAGCCTGGGAGCCCTCCTGAGTAGTTTGCTATCTGGGACGATTTTCATGCATCCTTCTTGGGAGAGATTTTTCCCTCCACAAATCTCAAGCTGCCTTCAGTCCTGTTGCCACATTGCTTAACTGAGAAAGTACAGGGAACAGAGAAGTAGATATCTCAGACCTGATTGGCTCCATTTGGTGACTAGATACAGACAGTGTCCTTCCCACCACCACGGCCAATGACTCTCCTGTCAAGAGGGCGCTCTGTGGAGAAGCAGAAATGCTGTGTCCGTGAGGGCTGTCTGGATGGCATGAGGTTTCAAATACCATATTGCAGTCAGGAGTTTTGGGTACTGAATCATGTATTTACTCATATATATATATGAGTATATTAAAAAAGAAAAAGATAGAGATATATATGTATGTGTGTGTGTGTGTGTGTGTGTGTGTGTGTGTGTGTGTATATATATATATTTGAGACTGAGCCTCACTCTATCGCCCACGCTGGAGTGCAGTGGCACAATCTCGGCTTGCTGCAACTTCTGCCTCCCTGGTTCAAGTGATTCTCATGCCTCAGCCTCCCAAGTAGCTGGGATTATAGGCAGCCACCACCAGGCCCAGCTAATTTTTGTATTTTTGGTAGAGACAGGGTTTCACCATGTTGACCAGGCTGGTCTCAAACTCCTGATCTCAGTGATCCACCTACCTTGGCCTCCCAAAGTGCTGGGATTACAGGTGTGAGCCACCGTGCCCAGCCTATTTACTCATATATTTACAAAACAAAATTAAACATCTGACCCTCTCAAGATTGACAACTACTCAGTACACTGATTTATGGACTTTTAATCACAACGTCTAAAACCAACCCCTGTTACGGGACAACCAGAGATGACTTGACTGCTGGCCGTTCAGGGCAGAGCCACCAGGTGCATGGAGGTTTCTAACAATACCAGCTTCATAAGTTTGTCATGAGGTAGCTTAGTCCATTTTTATTACTATAAAGGAATACCTGAGGCTGGGTAATCTATAAAGAAAAGAGGATTATTTGGCTCTCAGTTCTGCAGACTATATGGGAGGCATGACTCCAGCATCTGCTTCTGTCAAGAACCTCAGGAAGCTTCCACTCATGACAGAAGGCAAAGGAAGGAGACATATGGAGAGAAGAAGGGAGAGAGAGAGGGGAGAAGCTGCCAGGCTCTTTTCAACAACCAGCTCCCGTGAAAACAAAGAGTGAGAACTTACTCCCAGAAGACTGGCTCCAAGCCATTCATGAGCAATCCACTTCCATGATCCAAACGCCTCCCACCAGGCCCCACCTCCAACATTGGGGATCAAATTTCAACATGAGACTTGGTGGGGTCAAGCAATGCCATGCCATAAAGGTTTAAAGTCTGAAGTGCCTGGTACATAAAGACCCTCAATTATGATAGACTCCCTTATCCTCATTTTTCTTCTACTAGAGAAACAAATAGATGGAGAGTCACCTGTGTGCCCTCTGTTCTCAAGATGGCCGCCAGCCCCAGGCACTCTGTTGAGCAGCCTCAGAGCATCCTGTGAGGATGTTCATGACTGATTCAGCAGTTCACAGAGCACAACAAAAGGCTGTGGTATTTCTACCTAAAACTACTTTATGAAAAAGTGTTGTTTTCCAAATATACCCCAAAAGAATACCTCCATCTTCCGTTGTGGCAACAATGACCACTGTGTGGCTGGACTCTTCAACCAGGGAAAAGAGGAGTTGGGTTCTACCTCAGTTTACCCATCCCCCAGTTCATTGCCGACTTTTAAACTGATTTTGAGGGAGAAGAATGAGGCATCTGATTAATTAGGTCATCTTTTAATTGAATTCAAACTGTTAGGTGTGGAAAATTTAACAAGTGGTATCCAGGAGGTTGAGAACATTTTTTAAAATATTGTAGTTCGTATTAAATGTTTCCAAATGTAAGATCATCTTAGCTACATGAAGGAAAGATATAATTTAATATTGGTTGCATAGGGAATTTCATCCACTTGAAGGATTACATGCTTGACCCTGTGCCTTCCCATTTCCTAAGTGAACAAGTCCTTGGTCACAGAGAACCAATGCATGGAGCAGGTACAGTGCCTACCGCCACGCATGTGAGTCCACCAGCAATGCAAAGTCAAGGACAATACAGCTCCAAGTAACTGGAAAGCTCAACCAATTAGTTTTCTACTTAATTGAATCAAAGTCTTACTATTTTGAGGGAATATGTTTTTCATTCCGTTATCCTACATCTTGTCTCTTGCTTTTTACTGCAGGTGTCAGATATTTGAGTTTTATCAAATGGCACTAAAATAGGGGAACTCTCTTCTGAAGGCATATGCTGAGCACCCCTAGAGAACCTGCTGGTCTGGGATAACCTATCCCTCTGAGTCGGGGATGTCTTAAGTGTTTTTTTTTTTTTTGACCATAGCATTGAGTGATTTGGGAGCAGAAGGTATTCCTTAGACAGGAAATAGGAGCTCAATAGATGGCCCAAAAGAAGTGTCTGGATTACAAACGCAAAGAGACAAGAAAGTGCAGTCAAGCCAACAAAGAAAACGGCAGCTAACAAGACTGGTTGTGTCTCTTTAATGATACCTGGTCCCACTATTCGCCTGGAACAATACTAAGCTCACTGTCACTGTCACCCCCAGCCCCAACTTGTTTCTACTCCTGCATTTTCATTCAGAGAGTGTCTCCACCACCCACTAAATATTCAAGCTGCAGTGCCAGATCAGTCTCAGCTTTATTCAGTCAACCATCGAAACATCATTGCCAATATCCTCATTGTCACTGCCTCAGTTCAACCTCTCAATGTGTTCTTCCCACCTATTGTCAAGGCCTTCTAGCCTCCCAGCATCCAGCTTATCTCTCTGAAATGTATCCTTCAATGCAAGCAAATCTGAACATGCCTCTCTAGCTTAATTTGAGATCAGGTCCAAGCTCTAAAGTGACGCATAAGGCCTTTGCGAGTGATCTCCCACTTACGTTTTCAGGTATCTGCAAAGGCCTTTATCTTTACCCTCATCCAGCTTTACAGTTTTGGCCCTAGCATTACCAAGCTTGGATTTTCCTGCACATGCAGTGCTGTCTCTTGCTTTCATCTGTTTGCTGGTGCCATTCTCTCTACTTCAGATGTCCTTCTGCTTTCCTTTCTTTCTCTAGTCAGCTCTTACTTTGCTTTTTTTTTTTTTTTCTGAGATGGAGTTTTGCTCTTGTCACCCAGGGTGGAGTGCAATGGCACGACCTCGGCTCACTGCATCCTCCGCCTCCCAGGTTCAAGTGATTCTCCTGCCTCAGCCTCCCAAGTAGCTGGGATTACAGGCACCCACCACCACGCCACCACGCCCGGCTAATTTTTGTATTTTTAGTAGACACGGGGTTTCACCATGTTGGTCAGGCTGGTCTCGAACTCCTCTCCTCAGGTGATCCACCCGCCTTGGCCTCCCAAAGTGCTGGGATTACAGGCGTGAGCCACCGTGTCCAGCCTCTTACTTAGCTTTTAAGGTCCAGATCAAGCATCATTTCTTTTAGGAAAGAGTCCTAAACTTTCTCAGCCCACAACCCCTTAGTGTCCAATAATTTTTACATAGAGCCTGTGGGCCAACAAAAATACCAACAGTTCTGTTTATTTAGTAGTTAGATCTAAACACCTTAATAAGTATTTATGTCCTGGCAACTTAAGAGCTGTGTTAAAACACACACACACACACACACACACACACACACACACACACACTAAAATAATAATCACCTTTTTATTCTTAAATAACCACAGCTACTTACTAATGGGATGTGTGTGTCTGTGGGGCACTGCACAACTGCCCCAGCCTTAGGATCAGTTGGGGCACTGCCACTCTCATTGCCTGTTCCACATTGATTTTCGCTGGATACTTGGTTTTTATTACAACAGTTGCTAAAACTGCAGCTTCACCAAGATAGGACCTCAAGAATGCAGCCCAGTCTGATATTGTGAACTCTAACTACCTCAAGCTAGAAGCTTATGTGGTGTTCAACAGATGATGAGTATTGCTGTGTTTCTCTTATAACATTTAAAATATCCAGTGGCACCTCTTTGAGTCTGCTGTGGCGTTCTGACCTAGAGTAGCTTGGTGTACAATTTGAGAGCCTCAGGCTTGGGAACTCCCCACTACGGAGGTGGGCCCACCGTGAGCTCTCTTGACACCCTGCACGTCTCCGTCATGGCCCTTGGCATATTGCATTGTAAGAAGCTGCTTTTGTATCTGACTCTCTGAGGCTGTGAGCTCTCTAAGGGTAGGGACCATACCTTCCTCCTCTTTGTACATCCCGTGATAATTCAGGGGTTTTGTTTTTGGTTTTCATTTGGTTTCCTGATAAGCGTTCCTTAGGAGAAGAAGAAAAAAGAGAGTAGAAGGAAAAGAAAGAAGGGAGAGGAGGGAGGGAAAGAAGGAAGGAAGAAAGAGAGAGAGGGAAGGAGGAAGAGGAGGGAGGGAAAGCAGAAAGAAGGAAAGCTGCTTTGTCTCAGGCAGACTAACAGGAAAGCGACTTTTCCTTGCAAACCTCCTTCAAGGTCATGAGAGATATCTCTGTGACCCTGGGGCCAGACCAACCTTGAATTCAAAAATCCTCCAAGCTGAGGGCAGAAAGTAGGAAGAATCCCGCCGGAGCACTGCAAGGCCATTGGCGGGCACTGCTGTTCCCTCCCCTGTGGGAAGGACCACTGCTCACCTGGGTTTTTTTAATTAGCCATTGTGTTTCTTTTCTTTGTGCTGTTCTTCTCCATCCTTAGTAGGCAGGAGAGTTTTTACACTATTTCTTTTTCATATTCTGCTATAAATGAGCCCTACACATAATCAGGAAGGTTAGGGCTAGGATCAGAAGTCAAATTTAGGTTCACACATGACAAAACTTCAACAATTCACATTTCACCAGTTCTAAACAAGAAGGTTCCATTTAAATCACTGATTGCTGTAATTTGTTGCTATCATCCAATGGGTGCATTTTAGTTTAAAGGGATATGCCTCCTTTATCTTCTCGAGGTCTCAGACAGTGTCTGAGTAAACTCTCTGCCAAGTCCTGAGTCACCCGGAGGATAGCAGATGCGCAGACTCAGTCTGGGGTTTAGGGTCCACTCCGCATACTCCCACTTGCCCTTGGCATTGGCCCCATGGGTGGACCATGGAGGTGGGTGCTGTATGGCAACAGTCATTCCTCAGCAGAGTGGAGAGGGAGACACATGTTCTGCCGCGCCCATGTTCAGTCTGTTCTGTGGGCAGAGTTGTAGGAACACACTTAGCCCAAATCGATGCCAGCCTGGCAGTGGGTGAAGGGCCAGCAAGGTTTGTCTATGGCTCATGACCTTAGGGAAAATGAGATTTTACTCCTCGTGCAGCCTCCTGCCTGGAGAATTGCACACCCCTGTTTCAGATAGGTAACAGCTTTCTTGAAGCTTTCAAGAATAAAAATAAAAACTTTAAAGTACATGGCTGTCAGAAAGTCCCTCCTGGTAGCTAACTTGAGCCCTTTGTGCTTATTTTATCTTGGCCAAGCCTCCCCGGAGCATGTGTACCAGATACGATAACCTTCCACCAAACCAGGGACCTCTCAGATCTCGGCTTTTCAGAACAAAGAATTTGGATTTCCTTAGCCTTTCATCATCATCTCATCACCCAAACCTTTCATTATCTTTTTCAATTTTTTCTTTGAACTCTTTCCAAAACTTGTCTTTTGAGTTACAGAGACCATCACTTAATTAGATCTTTCATTTCCAGGGGATACTCCTAGTGCCTAGGAAGAAATAAATTAAATTTCACTCGGATATATTTCATTGGGGGAAGGGTGTAGAAAAAAAGAAATTGAATTCCTTATATAAATAGCACATTGTCTGGTGCCACAAATGCGTTTTCCTTTTCCCAGTTGTTTTTGGAACAATGGGTCCTTTTTTGGTGACTTTAATTCCTCAGAGATTCTAACCTCTAAAAGGTCATGATTTGTGTTGTTTTGTGCATACACGGCTTCTGTACTGAAAAAAAAAAAGCGAGATGTGTGGCCTCTGATTGTCTAGTAAGTCGTGAGGAAACAGACAAGGCTGCAACCCAGCAGCAGTTGAGCACCTTGTCAAAGTGTGGGAATGAGCGTGTGTGGGTCTCTGTGCTTCCAGCCTTTTCTGCACCAGCTGTTCCAAGCGGAGCAGAGGGGTCTGTCTTGCTTCTCCGTAACTTCATCAACCTGTAAGTAGGCTTGCCTTTTACAGTGCTGTTCTCATTAGCTGTGCAGACTTCCTTATCCTGATCATTTGGTATCTGTGCGCAGACTTTCATAGGGGAAGGGGATAGTCTTTAACTTGTCTTTCTGTGGAGCAGAACAACAGAGGCTGGCCTTTGCTCAGCCATCACCCCAGCCAGGCTGCTTTAAGCGCATTTCATCACTTCTTTCCACCTGAGTTTTTCTTTGTGTCAAATGAAGAAGTTGGGTTCACAGATGACCTCTGAGGTCCCTTCCAATCCAACCCTGCAATTCTCACAGCATCGGTCATTCTAATTGCTCCATAGAAGGGTAGGACAAGGAAGGAGGGGGTGAGTTTAGCAGCCAGTTGGGGAAAGGATGCTTGCAGAGTGTCAGTGTAACTTGGATTCCCACTCATCTCTTCTCTCTCCCAAGGATCCTGAATCAACGTAGTGTGAAGGGACAAGAGTGAGCACCTATTGATCACCTATGATAGGTCAGACACTGTCCAAGGCTCCTTCTCTACACTGGCTCATTTAATCTTTACATCTCACTATAGAATAGATGTACCAGGTGTTTTCCACATCAACGACCACCACGCGCCCCATCCACCCCACCCAGATGTGTCTACACCCTCAGATTTCACTTGAAATGTTCCATCCTTAGTGCAGCCTTCCCCAGCCCCTCAGACCAGGTTAGATCTCCCTGTCCTATGTTCTTATGTCCCCTATGCTTTCCCTCCATGGCACTTAACATCAATGTAATTAAATCATTATCTGTATAATTAATATTTACATGCCTACTAGACAGAAAACTCCTTTAGGGCAGGGATCACATAAGTCTTGTTCATTACTGTATTCCTAGAGCCTAGCACAGTGCTGACAAAATAGTTGAGATTCAATAGATGTTTGCTGAATAAATGTAAGCATGAATGCATGAATGAATGAAAGGATGGATGAATAGCAAGGCTAGATACAAATCCAGAACTATCTGGCTCTTGGAGACCTGTGTATACTTTAAGAAGAGCTCCACTTGTAAGTTTGTACACAGGGCTTCACTGCTATAACCAGCCTATGGATACTTAGCTACAGTTAGTCATGCTTTGAGTTGTTTCTCCAGAAGCGAGAATGATAGCTGCACTGCTCTGGCCATTCCCTTTAATCCACTGATACTCATCCTCAAAGATGTCTGTAAAATACTTGGAGATTATGGATCCAGCCTGGTGGTGGTTGGAAGTGGGTAGAGGGAGGCAATGAATTGATCCAAACCATTTGTCCTTGTGAGCTTTTAGCCCTATGTCTTAATAATAATTAGTACCAGCCTGGGCAACATAATGATATCCTGTCTCTACAAAAATAAAAAATTAGCCAAATATGGTGGCGTGCACCTGTAGTCCCAGCTACTTGGGAGGCTTAGGCGGGAGGATTGCTTGAGTGCAGGAGGTTGAGGCTGCAGTGAGCCACAATCATCACATCACTGCACTCCAGCCTGGGTGACAGAGTAAGACTCTCTCAAAAAAATAGAAAAAAGAAAAAAGAAAACCATCAGCACCACTTCTAATACTTTCTGCCAAAGGGGCTGAAAACAAGAATCTGCTCTGTCAGGGATCTGGGTCACTAAGAATGAGTGGGTGAAGAGGAAGGAGGAAAAACCAAGACATGACAACCTTTAGAGAAGCAAAAATAAAACTCTAATGTGGAAACTGCTGAAAATAGACTGCCTGGGCTGTCAGACTGCATGCAAATCTGATGCTAATCACATGGAAATTAATTACAAGTCCTAACTTCCATATGTCTTGATATGACCCTTGGGGGAAAACCTGCTGCAGGTGTCTACTCCCCACCACAGAGGATTGAGTGGAACACAGGCTTTGATGTCGCCTCCTTCACACTCAGCTCTTGCCACTGCAGGGAGAGGAGGCTAAAAATATTAACAATAGAAATTTGATTTCTTCTTTCAGACAAAAAGCCTTGGCATCCACGGGAGGAAGAAGTGTTCAGGCAGCATGTGACTGGTTGGTATGAGATAAATAAATTGAGAAAATAGCATATAATTAACTCAAAGTGCATGTGGATGAGTGGGGAGGTGCAGACTTTCTCTAATGGACCCTTCCAGAAGAGACAGGAGCCAAAAGACTGTGGCAAGTGCGTTTATCAAGTCAATTGCCTCCTCTGCCCTGGCCCCAGGGTATGTTTCTCCTTGGAGCTGTTTAAAGAAAATTCTAAGTAATTCCCAGATAGAGCCTCTCTCATAAGATCTGTCCCTGCTCCAGTCACTTAAAGATTCATTTTAGGGGTATGGATATTGAGAAAATCCATTTAGAAAAGTACCCTACTTATCTTCCAGGGTATCCCTACCCAGGGTGGGTCCTACAAGGTTACCTCTCTGGGAGCTTCCCTTGTCTTTGGAGGGACATGGGTTTAATTACAGGCTGACCTGAGGGACAGGCTGGGTTGGTCCTAGTGGATTGGGAAAGGATTTGGAGTTGATCCAAGAATGCTTCCTGGAGAGCGGTTTTAGGACTTTTTTAGGGAGTTGTAGGATGAGGAGGCAAAATGACAAGAAGGAAGACAGAAGTTGCTGCATCTGAGAATTGGTTATGAAGTGTGAGTTTCCAGAAGTAGATTTTTAAATCATGAATGAAAACCCTTCCCCGCGCTGTGCCGGGGATTTGGAGCACATGGAGGGTGGATCTGTCTCTCAGTTCTTTTTTCCCCTCCCATTATTCTCAAGCGACACCTTGTTGGCTTACTTCTGTCTTACAGGTTATTCTCCCATGTCGGTGACCCCTTCCTGGATGACCCCCTGCCCCGGGAGTACGTCCTCTACCTCCGTCCCACCGGCCCCTTAGCACAGAAGCTTTCCGACTTTTGGCAGCAGTCGAAGCAGATCTGCGGGAAGAACAAGGCACACAACATCTTCCCCCACATCACACTCTGCCAGTTCTTTATGGTGAGCGGCAGCGCCCCCACCCCTGGGAAGCCTGGCTCCTAGGATCCCAGCCGGCCCTTTGGGACCTGGAGCAAAGGGAGGCCTCGCAGGAAGACAGCAGGAATAGTCACAGGCTCCTACAGCTGGAGGGACCTTCAAGGGATCAGTGAGGTCCACAATGGGCCCCTCACCCCAACGCTTCCTAGTTTTATCTGCTGAGGCCCAGGAGCACCCCAGGATGGGGGCAGCACCAGATTGTAACCCTCTGTGAGGGACACACTGGTCTGGCTGCTGGAATAGAATCACTGATCTAGCTTCACACCTGTTTGCTGTCTACCCTCTCCACTCTTACGACAAGCAAAGAGGAGGAACTAAGAGCAGGGAACAACAAAGGCAGTTTATAGACAGGGAAAGCCATTTCCTGTCCACAAGTTTTTTTTTTCCCGCTATATATTTCTAGAGAATGCAAAGATATTTACTTGCCATTGTTACCTAGTGTATAATCCTAGCTGTCAGAAAGCTTATCTACTGACCAATTTTTGTTGTTGTTGTTGTTTTGAGACAGAGTCTCACTCTGTCACACAGGCTGGAGTGCAGCAGCATGATCTCGGCTCACTGCAACCTCCACCTCTCGAATTCAAGCGATTCTCCTGCCTCAGCCTCCCAAGTGGCTGTGATTACAGGCATATGCCACCATGCCCGGCTAATTTTTGTATTTTTAGTAGAGACGGGGTTTCACCATGTTGGCCAGGCTGGTCTTGAACTCTTCACCTCAAGTGATCCGCCCACCTCAGCCTCCCAAAGTGCTGGGATTATAGGCATGAGCCACCATGCCTGGCCTCTACTGACCAAATATAATCCCCCTCACTATCACACATGTAAATACATTTTGTCTACTTTAGCTCTCTGTGGTAATAGAGAAGAGTTGATTTATCTCCATATATTCAAGACCAAACAAAGTGGTAGCATTTTAAACCATTTTTATAAAAAATATTTTGCTTTCTTCCCCAGATATATTCTCTCTCTTTTTCTCTCTCTCAGGTAATAATAATGTTCCTAACACCTTCTCTTTTACCATTCACTCTGAAAATTAAAGTGACTGTCATTTCCTCTTAGTCATCCCAGGATCTTTCTCAAAACCCTTCAGAGTTTGAGAGACGTTCATTCTTTTTTCCAATGCTCTCAGGAAGGTAGGAGGATGATGTCACAGCTCTCTGGGACTCATTCTTCCCAACTATCATGAGGGTGGATGTAGAGTCAACTTCTGATCATCTAAGAGGAAAAGAAAAGTACAGATGATACAAAATAGTAGAAAACACGCAGCTTCTCCTGGGATGCTGCACTCTCTCCTGTCACATTCCTTCATTTTTTTTTTTTTTTCACAAGCAAGGAGAACTTTGATTTTTTTTTTCTTTTTCTTTTTTTTTTTTATGGATATATAGTCTCTCTCTGTCACTCAGGCTGGAGTGCAGTGGCGTGATCTTGGCTCACTGCAACCTCTGCTTCCCGGGTTCAAGTGATTCTCCTGCCTCAGCCTCCCAAGTAGCTGGGATTATAGGCGTCCGCCACCATGTCTGGCTAATTTTTGTATTTTTAGTAGAGATGGGGTTTCACTATGTTGGTCAGGCTGGTCTCAAACTCCAGTCCTCAAGTGATCTGCCCGCCTCAGCCTCCCAAAGTGCTGGGATTACAGGCATGAGCCACTGCGCCCAGCCTGATTTTTTTCTAATTGATAAAAATTATATACATTTATGGCGTATAACATGATGGTTGAATATATGTATGCATTGTGGAGTGCCTAAATCAAGCTAATTGTACATGCATTACCTCGCATGCTTATCAGGCATTTGTGGTGAGAACACTTAAACTCTACTCTCTTAGTAATTTTCAAGCATATAATATGTTATGATGAACTATAGTCACTGTGCTGTACAATAGGTCTCTTGAACTTATTTCTCCTAAGTGAAGTTTTACGTCCTTTGACCAATATCTCCCCAATCTCGCTCCCCTTTCTTGCTTTCGGCTCAACCAGTCCTGCAGCATTTTGGCTGGGTTCACGGGGGCCACTTCACAGCAAGGAAAGGAGGGAAGAGGTCATGTGTTCCCCACATTAATCCACCAGTTGGGTAATCTGTGTCTGAATAATTGGAAGTCTGCAGTTCCTCTCTCCCCACAGACAGGGGTAGTGGTTAAGTAATTGCATTATCAGCCTCCTCCAGTCTCTGGGGAGAGGATGCCAATGTTAAGTAGCAGCAGACTTCCATCTCCCCTTGTCTCTGAGTGAAGACTGCCTGTTTTCCCTGCCAGTGCGAGGACAGCAAGGTGGATGCCCTGGGGGAAGCCCTGCAGACCACGGTCAGTCGCTGGAAATGTAAGTTCTCGGCCCCGCTGCCCCTGGAGCTCTATACGTCGTCCAACTTCATCGGCCTCTTTGTAAAGGAAGACAGTGCGGAGGTCCTCAAGAAGTTTGCTGCTGACTTTGCTGCAGAGGCTGCATCCAAAACCGGTGAGCAAACAGCTGCCAGGCCAGCCCTGGGCCCTGTCAATCAAAGAGTTGGAAAGGAAAAAGGATAGGAAATAGTGGTAGAGGAGCAGGATGGGGTCAGGAGGTGGAGGACCCTGCAGGAATGGACGTGTGACAAAAAAACAGCCTTTTCCTGCAGCACCCCACGTCTTGCTCCCTTGTAAAAACGTTCAACCCCTCTTCTGCTGACCTGGAGAGACCGTCTAAGGCTTATTCCCTAACACCCAAGTTGAAGTTTCACAAATGACTTCCATACTGAACTAGAAATGTATTTCTTTGTAGCACCACCATCTCCTCCTAATTCAGAATTAAAGAAACATCCTTTCTCCCTCCCAAGCTCCCGCCCATGTAGGTGTTTATCTGGGTCTCATTGTTCACTCCATGACAATCCAGATCTTTTCTCAGTGGGTAGCAGAGGATAGAGAGAAGAGTGGAAGCACTTCGTATTATATCACAATAAAATCCACTGAACCAATACCCTTCAACTTGCTGAAAACCATTAGACAGGACCCCAAGCCCCAAGAGTCTGTCTAAAAATGTAACCCCTTCCAAATGTCTCCTGCTCTTCTCATGGGAGCTCTTAGTTCAGGACACCTGAGATTTCCTGTCAAAGGAATTAGCTTAAGGGGGTGCTCAAGGCAGGAGACACGATGGAGGTGAAAAGAGGGAGAAGTTTGCAAAGCTCTCCTGTCTGACTACAGGTGTGGACAAGCTCACTTAGCTCAATGACAGCAGGGAAACAGACAGACAATCTGGTGGGGGGAGAGCCTCTTGGCTCGCTCCAGCATGAAATCACAATTGGCAGGTACTTACTGGTCACCTACTATGAGGATTTCTCCTACATGAGGAGTGCTACAGGGAAGAGAACAAGAAGTGGTTTCTCCCGGCCAGGCCCTGTGTAACATCAGCTCTGAAAAGAGAAAGGGGTGGTTCTACCTTCACGGAAGGAAGGAAACTTGCCCTGGGACGATGTTGATCAGGACAATGGAGGAAAGGCCTGCAGGCGGGCGGGTGGCAGGAGCACAGGCAGGCAGGCATGAGATGGTGTGAGCAGAGGACAGTGGGGAGGCTGCCCTGACCAGAGTGGATGGTGCAGGATGCACAGTGGAAGCCGAGTGCTGAGTGCAAAGCTGGAGGAGACGTACAATTCCCCTACCCCTAATTTTAGGGAGTGCCAGAGAGGGGGAAGACCTGAGCAAGGCCGCAGTTTGCTCCTTAGCCTTTTGGCCTTTGGCCTATCCCTCACCTGCCATTGTTCCCTGCTGCTATTTTCATCACCATCTCAGGCCCTTTGTTCCATATTCCTCTTTACCAGAAAAGCACCACACAGGACTTGGGACCTATGAGTGGGATCGGGGCTCAGTATCACTGCAGGATCACAGTGCTCTCGGAAGGAACACAAGGACCTTAAGACCCCTCTGTACCTGGGGAGGGGTCCTCTTTAGACTTTGCAACCCCCACCCCCACCTCTTCCTCTCCCTCAGCGACGGGACTAGTCTCCGGGTCCTGACTTCAGTGAAGCCTGACATTTCATAGGAGCTTAATATTTCAGAGAAAGAGCATAACTGAGAGGCAAATTATTTCCTGCTCTTATCCCTCAATCTCAAGGAAATGGCTTTCTCTCATCCCACAGTAGTTATTGTCAGAACCACTAAATCCCCACAAGGACCAAAACTAATGTCAAAGCCGCAAAACCCAAATCCTTCACAAATGAGAAAAGCAAGCCTCAGCCAGGGCCGCACAGATTCTTGGAGTGCATACTGAGTGAGCAGCAGTCGAAGCCCCAGCTTTCCCTGTGGGACGCGGGTGGAGCCAATTCCTCTCCAAGATCCTGCTGTCATGAAGAACTTGGCCGGCTTCGTTTCTCTGCTGTTGTGTGGCCCCCTGGTGGGGATGTGGAGAACTGGATGACCCTGCGCAGCTTAGCTGGTCCCGCTCCTTATTACCCAGCATGGGAAGCCGGCCACCATGTCTTTGCCCTGGAACTTGGTATTCTCCAGTTGTTGGCAGGACCAGATATCATCAAGTAGATTTAGTGTCTTCCTCCATTTGAAGTGGTCAAGGGAGATTCATTCATGTGCATTTATTCATTTAACAAGTACTGAAAACCTGCATGATATGCTGAGTAAGGATACAGTGTAAGCGAGAGACAAAAACCTTGTTTCATGGGGCTTACACCAAAGAAAGGCAATGCAGTATAAAAGAAAAAGTACTTAAAACCGAAATGCTCAATTTCTAGTTCTATCTTGGGCCACTAATTCTCTGTGTGACTTGACCAAGTTCCTTAAATTCTCAAATTCCCTAATTTCTTCTAGTTGCAACTTCTTCATTATTCTAGTTTGTACAGTAGATGATTCTCCCTCATTGTAAATACAAAAGAGGCCAGGCATGGTGGTTCACACCTGTAGTCCCAGCTACTCAGGAAGCTGAGGTGGGAGCATCACTTGAGCCCAGGAGGTGGAGGCTGTGGTGAGCTATGATCATGCCACTTAACTCTAGCCTGGGCAACAGAGAAAGACCCTGTCTCAAAAAAAAAAAAAAGTACCAGAGAGAGAAAAAAAAGCCATTCCCTCCTATAGGTAGGGTTGTTTTGTTTTGTCTCTTGGGATATCTTAGAATAACAGTCTGTATACTTTAAACCAGTATGTCTCAACTAAGGGTGATTTTGTCTCCCAGGGTACATTTGGCAATGTCTGAGGTCATTTTCAATTGTTACAGCTTGGAGAGTGCTGCTGACGTCTTGTGGGTAGAGGCCAGGGATGCTGCGAAACACCCCATCATGCACAGGACAGCCACCCCCCCCAAAAAATAATTATTCAACCCAAAATGCTGTTGAGAGAAACCCTGCATTAAACTTTGAAAATATCCATCTTTTCCCCTCATTTCTCCATCAATCTCACCCAGAAGCTAAGACACGTGATTCCAAAATGAAGGGAATAGAGCTTTGGGAGTCACGCAGCTATAAAACATGCTTTGTATTTCTACACAAATTATTTCATCACTGTAGGTCATAGTGCCCTCTTCTGAAAGGTGGGGCTGGTGACCACCAACTGGAATGTTGTGAGAAGGACTTAACTAAAAGGACTGCCCTCAGCTGACCCGCAGCTCCTAGAGGAAAGCCGTATGGTGGCTATCTCTTGAACAGTGGCTTGATTCGGAATCTCTTGCCATCCCCTTACCCCCTTATTCTACTGCTGTGAAGGAGAGAAACGTCTTTTGTCTTCTTTGTTATGTGGGAAGCAGAATTTCTCAGGGTACCTTTCTATGCCTTTCCTTAAGTCTTCACCATTGCTATCATCACCACCTTTTAATTACTGACCTTTTTCTTCCTTTTTCCAGAAGTGCATGTGGAACCTCATAAGAAGCAGCTACATGTGACCCTGGCTTACCACTTCCAAGCCAGCCACCTACCCACCCTAGAGAAACTGGCCCAGAACATTGACGTCAAGCTAGGGTGTGACTGGGTGGCTACCATATTTTCTCGGGATATCCGATTTGCTAACCATGAGGTAATGTCTCACTGTGGTTCCAGAAGCTACCAGGTGCAGGGATGCAATCAGAATCAGCAGCTCGCTGCTGCAGGGAGATGGGTACCTACAGGGGAAAAATGGAGCAAGCACCTAACAGAGAGTCCGTTGGCTCAGGATTGTGTCCAGCCTCTGCTTGCCTCACTGGGAGGCTTCCAGCTTGCCTCCCTCCTCTCTGGGTCACAAGTGGTTCATCTGGGTAACATCCCCCTAGTTCTGTCTCCCCTGCCAATCCAACTCCAGCAAAAAAGAAATGAAATGGGAGAGAATAAATAAAAAATATATTGGAAAATTTTTAATATTATATAAATTTATGGTGTTAATGGAAGACATCATTTTGACCTTAGGTGAGTTGAAGAACATATAAATACCAAAGAAAACAAAACAAAAAACAAAAACACTTGCAAAGACATAATCAACAGATATTTGCTGTGTATCTGTATCATGCAAAGTACCATGGAGCATACTGGAATTTTTAAATGTTGTCCTGTCCTCAAGGAGCTTTGAGAACAGACACACATGAAAAGAAAACTCAAGTCACCTCTTGTGAGAGTTTCTGCACATCCCAGTGGGAGGCCTGAGTGAGAAAACTGAATTCCATCACAAGAAGAAAGATTGGTACACCCCTAGCACCCTTCCTTTGAGGGAATCAACATTGCCTTCTAGACAAGTATGTGACATCTTGGAAGCATAATATTGCCTTTTTTTTTTTTTTTTAAATGGAGTTTCATTCCTTGTTGCCCAGGCTGGAGTGCAATGGCACGATCTTGGCTCACTGCAACCCCTGCCCCTGGGGTTCAAGCGATTCTCCTGCCTCAGCCTCCCTAGTAGCTGGGATTACAGGCACCCGCCACCACACTGGGCTAATTTTTTGTATTTTTAGTAGTGCCGGGGTTTCACTGTGTTGGCCAGACTGGTCTTGATCTCAGGTGATCTGCACGCCTCGGTGTCTCAAAGTGCTGGGATTACAAGCGTGAGCCGCAGCACCTGGCCAATAGTGTCTTTTTCTATCCTGAAGGAGAAGCTGAGACACAAAAAACATTAGTGTCTTAGTAATTTAGGGCTAGAGATGAAGCAAGAGCCCATGTATTTTGACCAATAAAGAAGGGCAACCTGTCTGAAACAAAACTACATCATAGCCAGGCATGGTGGCTGTCACCTATGATCCCAGCACTTTGGGAGGCTGAGGCAGGAGTATTGCTTGAGACCAGGAGTTCCAAACCAGCCTGGGCAGCATAGTGAGACTGTATCTCTACCCACCCACAAAAGACCTCATCGTTTGTTAAAAATGTGCCTTCCAACTTAACTACATTTATTAAGCAATACTTATATTTGTTTCCCAATTTTTCAAACAGCCAAAGAACTGGTATTTTTGTTAGTTTACATAGCCTTTTAACATCTCTTTTAGACTTCTTTAAAAAACAAAACATGAAAAACAGTTAGAACCCCAGGGCTGGGAGCAGGCAAGCTCATTGTTTTGGAAGTGGTAGAAGAGCCAACCCATGAGTCAGAGGTTCAGGGTTAAGCATGCGCCTGTGAGTGTCAGGGGCTGCAGTTTTGTCTGACTCTGCTGATGGGAACGTGATGTCCTCCTTTTGAGTCATTTGATGCAGGTTTCTGTAAGATGCCTTGAGCAGACTGGGCCTGATCTTATTTAAGAATTCTGACATCTCCTAGAGTCACGTAGAACGAACCCTGAAGATAACAAGGGAGGTGTGACTGGTTGGACTCCTTCTGAGGGCAAAGAAAAAAAAAGTCAAGGGTTGCGTGCAGATGGCCTCTGAGAAGTCACCTTTCTAAGAGAAGGAAGGTGGCAGTGGAATTTTACAAGGAATATCCTCTAATCAACACTGCCCTCCAGTTAACTCAAAGGGTAATTGCTTTTCTGCCTGACCCACATTCTGCTCAATTGGCATGGAAGGAAAAAGGCAGCAAGCGCCCACGGGAATTATTTTCTAAAAATAACTTGGCCTCTTTTATCTCTTATTTGTAAAAGCTCATTTATTACCGTTCGTTCTGATAAAGCTCTCCTCGGCCCCTTTGGACTGGACCTCTCCCGTGAGGTCTTTCGGTCCTACCTGAGCCGTCTGCACACGTAACCCTCTTCTTGCCTGCCTTCTTCAACATGCCCCCAGGAGGCAGTTTTGATTGATTGTTCCAGTGAGGGAACAGATGTCCAGAGAAGGAGAGTGGTTTAGGCAAGGACACTCTGGCAAGGCACCGTGATGCTTAGGAAAACTCCAAGGCCTCATTCCTCTGCTATTTAGATTCTCACTCGATTTGGACACGCGAATCCCATTTGTATTTCACATGGGCTCTTCCGTGTTAGTGATTACATTGGGCCATGCCAGTTTAATATACCAACCGATAGAAATCCAGAGGAAGGACAGGGTGATCCAAAAAGCATCAATTTTGGAGTCTAGCACACTTGGCTTCAAATCCTGGCTCCATCACTTTAGCAAGGGTTAAATTCACTTTGACAACTTATATAAATCTCCAGTCCTTAGTTTTCTCATCTGTAAAATGGTGACAATGTTTTGCTAGATGGTTATGAAGACTAAATAAAGAAGATGTATGGAAAGGCTCTAATGTAATACCCAGCACAAGGTGGGTGCAACAGCAACGAAAAATTGCTGCAGCTATTATTGTGAGTGAGAATAAAAAGGGCTCCAAAGGCAGTTCGGCTCTTGTATTCACTCAGGGCTGTGGCTGCATTTCATTCAGCAAACTGAGTTCCATCCCATTGTAGTAAGGAGGAAAAACATACCTGAGGTGGATTCAAGAGGTTTTTTGTTTTTGTTTTTGTTTTTTGTTTTTTGTTTTTGTTGAGACGGAGTCTTACTCTGTCGCCCAGGCTGGAGTGCAGTGGTGCAATCTCGGCTCACTGCAACTTCCGCCTCCTGGGTTCACGCCGTTCTCCTGCCTCAGCCTCCCAAGTAGCTGGGACTACAGGCACCTGCCACCACGCCTGGCTAATTTTTTGTATTTTTAGTAGAGACAGGGTTTCACCATGTTAGCCAGGATGGTCTCGATCTCCTAACCTCATGATCCGCCTATCTCGGCCTCCCAAAGTGCTGGAATTACAGGTGTGAGCCACAGTGCCGGTCCTGGATTCAAGAGTTCTTATGAGTACAGGCCAGGCACAGTGGCTCACGCCTGTAATCCCAGCACTTTAGGAGGCCGAGGCAGGCAGATCACCTGAGGTGAGGAGTTCGAAACCAGCCTGGCCAACACAGTGAAACCTCGTCTCTACTAAAAATACAAAAATTAGCCAGGTTTGGTGGTACACACCTGTAGTCCCAGCTACTCGGGAGGCTGAGACAGGAGAATCTCTTGAATCCGGGAGGCAGAGGTTGCAGTGAGCCAAGATGATGCCACTGCACTCCAGCCTGGGCGACAGAGCGAGACTCCGTCTCACACAAAAAAAAGAGTTCTTACAAGTAGATGGCAAACATAAAACAAAAGAATAAGTAGAATGTAATATAAATTAGGCATGTGTTCTCACATCTTTCAAACTTAGGCTAAGGTTTTGTATCTGCTTTTGGTGAGTGAGAAAGGGCATTGGGGACATGGGTCCCAGTTGTAATTTTAGATTTGCTACAATGCCTTAATTCTTTTATTGTTCATTCAATAAATCGAAGCTACTTATTGTCCAGCTTCCCTATGCCTAGGACATATTTGTCTGTAACCTTAGCTGTGCCTCAGTTTTCCTGGGGATAACCTAGAGATAGAATGAATACCCACCCCCGCTCCCCCCCCACCGCCCCACATGATAGAACAAATGAGGACTTCTCTGAAATCGCATGAGTTTCTCAAGGGAAAGGCACTACTGGGCCAAAGGCATTATTAGCCAAGACCATGCTGTGCTTGAACATTTAAGGAACACAAGTTTAGGCTTGTTTCCCTGTGACTCGGTGACTTTCTCCACTTGTCCCAGAAAAAAAAGAATGTTCCTTTTCATGGGACGTCACACATTTAGCTTTGCAGTTTATGAGATTTCGCGTGAATTGTTTTTCCCTTTAAGCTGATTTAACAATCCCACAGAAAACCTTCCTGGCTTGTTTGGGGAGGTGGTTTGAGTGTGTATGAGGCAAAGGGACAGGAAGAATAAGGAGGCAATCAGAGCAGGGAAGACCTAGAACTGAAAGATGCTGAAGTCAGAATTAGGGAAACAAACAGGTGCCCTACATAAAAGGAAAATCGGAAATGCAGCGGTGCAAATGAGCTCTCTGCACAATCACTCTCATCCTCTGAAAAGAATCACACCTTTACTGGCTCCTTTCTTTAGCGATTTCCAGAAGGAAATTCTCTCTTTATAACATGTTCTGGTGTATCACCTTGACATCAACCAGCCAATTAGTTCACAGGCCTACCCAGCACAGAGTCCAGGGATCAGGGTCGGCTGGAAGGAAGGATGTGACGTGGGAGATCAGGTGCTCTGGTTCTGTAGAAATAATTATGCCCCTTCGGTGCACAAGGCTCTGTCCTAAGGTGTTTTCTTAGATTGTCTCATTTAACTTTTATGGGCTTAAGTATTATTTTATAGATGAGGAAACTGAAGCCTGAAGCCAAAGTTAGAAATATGCAAATGGAGACCAGAATATTTAGCCTTCAACTAACGGCTTTGAGACCCTAGAAAACAGTAAAAGCTGTTAAAGCTTTCTCCGTCTTTGTGTCCCTTGTGAAACAAATAAGATAGGAAATATTTTCCTTACTATTGAGGTCTCCCACTATTAGTAACAAAAAATACTAAAATAAATGTTCTCTACAGTACCTTCATGCCTATACCTGTGATGTTAATACATACCAGGAAACGAAGGCAAAAAGAAATAAAGAATAAATAGCCAACTGGCATGGCCTGTTTTTGGCCTGGGGGCTGTTTCGGAGCCCAAAGTAAGAACGTTTTCTCCATCTGATGAAAGCTGGCTACATGCTGACATAGACACTGATGTCTAGACATTTTTCTTTCAGGATCTTTGTTAAAACTATAGGTTTAAAGAAAACTCCTTTAAGGCAAGAACCATGTCTGGTTTAAAGAGCTAAGTTGGCCGGGCATGGTGACTCACACCTGTAATCTCAGCACTTTGGGAGGCCAAGAGAGGGGAATCACCTGAGGTCAGGAGTTCGAGACCAGCCTGGCCAACATGGTGAAACCCTGTCTCTACTAAAAATACAAAAATTAGCCAGGTGTGGTGGCGGCCGCCTGAAATCCTAGCTACCAGGGAGGCTGAGGCAAGAGAATCACTTGAACCCAGGAGGCAGAGGCTACAGTGTGCTGAGATCATGCCATTGCACTCCAGCCTGGGCAACAAGAGTGAAACTCTATCTCAAAATAATAATAATAATAATTCATAAATAAAGAGCTATGTTACACAGAAAGGGGGTACTTCATTCCCTGAGCCTTCCTGGAGGAGAGACACTCCACCTGGCCCCTCTGTAACCCCCGTATGGAAGACTGGCTTTCCATGAGCTGGGTTTCAGGTGTCTATCATGGTGACTATCAGATGAAGCAAGGGAAGCTAGGTCCATGTCCATTTATACAGCAGTTGGCCAGAGAGCCTACAGGATTTCAGGTCAATTTCCAAAAACGATACTTGAATCCTGATGGGAAATCTAGACATGCCTGAAGAAAAGTATGAAACCATTTCTAGCACCAGGCATACACCGTCAATACCCTGAAGAGAGAAGTGCTCTCTGATAGGAATTCACATCTACTCAGGGCCTGCAGACCCCAAGGGCTCCTGGGCACATCGCCCTCTGGAGGTGTGCAGTATTAATGCAGAACATACAGTCCTGCCCTCAAGGCGCTCAGGAGAATGGTGAGGCATGGGGCTCACTCACCCTCTCTTCCTTTTCCAGACATTACAGGTCATCTACCCCTATACCCCACAAAATGACGATGAGCTGGAGCTGGTCCCCGGGGACTTCATCTTCATGTCTCCAATGGAGCAGACCAGCACCAGCGAGGGTTGGATCTATGGCACGTCCTTAACCACCGGCTGCTCTGGACTCCTGCCTGAGAATTACATTACCAAGGCTGATGAATGCAGCACCTGGATATTTCATGGGTAAGCAGACACAAAGACCTTTATGCCATTTGAAGAATGTTGCTAAGGCAGACTGGATCCTGGATACACAGGGCAGCAGTAAATGGAGTCCATGGGAAGAAGGCCCTGTGGATTCCAGAATTCCAGGAAAGGAGCTGATTTGAGGCATGGGGAAAATGCGAAATGGATTGCTCTGCTTCCCTCTGCCTGCCCCATTTGCCATGGTTGTCTGCTTCAGTTCCTGATCAGAGACTAAACTGAGGTGGCTTGGGGTCCATCTCTTCTGGCCGAAGAGTGGCATCATCCCAGTGCTGCGTCTTCACTGCTTTAGGGCTTCTGTCCACCTTATCCTGGGTCATGAGTCAGGGTGGTCTGATTTCCCGAAGCAGCTGGGCGGATTACTACCCTGCCATCCAGACCAATAGAGAAGGGGGTTTCAAGAGGCAGGAGCCCTAACTGTATCCTTGATTTGCTAAGTGACCCTGAGCAAGTCCCCAGACACAGCCTATGCATGCCTAGACAACAAAGACCATGTCTAAGGGAACAGGCAACTGCCAGACTGAAAAGGGGTCCATTTCCCCCCTCCCCTCTGCCAGTCTTCTTTAGGGTAATAACTTTCCACCCGTCCCTCATTACTATTTTGCCCCCATTCCATACTGGTACCACATTCAGTGGCCAACTTTGTCCCAATAGATAAAATAGAAACAAAAGCCATCTTCTCTTTCTTAGTTGGAGCAGCTCAAAGCCAGCGCTTCCCTGGCACACTGGGGCATCTAGCCAGGGTCTGCATGCTGGTTTGTTTTTCTCCCACTTGTTTTTGTCATGTGGCAACATGGCTGAGAGGCAGAAGCCCTGAGCGCCAGCTGCTTGGTGGCTAATATTGTTATTATTGCCATAAAGGAGAAGCAGAGAGAGATGATTTCATCAAGTCTTTTGCCTGGAAGGAGAAAATAAAGGTCCCCTACCCTAGTGAGCCACAAACAGACAAACCACAAATCCAAAGATGGGAAAGAATATTTTCTTCCTCAATAACCCCACCCAGCAATCCCTCCCCCTCTCCCTCACTCTGCTCCCACCTCAGCCCAGCCCATGAGCCTCCAGAATTGGATGGCACAAAATTAGAGGTCAAAGCTGTCTTATGTTCCCCAAACATTTTGCTTTTTCAGAAATGCTTTGGAAGATCAAAATATATAAGCTGGGTTTCCAAAGTCTCCATTTTAATCCCTACAACAACAAGTAAAGCAAAATATGCGTGAATAAACTGAGAACTAAAACATTATTTGCCTGACAAAGCACAGTTCTCAGATCTGTTATTTTTTATTTTACAGTACTTGGAGTTGCTGTTTTATCAGATCTCTTTCTTAAAAGTGGGTGTATGGCCAGGTGCGGTGGCTCACACCTGTAATCCCAGCACTTTGGGAGGCCAGGGTGGGTGGATCACTTGAGGTCAGGAGTTCAAGACCTGCCAAACCAACATGGTGAAACCGCGTCTCTACCAAAAATAAAAAAAAAAATCAGCTGGGCGTGGTGGCATACACCTGTAGTCCCAGCTACTCAGGAGGCTGAGGCAGGAGAATCACTTGAACCTAGGAGGTGGAGGTTGCAGTGAGCTGAGATCACGCAACTGCACTCCAGCCTGGGCAACAGAGCAAGACTTTGTCTGAAAAAAAAAAAAAAGTGGAGGTATATGAGAAGCAGTGCTGATCTCTTAGAGTTCACTCCATCCAAACCCACTCTTCCCTAAATTACAACTCAGGCCGATGTATAGGTGAACCTGAGTGACTTCGGTCAGTGCGTCCCAGGGAGGTCTTTGTGTCATCTTTTATTCGAGAGATTACTAATGATGTCATGTCTCTGAGAACAATGTCTGAAATTAAACTAACAGCTTCCACAGCCAACCCTGCTCAAAGTAGGTAAATAAGTTAGGCATTAGTTTATTGTGATTAAGAATTTGAGACTGGATTCCAATAGTCTTGGATTTAAACGATAACTCTCCCACTTACCAGCTGTGTGGCCTTGGCAAAGTTGCATTACCTCTCTGAGCCTCTGTTTGCTCATCTAGAAAATGGAACTAATAATTGCACTTACCTCATAAGGTTGTTGGGAAGACTGCAATACAGAGCTTAGCTTTACATGGTTCAGAGTCTGGTGTATAGCGGTGACTATAAAATCGCCATTTGCATAATGATGATTATTCTCTTTTTTCTATCTTGTGTTTGCCAGTCCTCACTTAGTGCTCATCAAAGGAAATGTGTCTTCCATAAAAGCAATCCTGTAGATGAACTGCACTTTCCTATTTAACCCCAGAGGTCAAATGACTCAAGGAGGCAGAGCCCAGCTTCCTTGTAAGACAGACACAGACCTTCTCTCTCTCCTAACCCAAGAGAGACATCAGGAGGTAGAGCCCCAGGGGGATGTCAAGCATGGCCTGGCTGGCATGGTGGGAGTTGCCCAGGGGATCCAGGCAACAAGTCATGACTGGGGGTCAATGATTTTGACAACACTCCCTGCCAAGTGCTTCTCAGTTCTCTGAGTCCCTCCTAAGGAAATATGTTCTCTCCACACTAACTGGAGTGTCTTACTTGGTTCTGAGTTATGAACCAAGACAAGTTGATGAAGCTGGGTGAGCTGCCTGGCCGCTTGGGCTTAGCACAGGCCTGGTGTGTTGCAGGGAGAAGCCAGCTCTCCCGATGCTTGAGATGTTCTGGATGTCAGGCCCGGCTTCCTCCCTCCACTGTTCTGAGCAAGAAGCATCTGACTGTTTTCTTACTGGAACTGGCAGCTCCACGCTGTCTCAGAGTGAGTCAGGTCCTTTGATTATAATGACAGTTAAGAAGGGAAAGAGGCTGGCATTCGTCTTGCCATGGGAGACGAAGGAGGGAGAGAAGGGATCCTATCAGTATCTTCACAGCTGCGATAAAGAAACAAACAGATATGTACAAGAACGATTCTAGGTAGCCAGACATTTTGCACCCTGAAGCTTTGATGAGTCAGACAATAAAACTGGATTTTCTTTTTTTTTTTCTTTTTTTTTTTTTTAATTTTTTCTGAGATGGAGTCTCACTCTGTTGCCCAGGCTGGAGCACAGTGGTGCAATGTTAGCTCACTGTAACCTCTGCCTTCTGGGTTCCAGTGATTCTCCTGCCTCAGCCCCCCGAGTAGCCAGGACTACAGGTGTGTGCCACCACGCCCAGCTAATTTTTGTATTTTGAATAGAGACGGGGTTTCACCACGTTGGCCAGGCTGGTCTTGAACTCCTAACCCCAGGTGATCTGCCTGCCTCGGCCTCTCAAAGTGCTAGAATTACAGACGTGAGCCGCTGTGCCCAGCCAAACTGGATTTTCTTGAACTGTGTGATGTTTGGGAGGGTCTTAGTTTAAAATAAAGTAGAATAGCTGGTCTATTATACTGTGTGAACGGCACAAGATTTCCTTGGGCTACAGTTACTTAAATTTTACTGTAACAGGTTTCACTTGGCAACATACGCAGATGGACTGATGCTGCTTTGTTGAACTGTAGGTTCCTGGGTCCCACCCCTGACCTACTGAGTCACAATGTGTGAGGAGCAGAACCCCAGCACGAGTGTATTTTTTTTAAGTCTCCTGGTGATTCTGATATGCACAAGGGTTCAAAATCAGTTTTTCAGGGCATGAGACTTCTGAGACTTCGTTTATAAGTAGATAGAATGAGTCTATCACTTCTAGTGAAAAAGGAGCCACTTCTGAAAGTGAAGGAACAAAAATTTACTAACAACCAGTTTGCTGTATTATATTGGTGAATATAAAAAGGTATTTTCAAAAATAAAATTATGGGCCAGGTGCAGTGGCTCACTCCTGTAATCCCAGCATGACTTTGGGAGGCCAAGCAGGCAGATCACCTGAGGTCAGGAGTTTGAGACCAGCCTGGCCAACATGGTGAAACCCCATCTCTACTAAAAATACAAAAATTAGCCGGGCGTGGTGACGCACGCCTGTAATCCCAGCTACTCCAGAGGCTGAGGCAGGAAAATCGCTTGAACCTGCAGGGTGGAGGTTGCAGTGAGCCCAGATCATGTCATTGCCCTTCAGCCTGGGCGACAAGAGCAATACTCCGTCTCTAAAATAAAATAAAATTCTGATAATACAATGTTAAAAGTGAATAATCCAGAACAGGTGGTAGCCTAAACGGGTTGCCTCATCAACAGATGCAAGCCAGGAGTATATGGAGCAAACTGGGATGGATGGCTACCCAAATTGTAAAGAAGCAAGAAATCTATAAAATTTAAATGTTTCCCCTGGACTCTGCTCAGTGATTCCAAAGATGTTCACTGGATTTGCCTAACAACCATATTTACATTGCAATGTTTATTAGATAAAGCTTTGTGGAAGTCTTAACTATTGACAATAATTTAAGCTTGGCAGGTTTTGACTGTCTTCCTTTCAGCAAGACCTCTTTTAGGCTTCTGTAGCTATAGTGTTACACTCAGAAATGACAGTTCTTGGCTCACAGCTCTAAACGTCTGGTGAGAATGGTCTTCTCTGAAATAATTCTATTTGTAATCATCTTGTTGGAGGCGTGATTGAGGGGGAGATAGGGTTTGGAGACCGAAGAGGGTAGAATAGGGGACTTTGGCACAAAGTTTCCTTGACTGTTAGGAGCCACTGGCTGAGGTGGAGATGGTGAAAATACCCCCCATCACTCTTCACTTCAGATGGAAATTACCACGGGAAATATTAAAGGCAACAGGGATCGTAGATTTCTTTTGAACCAGAAAAATAGCTGCAAACAGATCATTGATACGTTGTTATTCTTGAACTTGTCTTTGGTGCCAACCATGCATGGCACAAAATCACTAGGATCCATCCCTGCCCAAAGGAATGAATATATCTGTCCTCAGTGCAGAAATCCATCTACCTCTAATTTATTTATTTACTTATTTTTATTCTTATTTCTTTTTGAGACGGGGTTTCGCCGTATCGCCCGGGCTGGAGTGCAGTGGTGCGATCTTGGCTCACTACAACCTCCACCTCCCAGGTTCAAGAGATTCTCATACCTCAGCCTCCCTAGCAGCTGGGACTACAGGCACGCACAACCACGCCCAGCTGATTTTTTGTATTTTTAGTAGAGATGGGATTTCGCCACATTGGCCAGGCTGGTCTCAAACTCCTGACCTCAGGTGATCCGCCTGCCTCGGCGTCCCAAAGTGCAGGTGTGATCACCACACCCGGCCTACCTCTAATTTATTAACTGCAAGACTTCAGTATAAAACAAGGTATTTTTCCCTTAGGAATGAGGCCACTCCTGCTCAGCATCCCCCATCATTGTGCTACCCACAGAGGGCTTTGAGTTAACTCCCACACTCCTGTTGAGCCCAGGAGGAAGTGCTGATGACTGCTGGCCAGAGCAGTTAACACCTTCCTTATCTTCCTCTGCAGTTCTTATTCAATCTTAAATACATCGTCATCCAACTCTCTCACGTTTGGGGATGGAGTATTGGAGAGGCGGCCTTATGAGGACCAGGGGCTCGGGGAGACGACTCCTCTTACTATCATCTGCCAGCCCATGCAGGTAAGGCTGATTGCTAGGGTCACACCCCCAACTCTAACCAGGATTCACTGAGAACCTATTTATTAAGCATGAGGCCTTGCCCTTGCTGTCTCCAAAGCTTCCACGATCTCTTGGGAAGAAAGTACACCAAATTATAAAAGATATACAAAAATTCAAGGCTAGGAAGAGTCAGATGAGCAGTACTGACAGTTACTTCCAGCATTTGAACCTAGGTTCATAAGGAACGTTGTTCCACAGAGATAGGAGGAGAGTTTATCTCTAAAGTAGGAATAATGCCCATAGTTGTATCTGTTTTGTAGGTTGTTACAAAGATTAAAGAAAATAATAAAATTAGGCTCTTAGCACCATAACTGGCATATAATGAGTGCTCAGTATGTGTTAACTTTTTCAAGGAAGGTTGGAGATGGAAGGAGGCAGGGAGTCGTTGTTGAACAGTACAAATAGAGGCAAGCTGAAAGTTCAAGCATGTTGAGGATCAAGAGAGTAACCATTGTGGCTGGAGCCCAGGATTTAAATTAAGGAACAACAGGAAAAGAGATGGGAAGGATCATGCCACCGTTCCACATATTAACCACGTCAGGGCAACTAGAAGCAAATGTGAAGTGCTGGCCCGCGCTAAGGAAACTGGAAAAGCTGACTGCATCAGAAAGACGGAATGCAGAAACAGCTGTAAGGTTCCATCCAGCAGTTATAGAAGCCAAAGTCATTTGGACAAGCCTTTGACTAGATTTGCCTATGTCATCACCCAGAGGTAGCAGTTGTCTCATTTTGGGGATCATATATATAGTCAGACAGCAGAGGCTACATAGTGATTAGAATAGGAAAACAGGGTCTCATTACTGGAGCAGACCATGAGGACCATGTGGTCTGTCCACACACTTTAGAGAAGAGGTAGACACATTTGTGATCACAGAAGTCCTCACTCCCTGAAGAAGTTGATGAATTGCCCCTTTTTGGGGGGAAGGTGCCCCACTAGATGGCTCTCTCTACATGAATGGCTAGTTTTACCTCTGAGCTGTAACTTAAAGTGGACGTCATATTTTAGTGGCCACTTTAATGGCCAAATGCTACTCCTACAAAGAGCAGCCGTAGCAACAATAATGCCCTTTTCATAACCCTTCCTATTTTATAAAGCACATGCAGTTTATCTTATTCCAGCCTCCAAATAACTTATGAGGTCTGTAGGACGAGTCTTACTGTCCTCACCAAGTCATACCTTGGCAGAACTTTGGTAGTAGAGCTCAGCTCACCTGGCACCTGGCTCCAAGACATGTCCACTTTGCCATGTGTGTCTTCACTAATAGCCTTTCTTTCTCTGCAGCCGCTGAGGGTCAACAGCCAGCCCGGCCCCCAGAAGCGATGCCTTTTTGTGTGTCGGCATGGTGAGAGGATGGATGTTGTGTTTGGGAAGTACTGGCTGTCCCAGTGCTTCGATGCCAAAGGTGAGTTGGTGGTGGGCCTGCTCAGCACTGCCATACCCATAGTGGCCTCTAGGCGGCACAGTCAAGCTACAGTTATCTAGATGGAGTCATTCATAGTTTTGCGTACTATAGAAGATGTCTGTCATGTGTAAGCCCCTCCTGATTGTCTTGAGCTTTAGAGAAGAAGTAAGTGTTCTTGTCCCCATTCTATAAACTGGGATACCACGGACCAAAGAAGACAGATGTCTTGCCCCAGGTCATATGGCAAAGTCAGCAGCAGAAACGTGCCCTGATCCTATGGCCAGAGTTCCTGCCATTAAATCTCCCTGGCTCGCTCGGTTCCATTTTCATTTGAGTAGCATTTGAAGATACAGAGGCTTGCTTAACCAGGGAATCTCACCTGCTTTAAAGTGCCTGGTTATTACCTTCACTGAGAAACTACCTCATGTCACTTTTGTCAGTAGAATGGAAAAGTGGATTCCAAGTCACTTTATGAAACAAAATGTCAGCCTTGATATTTTCTATCAGCTCCAGAGAGCTCAGTGTGATCTCTTTGGCCAAGAAGGAATGGGGGTGGAGAGTGTCAGGATCAGTAAGGGAGTCCCAAGTAAACAAGAAATGTATGTATCCTCTGTCTAACCTCTTTGTTTTTCAGGCCGCTACATACGCACCAACCTGAACATGCCTCATAGTTTACCTCAGCGGAGTGGTGGTTTCCGAGATTACGAGAAAGATGCTCCCATCACTGTGTTTGGATGCATGCAAGCAAGACTAGTGGGTAAGTATCCTGGAGTGACTGCACTCCAGGCATTTCTTGCCTCCTCCTTCAAAACACTGGTACCATGGATATGCAAGACACTTCCTGTGGGTTTCTATAACTTTCCTACAAGTTTCCTCAATTCAAAAGGAACTTACTACACAACCATTAAGTTTAGGACACTGTGCTCAGCCCTGGGTTGGTTGACCAAAGTGAATGAGGTGTGGTCCTTATTGAGGAGCACGTGATCCAGTAATGGCGTGGGTTACTGTGCTCACTCTTGGATGTAGCAGACAGGTCAGCTTCTAGTTCAAGACAGCAGCATCTGCCAAACATGGCTGTGGAAGAGGACAAGAGTGAAGAAGATGGACCCTGGACTTGCTGAATTTGTAAAGGCCAACTGATCCTTTGAAGATGCCTAGCTCTTTGCAAGCCCATTCCATTACTGGCACGGGGAGATAGTATTTTCTGTTCAGTCACTTAGCAGATATTTAGTGCTCACTTACTTTGTGCAAGGTATTGGACTAGGGGAACCCAAGTGTGAGTCAGGGAAACAAACTTATGTGTGGATAAATATCATACAATATGATATACATAGAGCTATGCACTAATGTGTATGTATTGATTGCATGCATCCAGACATAGTGATATGCATAGAGCTATGCATGGTCACAGAATATTATGGGAACACAAAAAGACATCTAAGAGTGAAGAGGTGAGCTGAGAGCTGAAGTAGAAGTTAGCTGGGCAAAGAAGGAATAGGAGTGAGGAAATGGCATTCTCAGTGGGAGGGACCACATAAAGAGTCTTAGGCTTGAGAAACAGCCTCAGGAATGCAGGGGAAACAAAGTGTCTTGTGTCTAGAGTATAAATTGTGAGGCAAGGCAGAGATGAGGCTAGCAAGATGGATAAAGGCAAGTTCATGGAAGACCTTGGCCACCATATTAAGGTGTTTGGATTTAATCCAGTAGACAAAATAACTGGATTCCAGGCCAGGCGTGATGGCTCTCACCTATAATCTAGCACTTTGAGAGGCTGAGGCAAGAGGATTGCTTGAGACCTGGAGTTCGAGGCTGCACTGAGGTATGATCACACCCCTGCACTCCAGCCTGAGTGACAGAGCAAAACCCTATCTCTAAAAATTAAATTAAGAATAATAATAAATTTTTTAAAGAAGTGGATTTTATGAGGATAGCATTAAAGTATGAGGTGTTGGGATTTATCTCTGGTATCTAAAAATATGACATGTTGAGATTTTGGTTAGCACAGAATAAAATTAAAACAAGACCTAATATTCATAAAATAAATCCTCTTTCACAAACTTGAAGCCAAAGTATTGTCCTGTTTCTAAATATCTCCTAGCTAAAGCCTTTACCACTTGTTAGCACCAGAGGGAAGGGAAAGAAAAGACAAGAAGGGGCCAGGTGTGGTGGCTCACGCCTGTAATCCCAGCACTTTGGGAGGCTGAGGTAGGCGGATCACGAGGTCAAGAGATCGAGACCATTCTGGCCAACATGTTGAAACCCCATCTCTACTAAAAGTACAAAAATTAGCTGGGTGTGGTGGTGCGCGCCTGTACTCCCAGCTACTCGGGAGGCTGAGGCAGGAGAATGGCTTGAACCCGGGAGGCAGAGGTTGCAGTGAGCCGAGATCACACCACTGCACTCCAGCCTGGCGACAGAGCGAGACTCCATCTCAAAAAAAAAAAAAAAAGACAAGACAAGAAGGGCTCTGTCGCTTGCTCTCATAGGAACGCCGATGAGGGGTTTTGTTAGAAACTAACAAAGGCTGAAACTACTGGCTCTATGTGAGCCCCAGTTAGGAAAGAGGGGTTTACAGGAGCTTACTGCTTGGCCCCCTCTCACACTGCGGGTCAAGGTGAGACTGAGTAAATCCATCAGACTGATTTTTTTGTGGTTTTCTTTGCAGGTGAAGCCTTATTAGAGAGCAATACCATTATCGATCATGTCTATTGCTCCCCGTCCCTTCGCTGCGTTCAGACTGCACACAATATCTTGAAAGGTAAGACTTGCAGGTTGACAAAAACAAGTAGTCCATCCCTCTCTTTCTAGGCAGCCCCACACATAAATTATCTTAGAGCCATGGGACATTTGCCAGTTGAAAGCTTTGAATCTGGAATGAAGCAAGGATTCTTTCAGAAGGCGATCTTTGCACAAGTCACAAAAACATACTCTGGGCCGGGCACGGTGGCTCATGCCTGTAATCCCAGCACTTTGGGAGGCTGAGGCAGGCAGATCACCTGAGGTCAGGAGTTCGAGACCAGCCTCAACATGGAGAAACCCCGTCTCTAGTAAAAATACAAAATTAGCCAGGTGTAGTGCTGCATGCCTGTAATCTCAGCTGCTCGGGAGGCTGAGGCAGGAGAATTGCTTGAACCCGGGAGGCGGAGGTTGTGGTGAGCCAAGATTGCGCCATTGCACTCCAGCCTGGGCAACAAAAGTGAAACTCCATCTCAAAAAAAAAAAAAAAATACTCTGGCAGCCTAAGCAAAATAAAAGGAAGTATACTAATGTTTTCCTTGAGAATTTAAAGTGCTCTTGGATGAATCCTAGGCTTGCAAAATGTTTAGAACTTACAGAGTGTGATCCTTTCTTTACACTTAATAGTCAAATAACTTTCCTGTTTTGGTCTGTTGTTTGCCTCCTGTTGACAGCAGCAAGGGTGCTCTTAGGAGCCTCAAATCTTAATCATCATTTTTTTCTTTACTTAATTAGAAAGACTTTAAAAGCACCATTGCTACCAAGATACTCAACTTTCACCCTAAAATCTGTGGAAGCGTGAGTTACAGGTATCTCCATTCTCATTTCATGGGAAGGAAAACTAAAAGCAACAGGATTAGACTGTTTACTTCTACCAAGAAATGAATGAGCCAGAAATAAACAAGCCAACAAAGAATTTGACACTGCATCTGAGTCTTCTATCCTTTAACCTTAAGTAAACCTCTTCACTACCAGAAGGGATTTATGTATTAAATTTGCACAGAACAACTGGACTACATGCAATATGAAGATAACTAAGCAGGGACTATTTCTAGGAAGCCAGTTACACTACAGTAAAACAGAGGACTTCTACACCGCTACTAGTAAATGTTCAGCATTAGATTTTCTGATAGAGAAAATGAATAATTTACATGATATTCAAATACGATGTTGGATACTCAGAGACTATCTGAAGTTTCTTGGTAAGGCCATCATGGAATTTGCTTTAGAAAGAGGAATTATGGGGGCCAGGCGCAGTGGCTCACGCCTGTAATCCCAGCACTTTGGGAGGCCGAGGCGGGCGGTTCACGAGGTCAGGAGATCGAGACCATCCTGGCTCACACGGTGAAACCCCATCTCTACTAAAAATACAAAAAAAAAAAAAAAAAAACAAGAGCTGGGCTTGGTGGCAGGCGCCTGTAATCCTAGCTACTTGGGAGGCTGAGGCAGGAGAATTGCTTGAACCCAGGAGGCGGAGGTTGCAGTGAGCCGAGACTGTACCACTGCACTTCAGCCTAGGTGACAGAGCAAGACTCTGTATCAAAAAAAATAATAATAATAAAGAAAGAAAGAGGAATTATGGTAGTCACAGAATTGAATAAATTTTCTTTTTTTGAGATAGAATCTCGCTCTGTCACCAAGGCTGGAGTGCAGCTGCACAATCTTGGCTCACTACAACTTTCGCCTCCTGGGTTCAAGTGATTCTCCTGCCTCAGCCTCCTGAGTGCTGGGACCACAAGTGCACGCCTCCACACCCTGTTAATGTTTGTATTTTTGGTAGAGATGGGGTTTTACCATGTTGGCCAGGCTGTTCTCAACTCTTGGACTCAAGTAATCTGCCCTCCTCCGCCTCCCAAAGTGTTGGGATTACAGGTGTGAGCTACCGCACCCAGCCTCGAATAAATTATATGGATAATGAGCTGTGGCTTTTTTCCTGAAGTCAGATATGACTTAAAGCCAGCATACATCCTGGGGGTACGGCAGGAGTATTAAACTCATGTATTAGTAATGCACAAAAATTAAAAACCTTGTCCAAATCCACATGCTTCCATTTCTGTTTAGCTATATATAGCAGCCAGTAGGAAAGAGAATAGCTGATTTATCAGAATTTTTATAACAACTTGGCCTGAGAATCCACAGGCACTTTCTTCATCTTCACTGTATTTTACCCCTAAGGTTTACAACAAGAAAATCACTTGAAGATCCGTGTAGAGCCCGGCTTATTTGAGTGGACAAAATGGGTTGCTGGGAGCACATTACCTGCATGGATACCTCCATCAGAGTTAGCTGCAGCCAACCTGAGTGTTGATACAACCTACAGGTAAGCCTCGGAAACTGCTGCTTACTGAGGCCAGTGTGGAAGTGCTTTCTGCACTAGCACTAGGCCAGGTTCAGGAAGGAGCCAGGGCTGGACATCACCTACAGGCAGTTGTCCATAGTGGTGGAAAACGAGCTATGATTTTAGAAATCAAAACTGGAGAAAAGCCAGCATTTTTTTCATATTTGGCATTAGTGTGGATTAGATTCTCCAGCCTCACCCCCGTGTTGGATTTTTCTGACTTTATTATACCTGTTTCAGTGTAATAAAACCATTTTGCATTCCAGCAATAAGCACGAGCTAATGATGATGCAGTTGAGAAGATTGGAGCGATAAGGGAGATGATGATGTCTTGTCTTACAGTTTCTACGTTTAATTTTTCAAAGCATTTTTAAATCTCTGTATTATCTTTGTTTATTATTGCTATATCCCCAGAATGTAGGTAAACCATTTTTATGTATGAGAGAGTTCAAATAACTTGCCTAAAGGTATTTATACATTTAGTGACCACACATAACAATAATAATAATAAACTTTATTCATCATTTTCCACATGTCCAGCACCATGCAATCTGCTGTACAGTCATCTCATTCCTGTTCCTTTCCTTTTTCCATTAGACCCGACTGTGCTGGGATTTTAAAAAGTGTTTGTTGATTGCTTACAGGTGAATAATCTGCATGTATACAATTAAGAATTAATAATAGGGCTGGGCACGGTGGCTCACGCCTATAATCCCAGCACTCTGGGAGGCCGAGGCAGGTGGATCGTGAGGTCAGGAGATCAAGACCAGCCTGTCCAACATGGTGAAACCCCGTCTCTACTAAAAATACAAAAATTAGCTGGGCGTGGTGGCACACGCCTGTAGTCCCAGCTACTAAGGAGGCTGAGGCAGGAGAATCGCTTGAACCCAGGAGGCGGAGGTTGCAGTGAGCCAAGATTATGCCACTGCACTCCAGCCTGGTGACAGAGTGAGACTCTGTCTGAAAAAAAAAAAAAAAAAAAAAAAGAATTAATAATAATATAGTTACCTTAACTATCAAAAGTCTACTCAGGTATTTGTAAAAATCTCTTTGAGAAGGAACAGATAGTCACAACCATTATAATGGGGAATTAAGTTCATATTTCTTAAGGCAGAGTTTGTAACAAGTGGTCAATATAAGCAGAACTTTCTTATGTGATATCTGTTGACCTTTCATTTTAAATACCTACCCAAACCACATTAAAGCAATGTGCATTTCTGGCTAAGGTAATAGACAATATATTCTTTTTCCATACTCATTTTTTCTGTTCAGCAAATAAGACCTCGGATAACCCCATTAACTAGTTATGTGCTGCTGCTGCTGCTTGTCTTAAAGGAATTAGCATTCCTCAAAAACAAAATTAGATCAATCAACAGGATCCCCTATGAATACACTTCACATTTTGTTCTATCCCCTCTCTGGCCACTGGTTTTCTGTTCTTTGCAGGGAATTAGCAATAAATTGTTGTCCCCCATGCAGCAGCCAGCATCCCTTTGGCCTGGAAAGAGGAGGAGTTGCCACCAACATTGGTTAAGTGACTTTCACCATTTACCACCAGCCCCACCCAGACCAATTTAGGTCAACTATGTATTTTATATTTCCTCTAGATGTGTTTTGCCATTGCCTCCCAAGCGGCCTTACAAAGGTCTCCAGAATCGTCCTACCTGAGCCTGTCAATGTACACTCAGATACACACCCCACCAGCAGTGTGAGCAGAAGGATGAATGCCAGGAGCCTGGGGATCAGGACACAGTCCTTATTCCAGATTGCCTTTTCCTCTCCGGCAAATCAGAATTCAATTCAACCATTTTCTGTTTGGCGAGGGAGTTGGGGTAGGAGATGAAGCCTCTAATTTGAAAAATCAGTTGAGAAAGCCAAAGTTGAAGCATGTGAAAGGGACAGCCCCGGAGTTTAATTCCCTATGAAATTAATGATGCCAAATGGACAAGCCTTTGGAAGCAAGGAAGTGGTGCCCAGATGATTGAAGACATGTGGTGACAGGCAGAAAGGGAAGCCCTGAGAGCCGGGGTAGTGTGAATCAGGCAGGCTCTGCTGAAAGAGCCCTCTCACCTTGCAACAGGGGTAGGAAGAGAACAGGAGGGAGGTGGGACTGAAAGCCGAGTTAGGGAAGCTAACCAGGCTGGTGACTAATATTGAAGCATCATCCACAGGCAGCAAGACCAGCCCAGGGCCTGGGGGGGTTGAAAACAACCCCAGCCTTGAGGAGCTGGGCCAGAGGAGCAAGGCAGAAAAAACAAAATCCACACCAGCTGGGTGGGGCTTCAGAACAGAGCCCTGACTCAGAGGACAGGGGACTGGGGGAGGGTATGGATCTGGAGTGTTGGAGGGGAAACAAATCAAACTTTGGCATGAGGCTCAAAGCAGAGGCCTGTGCTTACAACCTGGACCACAGCAAGGTGGGGAGCAGAGAGTATATGGGGGAGGATACAGTTTCGGGGATGCCACCTGACTTCCAGAGCACCGTATTCCAGGTTGAGTGGGTGGGGGGAAGGCCACCTGACTCTGAGGACAGTACAGGGCCTGCAGGTGTGGCTAGCAGCATGACGTGACCTGCTGACAAGGGTGAGGAAGCTTTGACTCAGGCCAAGCCCATCAGGACTCCAGACACTGGAGTCATTCACAGGCTCCACTTTAAGGTGCTGGGAGAAGCCATAGGCAAGAACTGATCAGGACGAACCAGATCCCAGCATGTATCCCGCTCTTCACCTACATAAATCTCACACATTACATGGTCTCACACTTGAAATGACTCCCTGGGCCATACAAAGTGGACTTTTGTCACTGTGGGCAGGGGATGGGCCTGGGAGATGAGGTGACATAAATGGTGATGGAACTGGGTGAGAGGTGGGGATGGGGACAGAAAAAGAGGAGAAAGCTTGCTCCAGAACAATGAGGTACAGCCCCAACAAGTGGTGATTCAGGTCTCTACCTATCCCCCAGGGTGTTGTGAGACTCAGAAGGCTGTTTCCTAGGAGAAACAGGCATGCTGAGAGAATGCAGGATATGGGCAAGTTTCCTTCAAGTGGAACGGCATCCTTCCCCTGGACAGTAAGCCGGTGTGCACAGAAGGCCAGGCTTAGCAAGGGCACTGTCAGAAGCTGTGTGTAGAGGATCGGCTCACAGGCCAGACTCCAGACTCAGATTCAAATCCAGATTCTAAGAGTTGCTAACGGTGTTAGCATAGGGAAGTCAGCTGCAGCCTTTCTGAGCTTCTGTTTTGTCATCCATAAACAGCATTTATGAAAGCATTGCTGGGAGGATTAGACCGAAGAAATGCAAGCAGGACACTCGCACAGAGCCTGACACATATGGGAACCTCAGTAAATATTTTCAGTGCTAATAGTAGTGGTAATAGCCTACTTCTGATCAAGAGGCCATGTGAATTCATTTTGAGAACTTACCACACCTCCACCAGGCACTAAACACCCAGCAGTGAAAGACAAAATATGAAAATTGACAAAATAAGAAAATTGAAATGACATAGTTGTACCCAGAAAACAAGATAAACATCTTGTGGACCAGAAACAACATAGAAACTCTACATAGTTAAGCGGGGGTGGAGGCAGGCAGAGGCAGGCCCCAAGGGCATTGGTGACTGGGTTTGAAGACATGCAGGGGCACCGGGACAGGAAGCCTAGCTTTGATCATCCTCTTCCATGCTGTGTTAGTTCGTTTTCACGCTGCTGACAAAGACATACCTGGGACTGGGCAATTTACAAAAGAAAGAGGTTTAACTGGACTTATAGTTACATGTGACTGGGGAAGCCTCACAATCATGGCGGAAGGCAAGGAGAAGCAAGTCACGTCTTAACATGGATTGCAGCAGGCAAAGAGAGAGCTTGTGCAGGGAACTCCCCTTTTTAAAACGGTCAGATTGGCTGGGTGCAGTGGCTCATGCCTGTAATCCCAGCACTTTGGGAGGCCGAGGTGGGCGGATCATCTGAGGTCAGGAGTTCAAGACCAGCCTGGCCAACATGGTGAAACCCTGTCTCTACTAAAAACAATACAAAATTAGCCGGGTGTGGTGGCGCATGCCTCTAATCCCAGCTACTTGGGAGGCTGAGGCAGGAGAATTGCTTGAACTCAGGAGGCGGAGGTTGCAGTGAGTCGAGATCGAGCCATTGCACTCCGGCCTGGGCAACAAGAGTGAAACTCAATCTCAAAAATAAAACAACAACAACAACAAAAAACAAATAACAAAAAATAAATAAATAAAAATTTTAAAAAATAAACCATCAGATCTTGTGAGACTTATTCACTATCACGAGAACAGCACAGGAAAGACCTGCCCCCATGATTCAATTATCTCCCACCAAGTCCCTCCCACAACATGTGGAAATTCAGGATGAGATTTGGGTGGGGGGCACAGCCAGGCCCCCAGGCCGGTGAGGGACACACAGTATCACATGCCTTTGTAGATTGTATAGTAATTATCATTTACATCAATAACCTCTTCACCCCAACCACAGGCAGAGAACTTTTCCAACACAGAAATTGAGTGGTCTTCATCTTTATGCTTTGCACTTCTCCTTGTGCCAAGTGTATGGTCTGTGTTCAAAATAAGAGAGAATTAAAGGAAAAGACTGGTGAAATTTGATAAACTCGCAAAGAATCAGATGGACCTAATATCTGCGTTTAAAACCCATCCTTGCTGCTCTTGAAGAGAGGTCTGGGAAATCCCTGCTGATCTAAATAGGTTGAGGGTTCCATCTCTGCTTTGTTTTGTATTAGCTATGTGACTAGGACCATCCATCAATGGCTTATTTGTTATCCCGAGAGTGAAACATGCACTGAATGTCTCATTTTTCACCTGGTCACTGTAACGCCATACACATAGCTGTTATTTCTGTACATTTCCACTCCATGTTCATATAGTAGAAATGCTGTTCCCTATACCTTTCTCCTTTCTAGGGAAATGGATAAACAAACAGATCTACGGGATCTTTAGAAATGCCTTGAAATAAAAGTTTAGAGTGATATCTTCCTTTGTCTCAAGATCAAAATGTTTTCATTTCCTTTGTTCATTTTTCTATTACAGACCTCACATTCCAATCAGCAAATTAGTTGTTTCAGAATCCTATGATACTTATATCAGTAGAAGTTTCCAAGTAACAAAAGAAATAATAAGTGAATGTAAAAGTAAAGGTAAGTGGTATTATTCTGAACTCCATCTGTACATACGTGATTATTTCTCTATAATGGTTAATAGGTTATTCAAGATGTTTCAACTTGCTTTGGCTAACCAAAGAAATGTATTTCCAGATTTTCTTCCAGATACTTTTACATTAAATTTGTAATATTCTCTGAGTTCCTAAAATGGTAGATATTCCAGGGGTTTATACCAGACTTAGTTACTATTCTTAATAACTTAAATTCTGCGTTATAGCTATTCTTCTTGCACCCTGTGAAAGAGATTCCCTCTTATAATTTCCAAAAGCTCTAGCATGCCACTGTTTTGCCTATAATTGATGCAGCGGCATGCACACCTACACACAGCACACCTACACAAACACATACACCTTCCCTGCTATCACCAACCAAGAGCAGTGTTGTATAAGGCTCAAGTGTGTTTGCTATTGAATTTTCTAAACACTGAGCTCAAATATTTAATATGTAAGACTGTTCACTATCAATTTTTTAGTGAAAAAGGCATATTGCAAAAAAAGTATGGACATTCCCTTCATCTCTTTTTTTAAGTTAAAATACTTATATTCAAACAGTAGGCAGCCATGAGCAACAGTATTATGAATGATTCCCACCTTCCAGTTTTCATTGATTAGCCACTCACTACCATAAAGGTACACAACATGTTCTATCAACCAGGAAGTCTCAAGTGCTCATAGTTCTATAGTGGGAACACTTAAAACTATGTTAGAAGGAGTTGCACAGACAGCCCTATGGACACACAACAGTCCTGTATCTTGATTGTCATGGTGTTACAAAAAGCTACACATATGATAGAATTGCATGAACTGTATCGTCACATATGCACAAACGACTTCTTGCACACCTGCTAAAATCTGAATACGCTGTGTGTATTGTACCAGCGTCCATTTCCTGGGTTTGATACTGTACCATAGTTATGTAAGATGTTACCATTGGAGGGGGATGGGATGAAGGGTTCATGGGATCTTGTCGGTATGTATGTATATGTATGTAACCCTCCCATAAATCCATAATTATTATTATTATTTTTGAGACAGGGTCTTGCTCCTGACACTCAGGCTGGAGCGCAGTGATGCAATCATGGCTCACTATAGCCTCAATCTCCTGGGCTCAAGTGATCCTCCCACATCAGCCTCCCAAGTAGCTGGGACTGCAGGCACAGGCCACCACACCCAGCTAATTTTTTAAAAATTTTCTATAGGGACAGGGTCTCACTATGTTGCTCAGGCTGGTCTCAAACTCCTGAACTCAAGTGGTCCTCCCTCCTCGTTCTCTCAAAATTACTGGGATTACAGGGATGAGCCACCACACCCGGCCCCATAAATCTGTAACTATTTTAAGATAAATGTTTTCTTTAAAAAGATTAAGCTGCCTTATCAGTAACAAAGCACTTTCAAAATATTGCTTAGGCAAATTGTCTTCTTGAGTGTGTTTGCTCCCCTGCAGAGCATTTAGTTAGCTTCCAGTATTTGCAAAGTTTCCATGTCTTTATAGAAACAGTCTTCCCATACCTTGCCATTTTCCCCCAGGAAATAACATCCTGATTGTGGCCCACGCATCTTCCCTTGAAGCGTGTACCTGCCAACTTCAGGGCCTGTCACCTCAGAACTCCAAGGACTTCGTACAAATGGTCCGAAAGGTAATTCATTCTCGTACTTTGGGGTCCGTGATGGCTAGTAGTTTGAAGTCAGTACAGTGACTGGCTGATTACCAAGTTCTTTGAAGCATGTGTTTATGCTGAGCTGGGAATATTCATTTATTGCTTCACTCAACCAAGATGTATTGAGTGATACTCTGTGCAGGGCACTTTATTAAGCCTTGTGTTAGAAAAACAATGTATGAGAGCTAGTTCTAGCTTCTAAGAGCTAAAATGTAGGAAGCAGCTAGGAATTATAAGCAAATTGTCTGGATTTCCCTGAGGGACCTTCTCTGAATTTCCCTGAGGGAACTTGGGTTGGATCAATAGAGGTCAGTCCAAAAGACAGCATCTGAAAGCTTAACTCAAACACAGGTCCTTGAAGGTAGGCCGAGGCATGCAGCAGTTTCAAATGAGGAGGCTAAAAGGCAAAGCCAGGAACAAGACAGCAAGACAGAAAACCCATGAGGCTGACCCACACATCTGGAGTCTTCCTTTCTGTGCCTGTGGGAGAGGTTTTCTGGTCAGCTGCCTCCCACACACTTCCCTTCAGGCAAATTACATACTTCCTTTCTCTGCCGCCAGAGAACCTGGTTCAAACTCAATTGCAATCTTTTTTCACATTTTTGAAAAGTTTATTTATGCATCTGTCCTCATTTGTAAGTGCTGGAAGACAGAGAATTTTGTCTTGTTTGTAAATGCAGCTCTGGACACAGACAAAAATAAGTTTTAAAATTGCTGTGACAACTGAAGTGAGGGAGAGCACAGCTTCAGCTTTGAATGTTGCAGAGACTCGTAAGGAGAAAAAAAAAACGGGTGAAACAAATTTTTTCAAATTGAAAAATATTTTCCATTGGGTCCAAGTATAATTTCAGAAATGTTTGAGCTGACTTTTTCTTTTCTTTTTTCTTTTTTTTTTGAGACAGAGCCTTGCTCTGTCACCCAGGCTAGAGCACAGTGGCGTAATCTCGGTTCACTTTAACCTCTGCCTCCTGGATTCAAGCGATTCTCCTGATTCAGCCTCCCACGTAGCTGGGATTACAGGCACATGCCACCACGCCCAGCTAATTTTTTGTATTTTTAGTATAGATGAGGTTTGCCATGTTGGCCAGGCTGGTCTCGAACTCTTGACCTCAAGTGACCCGCCCGCCTCGGCCTCCCAAAGTACTGGGATTACAGGCGTGAGCCACTGTGCCCGGCCTTGAGCTGCCTTTTTACCTGGACTTGCAATTGGGAATTAACTCCTGGCATTGTAGCCTTATGTATTTTGGTCCTCTTTTTCTGCCACCCAATTAAGCAGCAATCTATGAACAATGACTTAATTACTTTAGGGGAGGTCACCATTTAATGGATCCTTCTGATGAATCCTCTTGCAATGTAAATACTCTTCTAAGTTACCAGTTTTACCCATTTTATTTTATTTATCGATTTTTGAAGGGAATGCATTTCTACAAAGCCACTATCCATTTCTGACTGCAATTCTCTAGGGCCACATGAATATCTTTGTATTTAGGTAAAAGTTAAAGCATTAAACCTATCTCCTAATATCCCCTTTCTTTACGACTCTTACTTCAGATCCCATATCTGGGATTTTGTTCCTGTGAAGAATTAGGAGAAACTGGAATATGGCAGCTGACAGATCCACCAATCCTTCCTCTTACCCATGGACCAACTGGGGGCTTCAACTGGAGAGAGACCTTGCTTCAAGAATAAACCACACCAGTGAACAAGAAGGAAAGGCCTTTTGGAGTGTGTCTTTCTGTGTGTTTAAAAACAGTGGGAAAATCCACACCACACTCTAAGTGGACAGCTCAGAATAATTTAGCATATTTCCTTTCACACTTAAAGTTCTTAAGATGAGACTGTGTAAATGAGAGAAAGACTTGATTCAGAGGAAAAAAATGTGTTCTCTCTGGACTCTTGCCTAGCTCACAAGGCTTTGGAGAATTGTCTTCCTAAATCGGGGCACCTGCTACAGAAGAGAATGTTTCGTTCCCTCTGGGTATGCACAGCTAAGGGGCCTCATTTCTCCCAGAGGGAGCTGCTGGCCCGCTCTAAGGGGTGCAAGAGGAAGGAGTGTGCCCAGACCAGCTGGGGGAGCATTGAAAGGACAGCTTGGGGATGGAATTTTTTTTTTTTTATCTCCATTTTCCAGTTAGGTAGAGCCAAGCTGAGGAATCCTTTTAAGATTATTAGAAAACATGCCCTGAAGAGAGTTGTTCTTAGGTTACACATGAAATCCTACCGTCACTAGCCCCCATACACCAGTGTTGCTGGCTGAAGATACCCGCTTAAGGATGCTAACATTTACCCTGGTACTGCCACATTTTCTCTAGAGCAGCTGGCCCTTCTTGCTACAGCCCTATCCCCCCTCCTTGCTTCTGTGAAATGGGGAGACAAAGCACTTTTGCTCTCCAAAGCACTTTTGGATACTCAGGAGGAAAGATAAGATACATGTTTGAAGTATTCAATCATAGGAGCAAAGAACTTGCAAAATATGAAGTGACTTGGAATTAACCATGTTGTAGCCTAACGTGCTACTGCATTTCTAAATCATCAATATTTGCTTGTCTTTGCCCCTAGACTCTAGACTATGTTAACTAGTTAAGGATGTTACATTTTGAAAGGATGTATGTTAGATATATTATTTGCAGCAAGAAGTTCATTCTGTGCAATATGGACATGTTTGCAAACCATACCAAGGGTCAGGTTGTTGTACACTTACAGTACGTGTCAACCATAATGGAACATCCACAAATGCATCAATTATACCAGGGATGTATAGTAAGTCAGGGAACTAATATAAATGATGACAGTCATGGCTGCACTGCTACTTGTGCTGTCGTTTTGTTTGTTTTTCTATGATAATTTAAAATACATAGGTAGGGCTACTGAGGAAATTTGGAGAGCCACATTCTGTGGTTTCTCATTATACTTACTTCCTGCATTTAGAGGGAGTTTATTTAAAAGAAATAAATGACAATCAAACCAAATCATCAGTTATCAATGTCTGTTTAATTGTGTGACTATCTGACTGTTGATGGCCACAGATGATGGTCTCCTATGGTATAGTTCACTCTGTAGAAGATGTATGCAAAGTGAAATGCCAGCCCTTTAAAGAGACATTAGTTAGTGTAAAATGGATCTTTACATGTTGCAGTAACATTGACTATGTTTCAAAACTCAGATGCATAAAACGTAAGGTATATAAAAATACATCTATGCTTGCGTTTGAAACTACAACTTGATAACCCCTAGAAAGAAGAGGACATGAAAGGATGCTGGCTATATATGTTAATGAGCAAAAGGATTATAGTTGTTTTGTTTTGTTTTTAGAGACAGGGTCTCACTATAATGCTTAGACTGGTCTTGAACTCCTGGGCTCAAGCGATCCTCCTGCCCCTGTCTCCCAAAGTGCTAGGATTACAGGTGTGAGCCACCACACCTGGCCCATAGTTGTATTTTTTTTAGGTCACTTAGAAAAATATGTCATGTATTTTACATTTTGAGAAACAAATCAATCATGGTTTCTTCTAGCGTTGCGCAAACACTGACCCAGCTTCTGGGTATGGAAATAACCCTGTGATGATGTGTTAATATAAAATGTTGGGAGGGAATATTCCCAATAAAGGTCTTAAGAGAAAAGTCACATTACAAGTAATGTAATGGCTCTACCATTCATTCTTCTGGTATTTGTAATGAAGTGAATCCACTGTTTAATCAGATCCATAATCTTTAACAGATTCACCACAAATTTTCATGGGCGTTGAGTGCTCAGAATAATGCTTGAACACCTCACCTTGAAACTGTAGCAGTGTGTTCTGGGCAGTATCTGTAATGTATGAAATAGAGTCTGGAATAGGTTATCCACTCCATCTTCTAGGTTATCTTAGTTGTATGACGAACTGATAAATCTGTCTGACTGGGCTACAATCCATTGTTCTTAGTCCAATATGGACACTGCCTTAGGCAATGGTCTATATAAGCAAAAGGAGATAGAGATCTGAAATAATTTTCCGAATAATTCAGGTGGAAAACAAGAAAGATTGTATTTCTCTGCTTTCATTTCAATTTCATTATTTCAAATTGCTTGTCAAAATGGCCCAAAAGATCTGAATTCACATTAAGTTCCCCTTGCACACTTACCTATTTAAAAAACTAAACTTGCACTGCAACTGAGAAATTATTTGTAAATCATGTGGCATCTATGTATAATAAAAGAAAGAGACAACTATATTACTCAATTTCATATACATCCAAAAAGTATAGGCTAATATATATAACCTGAAGTTGCAGCTGGTTCTTTTTGATCTGAAGCTGATGCTTATTAAAACAAATGATGTATGGGGAGAGGAGAAGGAAGGGCAAGGAAGGAATTGACAGATAAGAAGCAAATGGTTTCTTGTACAGAGGAATTTTGTTTTAATGTAGAAAGTTATTTGAAATAAACTAGGTGAAATGAAATTAACTAAAGGTTTTAATCTGGGATTGAAAGCCTGAAAGCATTTCCTGCTTCTACAAGTGTGCCACATCAATCCGGTAATGCCCCAGTGTTATTCACAGACAGAACTTTGTTTCCTGTGATTTTAAAATACCGCGTCTGTTCCTCCATGGACCAGAGTAATTGGCACATTTTAATGCATAAGCTGGGGGTTTCATTTTCCCAGGCTCTCTTCACCATCACTGCATTGGTAGCTAGGAGCTTATTGCTTCACCCCAGTATGGAGTTCAGATTACAGTGTTTTCCATTACATTTAGATTCATAGAATCTGAATGGCTGATTAAATGGCCATCTGATGGCTGAAAGAGGGGCGTATTTTTCACTCTGTAGTGAAAGGCTTGGAGGAGTTTCTACTTTTTATTTTAATTATACTTTAACCAAAGAATTATTTTAAAGTAACCTTATATTTAAAAGATGATTTTGCAAAAAATAAAAAATAAAAAATATGCCTTCTGGAGTGATGTCTGTTTGGTAAATCATTGTTGATAATTTCCTTGTTAGTGGTATTTGGAATGCATATAGATTGTCTTGTCATTGTGCTTAACATTACCATAAGTGTGTCTTTTCCACTCAACTAGCTGTATTCGTATTAAAATGAAGTCTCTTATTTCAATTACCTAGTGTTGTTGGGAACTAATTGAACAGCTACAGTAAAAGAAGTTCCTATCTCATTGCCTTTGTGGAAAGGCTTCCCTATGTGGTAAAAGAAAGGCATTCCTCCGTAACCTAGGCACTCTGCAAGTCCAGTGTTTAATTTCAAAGCAGTGATGAATTGCTCTTTTGAAATTACTCTAAGTAATCCATGTGTTAGAATACAGATGAACCTCCGTTTGATTTCACAGCCTTCAGCACAGGCAACTGTTACTGAGTCTGCACGAACTTAGATAATGAGGTGCAGGGTTATTTGCATTTAAATTGCAATCCAGCACACGTGTGAGAAAGAAGAGGCACTAGTCTAAAAGGCTGCATTGCGGGGAGAGATGAGACAGGCAGAGGAGGGTGGGGTAAAGAGCGATTTAACATCTATTTAGGTTAATGTTCACTTTACAAAGGTGATGGGGGATATTTTGTTAGGTGATAGCAGAAGCTTTTCATTTTTAAACATAGAATTAAAATTGGATTTGCTTCTCTTTAATACTTCAACATATTGAATTTCCCTAGGAAAGTGACTAGCTATAATGAAAATTCAAGCGAAAAGGGAAAAAGATTGTAAATGCAGATGAAATAACTTCATTTTTAAGTACAAATAATAGTAGGATTGGTGTATGTAGGTTTAAAATTATAGTGATGACTAGTCGAACTTAATATACAATCAGTTCTTGCAAATACTTTACACTTAGCTGCCATTACACAACAAATTGGAATTTTCCAGCTGTTCAACTATCATGGACTCTGTACAGGATAGATGTGTATAATGGAAAATATGTACTGCTTCTTTCTTTGATTGCCACTCAAGATGGAAACACCATGCCAAGGCATTTTGGTTATACACAGATCATTCTAAACCTGTTATTTTGGAGAGGTGTATTGGTTTCTTTCTCATTTATAAGGCTATTGTATTTTTTTTTGTATGTGATTCAGGTGTATTTATTTGAAGACTATTTGTAGTTATAGGAAAACCACACCTACCTGTATTGCCAAATTCTTTGTAAACTCTCCGTGGCACTTGTGCTTTCCTGGCTGAGAGCTCTCCCCTGTTGATACAGCTATGGCACCATTGTAATTACAGATGCACCTTTCAGGAGCATCTCCATTAAATGGTTCATAGATGATTTAATAAAAAGAAACTTCTCAGTTGATCCAGAGCAATGTCATTTTAAATTCTGAGTGGTCTCTTCCTATCATGTTTTCAGATGTTACTTTGTTCATTATTATTTCATAAATGTGCATTCAGAGTGTGATTCTGTTTTCAAAAGGCCAGAGGGCGCTTTCTGCTGATGGAAGGGGAGGATGCTCCAGCAGCACTGTGTGTCTCTGGACCCTTCTGACCAGGCATCAAGCCTCCATGCCATTCAGACTGGGGAGCTGAACACCCACTCTGTGTGAAAATAGCAAGCTTCAAAATGCTTCCCCTGCCCTATGTGCAAACTAGGAGACAAAAAATATATTTCCTTCTACCTATCCTAGGTTCATGGCTGAGGCCCCTATAACAAAACATAGATTAACAAAAGAAAAAGCATACAAGTTTTTCATGTCTTGGGGCCAAGGGAAAGCTTTCCCTCTGCCCTCTAAAGGTTCACTGAAAATGACTGACAAGAGGCAGATTAATAGAAAAAGCATAAATAAATTTATTAACTACGTGAGCTTGTAGAGTATCACAGAGTGAGTGCCCAGTCTCCCAACGGGGTACAGATGCTTATATGCCCTACATCTTAGGGGAAAGAGAATGGGGAGGTGTGGGTGATTTTAGGCAGATAGTAAATGATTTTTAAGGAAATTCAATGGACTTGAAGAACATACAATGGTCTGGGACAAAGTCGGTCAGGCCTACAGAGTGGACAGTCATTTGGGACAAAAGTCTGTCCAGGTTTGTTGTCAGACTTTAGTCTTCCATCCTGTGATGTGAGTTCAGTCAATGGAAACTCCGAGAAGGGACCAGAAGTAATTGTTTCCTTCTTTGGTAGATATGAGAATAACCTCATCCTGTGCTTTGGGACAGGTAGAGGACTGAGAGGGGATAGAGGAAGGAAAAGCAATTGTTCTCCTTGGTGGGCCTGTCCAGTCTTTATGTAGATAGGGGAAAGGCTTCTTTTAGCATCTGTTGATCTCTAAGGGCCTTTAATTCAAAATACTCAGCTGGGTGTGGTGGCTCACACCTGTAATCCCAGTATTCTTGGAGATCAGAGCCGGAGAATTGCTTGAGCCTAGGAGTTTGAGACCAGCCTAGGCAACATAGCAAGACCCTGTCACTACAAAAAAATACAAAAATTAGCCAGGTGTGGTGGTGTGCACTTGTGGTCCCAGCTGGTCAGGAGGCTGAGGTGGGAGGATCGCTTGAGCCCAGAATGTCTAGCTGACAGTGAGCCATGACAGTACTCCAGCCTGGGCAACAAAGCGAGACTCAAACAAACAAAAACCCAAAATACTCATTATACCAGGGAGCCATATTTGGGGGTGAAGCTCCCTGTTTTCCTTCACATGACACAAAAGCCTTCATAAGGAAATGAAGATTTGAAGAAAACTAGTTAAACCTGAATATTTCAATGCAAAATTTGATGAAGAATAGATAGTCATGGAGAAACGTGATAGAACTAAGAGTATGATCTAATGGTAATAAACTGGGAGGACTTAATGAGGCCTGTGTGTTCAGATTCCCCTGGGTGTCCCTCTGTCTTCAGAGATGAGGGTGCTCATTTTCTCCCGCTCTAGGGAAGGCACCTTTCACATGAAGTTCTCAGGACCTGCGTCAGGAAAGGTTAGAGTCCTTCCTAGGTTTTATCACCTGATTCAGGGGAGAAGGGTGGGGCGGGGGAGAACAGTCAAAGTGACCTTTCTGCTCCTGTTTTTTTCTCAGATTCCTTCATCTTAAACTATTCAATAGGCTGAGATGCAATATTTTCGGGTATAGTGCCCTGAACTCCATGTCACCTTCATGGTTTACTACTACCCACCATCTACCTCAAGGAGTTGCACCAAGAATGATCCAGAGAGTGAGAATTTGGGTAAGAGAGAGGGCACATTCAGCTCAAACTAGAATCTGCACTTCTAAAAGCCATAGACCATTTTTTGTTGTTGTTGTTGTTTTTATGTTTTTGTTTTTAAGATGGAATTTCACTCTTGTTGCCCAGGCTGGAGTGCAATGTTGTGATCTCGGCTCACTGCAACCTCTGCCTCCCGGGTTCAAGTGATTCTCCTGCCTCAGCCTCCCAAGTAGCTGGGATTACAGGCACCTGCCACCACTCCCAGCTGATTTTTTTTGTATTTTTAGTAGAGACGGAGTTTCACTATGTTGGCCAGGCTGGTCTCGAACTCCTGACCTCAGGTGATCCACCCGCTTTGGCCTCCCAAAGTGCTGGGATTACAGGCGTGAGCCACCGCACCCAGCTGACTCTATTTTTTTGAAGTAATTATATGTTAGGCTAATAAGATCTTAAAATAAGCCTTGAATGCAAATTTGTACCGAGGACATGAATACAGATTTTCATTAACCCAACTGTCTACTACCTTGGCAGGGTTTACTTCCTGAGGAAACATAACAGCTAATGTTCATATCTGACAAAAGACCAGGCTATATTTAGCCTTCTGGCTGGTTCTCAGCCATTCTCTGCTTGACAGATTCCCAAACTCATTCTGCTCTTTTGTGATGTACGTAAAGGCTGCTTGCACATCCAGAGAAAACGAATAGTGTACTTGGGATTTGTTTAAGCTTAAATCAGCAAAGTGTCTGTTTTTGGTTTTTTTGTTTTGGAGGGTTTATTTGAAAGTTGTTTGAGGACCAAAAACAATCTTCTTCCTGAAGAAAGAAAATACTTCACTGTGCCAGAAATAAACATGTAAAGCCCAATTGGCTTGGTTCTGGCTATGTAAAGAGGTAGGGGCGTGAAGGGAATGTACCAAGGGAACGTAACAAGGGAACTGGGTGAAAGATCAAAAGTGGTAAAAGGAAGGAAAGACAGAAATGATAACTGGTAAAACAAGTTTTAGAGGAGCCAGTCTGGAAGTTTTCCAAAAAGGCCAATGACGTTCTAGTTAGCAAAAAGGAAAAAGAAAAAAAAAAAAGGCCAGGCACAGTGGCTCATGACTGTAATGCCAACACTTTGGGAGGCCAAGGCAGGCAGATCAGCTGAGGTCAAGAGTTCGAGACCAGCCTGGCCAATATGGCGAAACCCTGTCTCTACTAAAAATACAAAAATTAGCCAGGTGTGGTGGTGCATGCCTGTAATCCCAGCTACTTGGGAGGCTTAGGCAGGAGAATTGTTTGGACCTGGGAGGCAGAGGTTGCAATGAGCTGAGATGGAGCCACTGCACTCCAGCCTGGGTGACAGACCAAGACTCTGCCTAAAACAAACAAACAAACAAACAACAAAAAAGGTGGGGAATGTGGGATAATTTGGCTGACTAAGAAGTTCTCATGGGAGAAATAAGATCCCAACAAGAGGAGAAAAGCCTTAAAAATATATATAGTCTGAATATCACCTTTTAATTAAGCTGACTTCTGAGAATAATGCTCTTTTTAAAAATCTTTTAAGTATATCATTAGCAGTTTTGGGCAAACAGCAAACATTCTCATTTCCTGGCTTTTCTTTCCCTGAAGTTTGCATTTTAAGAGGGATGGTTTCTTAGGTAAGACAAGGGAGAGAATTGACAGGTACAGAGAAATACTGAAAGTTTTTAGAGGTTCAGGGTAATTAATAATCAAATTTCTCTTTTGAGTACAAAGTACCTTTTTAGCTCAAATGAGAAGGCAGAAAGCAAACCAATAAAACAAAAAAAAAATGTTTTTAACATGCTCTGAATATAAACCAAAATTTTAATCCAAAGGTATATTCAACAAGTGACTCAAGACTCAACTAATAAGCCCCTTTATGGCTTTAACCAAGGTGGCCTTTCCAAGATCCAGACCACTCTCACAGGACAACCAAGGAAAGGAAAGCTTAGCTAGCCACAAATGGATGTAAACCCACATTTTAGTTCACCCATATTCTTGAGGCGCTCAACTTTTTGTTTGGCTGCCTGCAGCAAAGAAATCTGGGATAACCTACATGCCCCTGATAAATGGAGAATCAAAAAGAAAGAACAGTCAGTAAGACAAAACAGGAAAACAAAAGTTGTCCATCTTTGCAAAAATTATGACTGAGCAAATTATTACAGTGAAAGAGATCTGACCTAACCAATTTTGTCTGGCTTCTAACCTCTAAGCTGTCCTTGTTCATTTCTAGGTGTAGGCCAAACTAACTTGGGGGGAACTTAGTTTATAGTTTAACTTTGAAACAAAGACAATAACAGCCTTCTCCAAAAACAAACCCCCTTCTTGTCAGGGGACTATACTGCCTTTGTAGGACTAAAAAATTAGCCACAGGATTAGAAATTATGGCTTAGGAGTCATTGCTGTAAAATCTGAGATCAGTGTTTGAGATATTTTGCAGACCCTGCATTGATTGATACACCAGCTGATGCCACCCAAATTGATAAACTGGGTCATCTGATTTTGTGTCATCCACCCAGGAACTGACAGCACAAGAGGACAGCTTCAAACCCCTATGATTTCATCTTCTACCTGACCAATCAACACTCCCTGCTTTCTGATTCTCTACACACCAAATTATCCTTTAAAACTCCAATTCCAAAATTTTGGGGGAGATTGATTTTAGTAATAACTTTGTCTCCCCATGTGGCATGGCTGGCCTCACATCAATTAAACTTTTTCCTTACTGCAATGCCATGGTTTTTATTTGTGCAGTGGGCAGGAAGAACACATTGGGCAGTTCCAAATTTGAGGGCTCATCCAGGATCACCCTTGTGACTACTGCTTGTGGTTTGGTAGCCCCCTCTCCAGCAATGGATCTAGAGGCCAGCCCAAGAGGCTGCCTAATTCTCTTGGACTGGAGGCTGTCTCTGGCACTGTTTCTACTGGCAGGGCATTGACAATCCATGGTGCATGGATTTCATTGCAATGGAGAAAAAGTCCTATAACTGTAACCCCATCATTAGATGTCTGTCTGTGGTCCTATCATGGGGTGTCTGATTTGGTGCATATTCTAGGTGCTTCCAGCACCTCCTTTCTTCTCCTGATTGGTTTGGCTTCTTCTGGGGTCTTGGTTCAGCTCCTTTAAGGGGCTTGGCTGAATCTCCCTAAATAGTAGGAAGAGTCTTGGTTCAGGAGATTTTTCCTTAATCAGGAAGATTTTGGGGAGATTTCTCAGGAAGAGAGTAGGTGGTTAGTTTGGAAAGAATACTTAGAATTATTGGTTAGGGATCTTTGTTTAGAAGGTCTTCTGTCTGTCTTGTGTTTGTTGTGTCTGTGTTTGTATATGTGGAGGTGATCTCTGAAAAAAATGCTAATGGAAGTCAAGCAGGCCTAACTTGGAGAACTCTCCTTATTTGGTCACATTAGGTAAACCCTGAAGCAATTGTTAGCAGAAGCTCCACAGGTCTGACACAGGGTGACCATCTGCTCTTCATCTTGCCCACAGATCACCCACTGAATTCGCAGTTGAAGGTCATCTCTCCCCACCTTGAGTGGATCAAAGATGACAGGGATGAACAGGGGCAAATTTGAGCCTTGCCAGGTCAATATCAGGTGCTGAGAAAGGTGACTAGTGTCTATTTTGTTATATGTATTTTGCTTTGGCTGGGATGGAAAATGTTCATTTGTTCCCCAGGCAGTCTGTTGGGCATCATCTTGCAAAACTGACAGGCTTTTGCCTATGGTTTTATGAAACAAAAGGAGATGATTTTCCCTTGTGATGCTTCTTGGCTCCCATGGTCCTTGGAATAGAGGGGGAAAAAACAAATTTTCAGTACTTTCATGGAGAGCTAATATATTCTTGAGGTTTGCTAATTCAGTATCAAGCAGAACAGGAGTTAATGCATGGACTGAACTAATAGAAGACTGAAATTATCTCTTATGATTTTTTGTTTAAAACATTTACTGATTCTTTATGTTTTGTTTTTAGAGTCAAGAAAAATTTTTTTTCTTTTGAGCTAACTACAGCTTTTATCAATTGAATAAAGTATACTCTGTGAGAAAACCTTGGAGCATATTTCTTTCTCTCTACCTGATTTCTCCGGAATTTGGAAACTATTTGTGAGTATTCTTAACTTTATGGCAGTATAGTTATTTGCCTACATGTAATAATAATGTTTGCTTTTATAACAGGACATCGCTGGAGACACTGATTATTTTACCAAGGTTTTGACTGTAATGGCATACTTCCATATACAAACAGACTGCTTTAAGAAATCAAAGTTGACTTATAGGGCCAAGAAAACCCCTGGTAAACACTGGCCTTAAACCTTTTCTATGCAGTCCCTGTCCAGGGTTCTCGATCTGTGGTAAGTGAACAATATCACTTTCTGACAAGCCCAGGAGCCCCAAGTTATCTTGGAACCTCAAGGAGAGGAATTCACCCAAGGGTCATACTGATATTTGCAGGCACAGATAAATCCATGGCTGGGCTCAAGGCTTTGAAAAATCTAAGCTGAAATTCCTTATGGAATAAAGTTCCATTAAAGTCAATTTTCAAAAAAGCCTATATGGCAAATAATTATTCTTGCTGACTTTATGCAAATATTCATGCCAAGTATGATAAGACTAACACTTATTTTGCAAGCAAATTTGTTTTTAATAAAAATGGGGACTGGAGAGAGACAAACTGTATTTCAGAGAAAGCTATAGTACCTCTGTTGTTAGATTCTAGTCTTGTCCACTGCTTTTGAGTTTTTATTATTTTCTGCAATTTAGACTGATTCCTGAATTCTTTCTGGGTTACAGGTCCCAAAACTAATGTTTTCAAATCTTTCTTTCATTTTTCTGACTTGAACTCAGTGAAATTGCTGCTATATCTTCCCTGAGGCCCTGAAAGCTGAAGCTTATTCCTTGTGGTACAGGCAAGAAAAACATGTCAGATTGCCACTGCCTTCCTCCTCTATAACTAAAGATGCTTTGAGTCTAATGTTTCAATAAATTATGCCCAACATTAACCTTTGTTTTTCTTCTGTTTCCACAGAAATGCCTCCTATTAAAAGCTTGTTTGCTGTCATCACATACAGAAGCCTAGCCCATCTGCACTGCCACTTCCTGATATGGTAAACAGCTATTTAACTGAACTGATCTAGTCTCAGGACTAGGAAACCAATTAAAAATATATGGGTTGGTATATTTAAATTTGCCCTTTCCTGTCTATCCTAATCAGTCTTTCTAATAACCTCTGACCCAAATATCTCTCTACTACAGACCCCATTTCTGATTGATTCTTCGCGCTATTCACCTGGATCCCTCAGAGCTTCAGATCAGTTCCACAAAGGCTTCTGAAGCTAGGACTCTCACTCCTTACCCTAGAACTCATTATTTACTTTATAGCTCATTTAAATGCTGTGCTAAAACGATAGAGAAGAATACTAATGCCTTTGTCATGCAAGCCTTGAAACCCCGATTAGGCACCCTGAGTGTGTGCAGACAGCTGCAAGGCAGTTCCACTCCTCTTACCTTGGAGTCAGCTCCTACTCCCATCATGCCACATGTCAGCAAGAAAAAGCTAGAGTGGTCATTGTGCTTTTTCCATCTTCATAGCCCACATCTTAAGAATAAGGTGTTATAAAACCCAAAGAGAGAGACTGAAACTGCCTTTGCAAAAATTACTGAGAAAATTATTACAGTGAAAGAGATCTGACCTAACTGACTCCATCTGGTTTCTAACCTCCAGACTGCCCTTGCTCATCCCTGGATGTAGGGTGAACTAACTTTGGGAGGAACTTAGTTTATAGTTTGACTTTGAAGCTAAGATGATAACAGCCTTTCCCAAAACAAACTCCCTTTTTGTCTGGAAACTAGACTACCTTTGCAGGACTAACAAATTAGCCACAGGATTAGAAATTATGGTTTAGGAGTCACTGTTGTAAAACTTGAAATCAGTACTTGAGCTTTTTGTTTTGTTTTGTTTTGTTTTTTGCACTCCCCATATTCCGATACACCAGCTGATGCCACCAAGATTGATAAAATGGCTCATCTGATCTTGTGGCCTCCACCCAGGAACTAACTACTAGCACAAGAAAACAGTTTCAACTCCCTGTGATTTCATCTCCAACCCAACCAATCAGCACTGCCTACCTTCTGACTCACTACTCACCAAATCATTCTTTAAAACCCCAGTCTCCAAATTTTAGAGGAGATTGATTTGAGTAGTAACTCCATCTCCCATGCTGGCATGCCTGGCCAGCCTGACATCAATTCAACTCTTGCTTTATTGCAATGTCATGGTCTTTATTTGTGCAGCAGGCAGAAGAACCCATCAGACAGTTACAGCAGGGGGAGGATCATTAAGGAGTGTCCAGAGTCATACAAATAGCTTCCAAACCTCTAAAGGTATTCCTGCCTCAATTGTGACTCAAAATCAGTAAGAATTTTTATAACTTAAAACCAATAAATGTAAGAACTGAGTTTTATGGAGGATACATGCAGTCCCTCTCAAGATCTAAAGTCTCTTTCAAAGATAGCCTAAGACAGCAAAGATCCTCATTGTTAATAAGACAATGAAGTTTAAGACAATTAAGACAAATTTTCTTGAGAGCTGGCACATTCAGATAAACGGACATTTTGGACTCTCAGCCAACTGGCTGCCTGCCTGGCATAAACCTGATAATTTATTCCCTTTGAGGTAGCACCTGAGAATAAATTCGCTGATTACAAAGCCAAGTTTCTCAAGACATAAAAACAAGACAAAAAGATAATCTTATTATGGTTTTCCTCCTTATGACAAACCACACCAAATACAAAAGCAAGAAGAACAAAGACCATTTATAGGAGTTTATAGATCAATAATCAATAAGCCTAAGATAAGTCTACAAGAGTCACAGATTCAAAGCACTAATTTAAAAAAAATTCTCCTGTTATTTTAATTTTGGAAAAGAAAAAGAGACAAGAGGTGACTCTTACTGTCTGCTCAACTGGATCCCATAGGTAAAGATCCATAGGACTGCCTGATAAGAATTTCCTAACCTTTTCCCAGCTTCATCAGGTCCTAGGTTCTCTCAATTGTAGCTTCCAGAGGAGCAGAGCAGTTTTAGTATCCTGCCAGTTGTGCCAAATCTGTAAAGCAAAGAGAACTTCCCACCTCCTCTGAAAGTTCAAGTGTGCTAAACAAATGGACAATACACAGATTAACAGGAGGAAAGGCATGCAAATGAACTCACCTCAGACATAGGAGTTCCGCAAATATACAACTCTAAGAACGGCCAGATTGTTGAGGCTTAAATACTCTCTTTATAGGAAAGAGAGAAATGACAGTGTAAGCGATTTTGAGGGGTGGTAAGTGATTTTCAGGAGAATTAAATGGGCACAAAGAGCCAATAATAGTTTATAACTGATTCTCTTTTGAAACAAAATGGGACCAATAAGTTATGGAAAGGTGAGGGGCAGAACTGCACTGCAAACAAAGGTTGCCTTATTATGCAGATGAAGTCTCCGAGGTCATCTCTCAGAGCTGTCCTTAGAATAATAGATGAAAAGTCTGTCTGGGTGTGGTAACAATTTTTAACCTCTTCTGTGGTGGTTAATCTTGCCTGGTTATTTGATGAGATACTTACAGAGGAGTTCTTTTATTATTATTATTTTTTGAAATGGAGTCTCGCTGCAATGCCCAGGCTGGAGTACAAAGGCATGATCTCAGCTCCCTGCAACCTCCGCCTCCCAAGTTCAAGTGTTTCTCCTGCCTCAGCCTCCTGAGTAGCTGGGATTACAGGCACCCACCACCACGCCCAGCTAATTTTTGTATTTTTAGTAGAGATGGGGTTTCACCATATGGGCCAGGCTGGTCTCAAAGGTGTGAGCCACTGTGCCCGGCCCAAAGGAGTCTTAAGACAAATTGCATTTCTTTTGAAAGGAACTTCCAGAGAGAGCCCCTCTCTGGACTTGGGGGAGAAAAGCAAGAGAAGGTTAGAAAGCCCTTGGTGCTGAGGCAGCTTCTCACATCTTCCCAGTTTCTTTAATTCAAAAGTGTTCAGCACCATATTTTGGAGTATTGTTCTCTGAGTCACAATAAGAATGGTAAAAATTGATGTGTTGGTTGAATTCTGTAGCTTGTCTAAGATGTTGCTGTCAGGCCTCTGAGCCCAAGCTAAGACATCATATCCCCTGTGCACATACATACCCAGATGGCCGGTTCCTGCCTTAACTGGTGATATTCCACTACAAAAGAAGTGAAAATGGCCTGTTCCTGCCTTAACTGATGACATTATCTTGTGAAATTCCTTCTCCTGGCTCATCCTGGCTCAAAAGCTCCCCTACTGAGCACCTTGTGACCCCCACTCTGCCCACCAGAGAACAACCCCCTTTGACTGTAATTTTCCTTTATCTACCCAAATCCTATAAAACGACCCCACCCTTATCTCCCTTCGCTGACTTTCTTTTCAGACTCAGCCCACCTGCACCCAGGTGATTAAAAGCTTTATTGCTCACACAAAGCCTGTTTAGTGGTCTCTTCAAACAGACGCGCATGAAATTTGGTGCCGTGACTCAGATTGGGGGACCTCCCTTGGGAGATCAATCCCCTGTCCTCCTGCTCTTTGCTCTGTGAGAAAGGTCCACCTACAACCTCAAGTCCTCAGACCGACCAGCCCAAGAAACATCTCACCAATTTCAAATCCAGTAAGCGGCCTCTTTTTACTCTCTTCTCCAACCTCCCTCACTATCCCTCAACCTCTTTCTCCTTTCAATCTTGGTGCCACACTTCAATCTCTCCCTTCTTTTAATTTCAATTCCTTCAATTTTCTGGTAGAGACAAAGGAGACACGTTTTGTCCATGGACCCAAAACTCCGGCGCCGGTCATGGACTAGGAAAGGCAGCCTTCCCTTGGTGTTTAATCATTGCAGGGATGCCTCTCTGATTATTCACCCATGTTTCAGAGGTGTCAGACCACGCAGGGATGCCTGCCTTGGTCTTTCACCCTTAGTGGCAAGTCCTGCTTTTCTGGAGGAGGGGCAAGTTTCCCAACCCCTTCTCTCTGTGTCTCTACCCCTTCTCTGCCTTTCTGGGGGGCAAGAAACCCCCAACCCCTTCTCCTTCACTCTTAGTGGCAAGTCCCGCTTTTCCAGGGGAGGGGCAGGTACCCCAACCCCTTCTCTCTGTGTCTCTACCCCTTCTCCGCCTTTCTGGAGGGCAAGAAACCCCCAACCCCTTCTCTCTGTGTCTCTACCCCTTCTCTGCCTTTCTGGAGGGCAAGAAACCCCCAAACCCTTCTCCTTCACCCTTAGCAGGAAGTCCCACATTTCTGGGGGAGGGGCAAGTACCCCAACCTTGTATCTCTGTGCCCTGATCCCTTATTTCTGCGCTCCAACCTCTTATATCTCTGTGCCCCGATCCCTTATTTCCATGCCCCAACCTCTTATATCTCTGCACCCTGATACCTTATTTCTGTGCCCCAACCTCGTATCTCTGTGCCCTGACCCCTTTCCTGCTTCTCTGGAAGGTAAGAACCCCCAAACCACTTCCCTCTGTGTCTCTACTCTCCCTTTTCCTTAAACTTGCCTCCTTCACTATAGGCAACCTTCCACCCTCCATTCCTCCTTCTTTCTTCTCCCTTAGCCTGTGTTCTTAAGAACATAAAACCTCTTCAACTCTCACCTGACCTAAAACCTAAATGCCTTATTTTCTTCTACAATGCCGCTTGACCCCAATACAAACTCGACAGTAGTTCTAAATGGCCAGAAAATGGCACTTTCGATTTCTCCATCCTACAAGACCTAAATAATTTTTGTCAAAAAATAGGCAAATGGTCTGAGGTGCCTGACATCCAGGCATTCTTTTACACATCGGTCCCTCCCTAGTCTCTGTGCCCAGTGCAACTTGTCCCAAATCTTCCTTCTTTCCCTCCCACCTGTCCCCTCAGTCCCAACCCCAAGCGTTGCTGAGTCTTTCTAATCTTCCCTTTCTACAGATCCATCTGACCTCTCCCCTCCTCCCCAGGCTGCTCCTCGCCAGGCCGAGCTAAGTCCCAATTCTTCCTCAGCCTCCGCTCCTCCACTCTATAATCTTTTTATCACCTCCCCTCCTCACACCCGGTCAGGTTTACAGTTTCATTCTGTGAGTAGCCCTCACCCACCTGCCTAGCAATTTCCTCTTAAAAAGCTGGCTGAAGCTAAAGGCATAGTCAAAGTTAATGCTCCTTTTTCTTCATCAGACCTCTCCCAAATCAGTAAGCGTTTAGGCTCTTTCATCAAATGTAAAAAACCCAGCCCATGGGCAAAGACACAACCAAAAAAGAGAATTTTAGACCAATGTCCTTGATGAACATTGATGCAAAAATCCTCAATAAAATACTGGCAAAACGAATCCAGCAGCACATCAAAAAGCTTATCCACCATGATCAAGTGGGCTTCATCCCTGGGATGCAAGGCTGGTTCAATATACGCAAATCAATAAATGTAATCCAGCATATAAACAGAGCCAAAGACAAAAACCACATGATTATCTCAATAGATGCAGAAAAGGCCTTTGACAAAATTCAACAACCCTTCATGCTAAAAACTCTCAATAAATTAGGTATTGATGGGACGTATTTCCAAATAATAAGAGCTATCTATGACAAACCCACAGCCAATATCATACTGAATGGGCAAAAACTGGAAGCATTCCCTTTGAAAACTGGCACAAGACAGGGATGCCCTCTCTCACCACTCCTATTCAACATAGTGTTGGAAGTTCTGGCCAGGGCAATTAGGCAGGAGAAGGAAATAAAGGGTATTCAATTAGGAAAAGAGGAAGTCAAATTGTCCCTGTTTGCAGATGACATGATTGTATATCTAGAAAACCCCACTGTCTCAGCCCAAAATCTCCTTAAGCTGATAAGCAACTTCAGCAAAGTCTCAGGATACAAAATCAATGTGCAAAAATCACAAGCATTCCTATACACCAACAACAGACAAACAGAGAGCCAAATCATGAGTGAACTCCCATTCACAATTGCTTCAAAGAGAATAAAATACCTAGGAATCCAACTTACAAGGGATGTGAAGGACCTCTTCAAGGAGAACTACAAACCACTGCTCAAGGAAATAAAAGATGATACAAACAAACGGAAGAACATTCCATGCTCACAGGTAGGAAGAATCAATATTGTGAAAATGGCCATACTGCCCAAGGTAATTTACAGATTCAATGCCATCCCCATCAAGCTACCAATGCCTTTCTTCACAGAATTGGAAAAAACTACTTTAAAGTTCATATGGAACCAAAAAAGAGCCTGCATCGCCAAGTCAATCCTAAGCCAAAAGAACAAAGCTGGAGGCATCACGCTACCTGACTTCAAACTATACTACAAGGCTACAGTAACCAAAACAGCATGGTACTGGTACCAAAACAGAGATATAGATCAATGGAACAGAACAGAGCCCTCAGAAATAACGCCGCATATCTACAACTATCTGATCTTTGACAAACCTGAGAAAAACAAGCAATGGGGAAAGGATTCCCTATTTAATCAATGGTGCTGGGAAAACTGGCTAGCCATATGTAGAAAGCTGAAACTGGATCCCTTCCTTACACCTTATACAAAAATTAATTCAAGATGGATTAAAGACTTAAACGTTAGACCTAAAACCATAAAAACCCTAGAAGAAAACCTAGGCATTACCATTCAGGACATAGGCATGGGCAAGGACTTCATGTCTAAAACACCAAAAGCAACGGCAACAAAAGACAAAATTGACAAATGGGATCTAATTAAACTAAAGAGCTTCTGCACAGCAAAAGAAACTACCATCAGGGTGAACAGGCAACCTACAAAATGGGAGAAAATTTTCGCAACCTACTCATGTGACAAAGGGCTAATATCCAGAATCTACAATGAACTCAAACAAATTTACAAGAAAAAAACAACCCCATCAAAAAGTGGGCGAAGGACATGAACAGACACTTCTCAAAAGAAGACATTTATGCAGCCAAAAAATACATGAAAAAATGCTCACCATCACTGGCCATCAGAGAAATGCAAATCAAAACCACAATGAGATACAATCTCATACCAGTTAGAATGGCAATCATTAAAAAGTCAGGAAACAACAGGTGCTGGAGAGGATGTGGAGAAATAGGAACACTTTTACACTGTTGGTGGGACTGTAAACTAGTTCAACCATTGTGGAAGACAGTGTGGCGATTCCTCAGGGATCTAGAACTAGAAATACCATTTGACCCAGCCATCCCATTTCTGGGTATATACCCAAAGGACTATAAATCATGCTGCTATAAAGACACATGCACACGTATGTTTATTGCGGCATTATTCACAATAGCAAAGACTTGGAACCAACCCAAATGTCCAACAATGATAGACTGGATTAAGAAAATGTGGCACATATACACCATGGAATACTATGCAGCCATAAAAAATGATGAGTTCATGTCCTTTGTAGGGACATGGATGAAATTGGAAATCATCATTCTCAGTAAACTATCACAAGAACAAAAAACCAAATACCACATATTCTCACTCATAGGTGGGAACTGAACAATGAGATCACATGGACACAGGAAGGGGAACATCACACTCTGGGGACTGTTGTGGGGTGGGGGGAGGGCGGAGGGATAGCATTGGGAGATATACCTAATGCTCGATGACGAGTTGGTGGGTGCAGCGCATCAGCATGGCACATGTATACATATGTAACTAACCTGCACAATGTGCACATGTACCCTAAAACTTAAAGTATTAAAAAAAAAAAAAAAACCCAGCCCAGTTCATGGCTTGTTTGGCAGCAACCCTGAGACGCTTTACAGTCCTAGACCCTAAAAGGTCAAAAGGCTGTCTTATTCTCAATATACATTTTATTACCCAATCTGCTCCTGACATTAAATAAAACTCCAAAAATTAAATTCCAGCCCTCAAACCCCACAATAAGATTTAATTAACCTCACCTTCAAAGTATACAATAATAGAAAAAAGTTGCAATTCCTTGCCTCCACTGTAAGACAAACCCCAGCCACATCTCCAGCAAACAAGAACTTCCAAACGCCTGAACCACAGCGGCCAGGCATTCCTCCAGAACCTCCTCCCCCAGGAGCTTCCTACAAGTGCCAGAAATCTGACCACCAGGCCAAGGAATGCCCACAGCCCAGGATTCCTCCTAAGCCACATCCCATCTGTGCAGGACCCCACTGGAAATCAGAATGTTCAACTCACTTGGCAACCACTCCCAGAGCCCCTGGAACTCTGGCCCAAGGCTCTCTGACTCCTTCCCAGATCTTCTCGGCTTAGCAGCTGAAGACTGACACCGCCTGATCGCCTCAGAAGCCTACAGGACCAACACAGACACTAAGTAACTCTCACAGTAGAAGGTAAGTCCGTCCCTTTCTTAGTCAATACGGAGGCTACCCACTCCACATTACCTTCTTTTCAAAGGCGTGTTTCCCTTGCCTCCATAACTGTTGTAGGTATTGACAGCCAGGCTTCTAAACCTCTTAAAACTCCCCAACTCTAGTGCCAACTTAGACGATACTCTTTTAAGCACTCCTTTTTAGTTATCCCCACCTGCCCAGTTCCCTTATTAGGCTGAGACACTTTAACTTAATTATCTGCTTCCCTGACTATTCCTGGATTACAGCTACATCTCATTGCCGCCCTTCTTCCCAATCCAAAGCCTCCTTTGCATCCTCCTCTTGTATCCCCCAACCTTAACCCCCAAGTATAGGATACCTCTACTCCCTCCTTGGCGACCGGTCACGCACCCCTTACCATCTCATTAAAACCTAATCACCTTTACTCCTCTCAATGCCAAGATTCCATTCCACAGCACGATTTAAAAAGATTAAAGACTGTTATCACTCGCCTGCTACAGCATGGCCTTTTAAAGCCTATAAACTCTCCTTATAATTCCCCCATTTTACCTGTCCTAGAACCAGACAAGCCTTACAGGTTAGTTCAGGATCTGCGCTTTATCAACCAAACTGTTTTGCCTATCCACCCCGTGGTGCCAAATCCATATACTCTCCTATCCTCAATACCTCCCTCCACAACCCATTATTCTGTTCTGGATCTCAAACATGCTTTCTTTACTATTCCTTTGCACCCTTCATCCCAGCCTCTCTTCGCTTTCACTTGGACTGACCCTGACACCCATCAGGCTCAGCAAATTACCTAGGCTGTACTGCCGCAAGGCTTCACAGACAGCCCCCATTACTTCAGTCAAGCCCAAATTTCATCCTCATCTGTTACCTATCTCGGCATAATTCTCATAAAAACACACGTGCTTTCCCTGCTGACCGTGTCCGATTAATCTCCCAAACCTCAATCCCTTACAAAACAACAACTCCTTTCCTTCCTAGGCATGGTTAGCGTGGTCAGAATTCTTACACAAGAGCCAGGACCGCACCCTGTAGCCTTCCTGTCCAAACAACTTGACCTTACTGTTTTAGCCTAGCCCTCATGTCTGTGTGCAGCAGCTGCCGCTGCTTTAATACTTTTAGAGGCCCTAAAAATCACAAACTATGCTCAATTCACTCTCTACATTTCTCATAACTTCCAAAATCTATTTTCTTCCTCATACCTGATGCATATGCTTTCTGCTCCCCGGCTCCTTCAGCTGTACTCACTCTTTGTTAAGTCCCACAATTACCATTGTTCCTGGCCTGGACTTCAATCCAGCCTCCCACGTTATTCCTGATACCACACCTGACCCCCATGACTGTATCTCTCTGATCCACCTGACATTCACCCCATTTCCCCATATTTCCTTCTTTCCTGTTCCTCACCCTGATCACGCTTGATTTATTGATGGCGGTTCCACCAGGCCTAATTGCCACACACCAGCAAAGGCAGGCTATGCTATAGTACAAGCCACTAGCCTGCCTCTTAGAACCTCTCATTTCCTTTCCATCGTGGAAATCTATCCTCAAGGAAATAACTTCTCAGTGTTCCATCTGCTATTCTACTATCCCTCAGGGATTACTCAGGCCCCCTCCCTTCCCTACACATCAAGCTCGAGGATTTGCCCCAACCCAGGACTAGCAAATTAGCTTTACTCAACATGCCCCGAGTCAGATAACTAAAATACCTCTTAGTCTAGGTAGACACTTTCACTAGTTAAGTACAGTCCTTTCCTACAGGGTCTGAGAAGGCCACCGCAGTCATTTCTTCCCTTCTGTCAGACATAATTCCTCAGTTTAGCCTTCCCACCTCTATACAGTCTGATAACAGACCAGCCTTTATTAGTCAAATCAGCCAAGCAGGTTTTCAGGCTCTTGGTATTCAGTGAAACCTTTATATCCCTTACGGTTCTCCGTCTTCAGGAAAAGTAGAACGGACTAAAGGTCTTTTAAAAACACACCTCACCAAGCTCAGCCACCAACTTAAAAAGGACTGGACAATACTTTTACCACTTTACCTTCTCAGAAGTCAGACCTGTCCTCAGAATGCTACAAGGTACAGCCCATTTGAGCTCCTGTATAGACACTCCTTTTTATTAGGCCCCAGTCTCATTCCAGACACCAGACCAACTTAGACTGTGCCCCCAAAAAACTTGTCATCCCTACTATCTTCTCTCTAGTCATACTCCTATTCACCATTCTCAACTACTCATACATGCCCTGCTCTTGTTTACACTGCCGGTTTACACTGTTTCTCCAAGCCATCACAGCTGATATCTCCTGGTGCTATCCCCAAACTGCCACTCTTAACTCTTGAAGTAAATAAATAATCTTTGCTGGCAGGACTATGCTGAATCTCCTTAGGCTCTCTCTAATCAGATGTCCTGAGTCGTCCCAATTCTTAGACCTTTTATACCTGTTTTTCTCCTTCTCTTATTCCATTTAGTTTTTCAATTCATACAGAACTGTATCCAGGCCATCATCAATAATTCTAAATGATAAATATTCCTTCTAACAACCCCACAATATCACCCCTTACCACAAAATCTTCCTTCAGCTTAATCTCTCCCACTCTAGGTTCCCACGCCGCCCCTAATCCCGCTCGAAGCAGCTCTGAGAAACATCGCCCATTCTCTCTCTCCATACCACCCCCCAAAATTTTCACCGTCCCAACACTTTACCACTATTTCGTTTTATTTTTCTTATTAATATAAGAAGACAGGAATGTCAGGCCTCTGAACCCAAGCTAAGTCATCATATCCCCTGTGACCTGCACATACACATCCAGATGGCCAGTTCCTGCCTTAATTGATGACATTCCAGCATAAAAGAAGTGAAAATGGCCTGTTCCTGCCTTAACTGATGACATTGTCTTGTGAAATTCCTTCTCCTGGCTCATCCTGGCTCAAAAGCTCCCCCACTGAGCACCTTGTGACCCCCACTCTGCCCGCCAGAGAACACCCACTTTTGACTGTAATTTTCTTTTATCTACCCAAATCCTATAAAACGGCCCCACACTTATCTCCCTTTGCTGCCTCTCTTTTCGGACTCAGCCCGCCTGCACCCAGGTGATTAAAAGCTTTATTGCTCACACAAAGCCTGTTTAGTGGTCTCTTCACACAGACACGCATGAAAGTTGCCTTAATGATTTACCACTTCCCTTCGTATAACTCTTTATAATTAAAAAAAAAAACACTTCCTCATTTGATCCTCATAACAATTTTACAAAGTAAGGAGATCAGGTATTATCAACTCAATGAATGAAACTAAGATACTGAGCTTGTGGATTCATTCATCATTCTGTAATACTTATTGAACACTATTTCCAGCAGAGTGGCAGGCTGGAGCTATAGTGGCAAAAAAGAATGCAAGGCCCCTGCTCTGATGGAGTGGGAGACAGAGAATGAATACATAAATAAACAAGATAATTACAGATTTTGATAAATGCTCTTTAGGAAATAAACTGGGTAATATGATAGAAAGTAACTTTGAAGGGATGTGGGGCAGGGGTTACACTCTTAGTTAGGGCATGGCGTCCCTGAACAGGTGATGATGAAACCAACAGTTAAAACTGAGCAGGAGCTGGTTGGGCTGAAGACCTAAACGAGGAGGGTATCAGGAAGCTGTGTATACAGAAGCCCTCACATGGGAAGACACTAGCTGGGTTAGAACAGAAGAGGCTGGGGAGCTAAAGTGTAGTAAGCATGATAGAAAGTGGGGGGCTTATAAAGACATGGGGTCTTACAGACCAGGGGTCAGCAAAGTATTGCTCATTGTGCAGAATCTCACTCGTGAGCAGAATCTGGCCCACAGCCTGCCTGTACAGCTGCAGGCTAAGAATGATTTTTAGCTTTTCAAATCTTTGGGGGAAAAAGCAAAGAATAAAGAGATTGATATATGAAATTAGAGTTCCAGTATATATAAATAAAATTTTATTGGAACACAGCCTCATTCACTTATTTACATATTGCCTATGGCTATTCCAGGATACAAGGGCAGAGTTGAGAAGTAAAACTATTTTAAATGTTTATACTTGGCCCCTTGCAGAAAAAGTGGGTTGATCTCATCATAGACCACGGTGAAACATTTGGATTTTATTCTAAATCCACAGAATCCAGCATCAAAACTATTTTACCTGACATAACAATTCATAGATTGGTGGCATCCAGTGGCCAGCAAAGTAACAGCTAGCATTTGAGTGCTTGTATTTATCAGACACTTTTCTAAGTACTTCACATGTGTAAGCTTTTTAAATCTTCTCACCAACTCTATTCGGTAGAAACTATTATTCCCGATTTATGAAAGAGGAAGTTGAATCTTAGAAAGATTCAATAATTCACACACAGTCACACGGCTCATGAGTGTTAGGGCTGAGACCAGGACCATGTCAGCCTGGTTCCAGAGCCTGGACTAATCATGGAAAATGTTTTTTAAAAGAAACTTCAATGAAAATATTGCAGAAGCCTGAGGTGTCTTGGGGATACTTGGGTTCTTCAGAATACAGTTTGGAAACCACAACTTTCATCTAATCTCATTTATAGATGAAGACGCCAGGGCTGGTCACTTATCTGGGCAGAGCTCCATGAGCTGGGGCCTGAAGCTGGCCCTTGCTATCCTGTGGTATACTCTCCGAAACCACAATTGCCTTCTGAAATCAGCTCATATTTGGGTTGTTTTCAGAATGATCTATTTCACTAGAGTAAATAAAGTTTCTACCCTCACGAAAGCCCAGGTTCACAATAGTAGGTTTTTTCGGCAGAAGTCTTAACAAAAGGTGAATGATGCCTTTCCTCCTCCCGGCACACCCAACCTACCATGGTTCCTGTGGGGATGAGATGCTGCTCCAGCCACCTGAGGTCTGCAGATTTATGGAGAATGTTTTTTGTGCCAAGATGCTGGGTGCTCTGGGTATTATAATATTTTCAATTTAACCATCCATGAGTGCCCCATAAAGAAGGTGTGGCCCCGGGTGAGCTGGTTCTCTTCCACCGAGGGCAAGTATAAAAATTTGAAGTCCTTCAAAGGAATCTCATAGACAAAGAAAAATGTGTGTGTGTGTGTGTGTGTGTGTGTGTGTGTGTGTATCACTGACTCACTGTGTCACTTCAGGCAAACTTCTTAATTCTTTGGGTTTTTTAAATTTTATTTATTTTTTTTGAGACAGAGTCTCGTTCTGTCGCCGAGGCTGGAGGGCAGTGGCGCAATCTCGGCTCACTGCAACCTCCGCCTCCCAAGTTCAAGCAATTCTCCTGCCTCAGCCTCCCAAGTAGCTGGAACTACAGCTACCGTAGTCTGGCTAATTTTTTGTATTTTAGTAGAGATAGGGATTCACCGTGTTGCCCAGGCTGGTTGCAAACCCCTGAGCTTAGGCAATCCACCCATCTCAGCCTCCCAAAGTGCTGAGATTACAGGCGTGAGCCACCACGCCCGGCCAATTCTTCATTTTTAAAAATGCTACAGTCGAACTTTCTCAGCTCCTGCCTTATGATTCCTGGACAGTCACCTCAGGCTGTAATTATTCTTCCCATTTTACAAGTGAGGAAACTGATTCCAACAGGCAGGTAGTGTGCTTAGTGCTACACAGCTGCTAGTGACAGGGCCTAGGGGACAAGCCTGGGTCTGTCTGCTACTCACTCCCATGCTCGTCCCACTAAGCTCCCACTACTGCTAGGAAACTTCTCTCTGAATCAATAATTAATTTCAAAGGCTGCTGCTCTGGCTTAGAAACTCCACAGTCACTTTGTGCAAGTTTTACAGCAGTGCTCAGAAAACCTCAACACTTGGTGTGAGTTATCTGAGGCATCTTCTGGTAGATGCAGGCGAGTCCACCTCTTACTCTGACCTTGGGAAAGGTCACGATTCTTCACAGAATCTGTGAAAGGTCAAGAAGAAAGTGTAGGCCCCTTTTGTAAATGCAACAAAAAAACCCAGTGGCTTCTAGACATAAGGAAATCCCCTGTTTTCTGACCCTTAAAACAGTTCATCTTTAGCCTATTTAATAAATGTCTTATTTTTCATGTTTGCACCCCCCCACCCCCAAAACTCAGGTTGACAAGGGTGACGATGAAAAATAGAGAGGATGTTTGTTTATTTCTCCAAAATATGTCCCCCCTCTGCCACCCCACCAAATGTTATTTCCTATTAGTATTGAAACATAATATGAAGATTTCATAAAACGGAGACCAAAATGACAAACTAGCTATCAGTTGTGAGGTCTCCCACATACTGTTCAGTAGACTCTTTCCCATTAGAAAATAGGTAGACCACTTATTACCTTCCAACCTCGTCTTTTTCTCCCAATTCACTGAGCAGCCACAATCTGCTGCCCTCTCCTGTTGAATACTACATGAGCTGCAGGCTGAAGTGGGGGTAATGAGAACAGGGACCCTGGAAAGCACACATGTATGTCGTCCACCAGTTCACCTTGTAGCATTTCCCCCACCAACCGTTCTTAATGTCCAAGTCCAGTGGACTATTGTGACATTTGTCAAGGTTTTCAACCAGTTGAATATGGCACCCGTGGATGAAAAGGATACACTCTCCATCGTCCAAAGTGCAATTTAAAGTAAGCTCTTCTTTAATGCTCTGGGGAAATTGTAAGTCAAACATCTTTTTAGACTTCAGAGCAAAAAGAGTAGCATTTACATCTCAAATAAAGAGTCAATTTAGTCTTTCATTCACTCGTTGACAACCTATGTCAAGTGTTGTTGTGGGTCAGGTTCCTGGGAAACAGAAGCTGATACAGAGATCCGTGTGCAGAAGTTTATAGATGAGTACTCTTGGTGACAAGAAGGAAGCAAGTTGGAGAATCGGTAGAAGCTGGACTGAGGTGCAGTTACAACAAAGATCTCAGCTGATCCTGATCCCTTGGGGAGCTTCAGAGTTGCTCCACCTCAAGGCAAGGGAAAAGGACCTTGAGACCCCCTCATGGATGCCCTATGGAGGAAGAGTGACCCTGGGTAAACTGTTCTCTTCTACTGAGGACAAGTATAAAAATTAGAAGTTCCTGGATGGAATATTATGAGCAAAAGGGAAAAAATTAAAAAATGAAAAATTTGAAAGACAAAATATTGTGTTTTGGAGGATTTTTTATTTTTATTTTTTTAAGACAGGGTGTCACTTTGTCACCCAGATTGCAGTACAGTAGTGTGATCACGGCTCACCGCAGCCTCAACCTCCTGCATTCAAGCAACCCTTCCACCTCAGCCTCCCAAGTATCTGGGACTACAGGCATGCACCACCATGCTCAGCTAATTTTTGTATTTTTTGTAGAGATGGGGGTCTCACTATGTTGCCCAGGTTGGTCTTGAACTCCTGGCTTCAGATGATCCTCACACCTCAGCCTCCCAAAATGCTAAGATTACAGGCATGAGCCACTGTGCCCAGCCAACAAAATATTTGGAAGACATTTTTGATGAGTAAGACTTTTCCTACCCAAACTTCATCAAATTTATCAGAGTATTAACACTAATTTCAATTAGAGCCAGTAAGTAGTGTTTCCTTTTCATTTTCCAAGCATTGCAGACTGATCTCTGTTTTCTAAACATAAACTTACTAATATTTTACTGTGTGCTCCTGGAAAAACTACATTAAATCTATCTCAATTTGTCCAATTAATGAAAATTAAATACCAGAACTGTTCATATGTACATTGTCTCCCCCACTAGATTATATTCTCCTGAAAAACAAGGAATTTATGTTTTTTATTTGAGCATGTCTCAAAGTAGTGCATACTAGATGCTGTACAGGTGACAAGATGAATGGGTGGATAGAAGGATGGATGGATGGATGGATGGATGGATGGATGGACGGACGGACATATGTATAGATAGATGGGTGGGTAAATGGATGAATGAGTGGGTGAATGGATGAATGCGTGGGTGGATAGATAGATGGGTGGTTGGGTGGATGGATGAGTATTTGCATGTATAGATAGATGGGTGGGTGAATGAATAGGTCATGGACGGATGGATGGATGGATAGATGGATGGGTGAATGGATGGATGGGTGGATAAATGGATGGATGGATGGATGGATGGATGGATGGATGGATGGATGGATGGATGGATAGATGGATAGATGGATGGATAAATAGATGGATGGCTGGCTGGCTGGATGGATGGAGAGATGGATGGATGTGTGGATGAATAGATGGATGGATGGGTGGATGGGGAATGAGTGGGCAGGTAATACATGAGTGAGTGGGTGGATGGAAGGATAAATGGATGGGTGGATGGATGTGTGGGTGGATGGATGGAAGGATGGATGGATGGATAGGTGGATGAATAGATTTGTATTTGTGAGTGGGTGGATGAAAAGATGGGTGGATGGGTGGGTGGACAGATATATAGATTTCAAAAATGAGTATATCTATATGAATGAATGAATTCCTCCCCGACAACAATTATAAATTGATGTCAGCATAGAAATAAAATATTCCCAAAGGTTGAGCAAAAATTATCTAATTGTATTTATCTAATAAACTAGAAAAGTAAAAATAAGGATGACGTCACTACACAGGGACATTTTACAGTATTTCTCCCACCCATGCTCCCTCTAAAAACCTTGCAACTAGTTGATTTACCAGTACTACCCACTTGTGGTAAAACAATTTTTGTCACCAACACATCACTCACACCTCTCTGCCATCAAGATAATACATGTGGTCCCCAAAATGTTCCACCAGGAGGTGTTCTGGGGGCAGCTAACTAAGAGGGGGCTTCCAGACAGATGGAGGAGTTGATACACATGAGGTCACAGATCTACTGCCTCTCCCCCTTTAAAAGAAACTACTCAGCTCCATTTGTCTCAGAATCTAGAGGAAGTTGACAAAGGTGCCACAGCAGCACAGCACAGTATGTGGTGGAGAGTTCTCAGCTTGCTGGCATGGTTCCCCTTGCAAGGTAAGGACTTAGAGTTATTTTTGTTGTTGCTCAGCTGACTTAATGTTTTGCCACATCTACCTATCAGTCAGTCAACTGCATTTACAGAGGAGCTGCTGTAGAAGACAACCCAGGTAACTGCTAATACTTTCCAAGCCATGCTCAAATCATGCATCTGAGGGATGTTACTGCGTTTATTTGATCTCTCGTTCAATGGCTAAGGAGTATAGAAAGGATCATTATAGTGTGTGTCTCTGTGGGTCCTATGTTACGGCAAGATGAAACAAGCTTATTAGGCTCTGTCTTTTAAGGGCATACCAGTTGAAAGAGCATCCGTATTGAATTTTATTTTATTTTATTTATTTATTTATTTATGAGACACAGTCTCGCTCTGTCGCCCAGGCTGGAGTGCAGCGGCACGACCTCGGCTCACTGCAAGCTCCGCCTCCCGGGTTCACGCCTTTCTCCTGCCTCAGCCTCCCAAGTAGCTGGGACTACAGGTGCCCGCCACCACCACGCCCGGCTAATTTTTTTATATTTTTAGTAGAGACGGGGTTTCACCGTGTTAGCCAGGATGGTCTCAATCTCCTGACCTCGTGATCTGCCCACCTCAGCCTCCCAAAGTGCTGGGATTACAGGCGTAAGCCACCGCGCCCGGCCTCCACGTTGAATTTTAAAATTTCCTTGCTGTATAAATCTTAGCCAAACGATTTAATCTCTTTGAAACTCAGTTTCTGCATCTTAAAATGAAAATGATAAAAACTTTTGATCCACCAAACTCCCTGGATTGTTAGAAGGATCAAATTTCAAATGTGAAAGCACTTTGAAAATGATAAAGCGCTGTGCAACACTTATTTAGCTCAGAGGTAATAATGAGACCAATGAAAACTTCGTGTTTATTTTTAAAGAGTAAGTTATACTTTACATTTTACTATAATTTTCAAATTTGGATTTTAGTGCTTAATCCTAATGTAGCATTATGAAAATTAAGGATAGAAGCAGTTACCTTTTTGGAGCAGGTCAAATTATTTTCTACCCAAAAGTGGGGGCAGGGGTGTAGGAAGTGGCTCCTGTTGTCCCTCAGTCTCTGCTTACAATTGTATCAGATTCATGCAAAGGACATCCCTCACAAATCCACTCAAAAATTTTGCTTTTTGTGTGTTTGTTACCAAATATTGAAACTGTAGTTCTGTTTCATGAAATGCACCTATCCTTCTAAATCTACATTTAATCTGGAATGGCATCTGAAGGACGCTACTTTAAAAAACTCGATTTCCTATTTTACATAGTACTTCAATTCCCTATTTTATATACTTCAATTAATGCCTTCTTTTTTTGGTCCCTGTACCCTGAGGCACTTAATAAGGATTCAATTTTGGTAATGAATAATATTAGTTTCTTCATTAAGTGGCTTAAAGAATAGCTAATACATTCAAAAAGAGTACATTTAGACAGCTAAAATTAGGATGATTTCAATTTTTCCAGAGTTTAAAGCCTTTCACTGACCTTAACTTTTTCAGGCTTTGAGTTATTGCCTCATAAAAAATAACTCATAAAAATACATTTTTTAAATAAATAGCAAAAATTATGTTTCAAGGTAAACCTAAATTACTTAAATATTATTTATATAGAGAGGAAAAATATTGTTTCATGCACAGTGCTGAGTACTTTGTGTTAATTACACTTAATCATAGCGGAAGTACTGAGGTAGGTACTAATATCCCCAATTTAAAGATGAGAAAAGAAGTTATGTAACCTGCCCAAGTTTTAAAGCTAGAATATGACAACATAAATACCAGCCTATAAAGCACATAGTAAAAGTATTTATTTCATGAAACTTCTAATTAACGTGTGTGTGTGTGTGTGTGTACTAGTTGTGACAGAAAATGTATTAATGTGGATCAAAAGTTGGAAAACCACTGACTTTCACAATTTGGAGGATTCAATATTAAAAAGTCCTATTTGAAAACTCGTTCAAGGGGCCACCCGAGGGCATCTAAGCTCAATGGCATTTGAGCAGTGGCTGCCACCCCTGACCTAACCTTGCTCAAGCCCATCCCAGACGTAATTAGGAGGAGGTGACCATGTTGCTTTCTTGTCAGCAAAAAAGGCAGCAAATCATCAGTTTTGGCAAAGCTATAAACTGTCAGCTGATTTTAGCAAATTAAATTATGGGAAGATCACTGTGACTACTTCTACAGTGTTACTTCTATGGCTGCCAAAAATTTATGGAAAAAAAAAAAGTCACGTAATCTCAGAGCCTGCCCTCTTTTCAAGGCCACTCCCAGAATAAATAGTCTTAGGACTGGTAAAAACACAATAAAAATGAAGCATTTTTCAAAATTCATCCCATTAAATTACACTGTAGACAATGAAAATGTCAAATCCAATGAATTTTGAACCCTCTGTTTTCATTGTTTTGTGGAGGGTAGGATGCAGAAAACAAAGGAAAATTGCAAATTGAGTAGTTCTTTTCATACTTTCTTTGCCCAGGAAAAAGTCACATGTTAGATGACATGTTGAGACAGCTTCTTTAAAATGTACTAAAAATATTCCGATTCTGACAAGTCTGATTTATTTTTATACCTGCAATTTTCTCTATTGATTCAATCTAAAAATAATAAAAATCTTTTTTTGTAATGATCTGAATTAAAACACACTTTTGCTTAATGCCTCATGACAGTCATGTAACTAGGGCTCTGATTTGAGAATTAATGCATTGCATGTCTCTGGCTTTAACTTAGCCCTAGTCTTTATTATTTGATATAACAGTTAAAGAGCAAAGTTAGCATCCTATTATAATATTTATTCCTAAATATATACTTTTACTCTATTTTTTTTTTTTTTGAGACAGAGTCTTGCTCCGTCGCCCAGGCTGGAGTGCAGTGGTGTGATCTCAGCTCACTGCAAGCTCCACCTCCCGGGTTGACGCCATTCTCCTGCCTCAGCCTCCCGAGTAGCTGGGACTACAGGCACCCGCCACCACTCCTGGCTAATTTTTTGTATTTTTAGTAGAGACAGGCTTTCACCATGTTAGCCAGGATAGTCTCGATCTCCTGATCTCATGATCCGCCTGCCTCAGCCTTCCAAAGTGCTGGGATTACAGGTGTGAGCCACCGAGCCCGGCCTATTTACTCATTTTTATCCACTAATTCAACCAATATCTAAAATTTTACATTATGCTAAAATGAGTGGATGGCAAACAGCTTTTCCATAAGGAGTTTGTAATCTATCTACAGAGAAACACCTGTAACCAAATAATTATAAAGTAATGTGCTAAGTGCTGTAATAGAAGTATATCTCAAGACTTTGGGAAACTAGGGGAAAGACATTATGGGGAAAAGGGAAGCTAAGGCCTGTTTTGGAAGTTTTGACAAAAGTTGTGTAATTTGAGTTGAGCCTATAAGTTGAGTCTTGAGTTGGGTCTTAATGTTGAGTCTTGAAGGAGATGAGAAAGACATTCCAGGACAAGAGAATATCATAGAAAAAGACAAACTATCTTCTGGAGCCTGGAACTTTCTGGAAACAGCAAGTGGACATGTACAAGGACTATCTGAAAAGGAGTATCACGACATGGCAAAGGAGGAGAACACAGGAGTCAAGTCGGCTGGAATTTGGGCCTGATTCCTATAGGCAATGGAAGCCATAGCAAACACTTGAATGAAGGAAGAGACATAATCAAATTCATGGGTTATATGTTTGTTTGTTTGTTTGTTTGTTTGTTGAGATGGAATTTCATTCTTGTTGCCCTGGCTGGAGTGCAATGGCACAATCTCACTCACCACAACCTCCACCTCCCAGGTTCAAGTGATTCTCCTGCCTCAGCCTCCAGAGTAGCTGGGATTACAGGTGCCTGCCACCATCCCTGGCTAATTTTTTGTATTTTTAGTAGACATGGGGTTTCACTATGTCGGCCAGGCTGGTCTCGAACTCCTGACCTCAGGAGATCCACCCGCCTCGGCCTCCCAAAGTGCTGGGATTACAGGCGTTGAGCCACCACGCCCGGCCTCAAATTCATGGTTTTAAAATGTAATCCTAGAACCAGATGATGATGATGAATTAGAGAGAAGAGAGACTAGAACTAAGTTATTACAGTGGTCCAGGAAAGAAATGATGGAGTCCTTAACTAAGGCAGCAATAATAGTGACAAAAGAGGACTAAATTGATTAAAGGATGTTTTGGAGAAAGAAGAGTTTAGAGCACCTCTCAAATATCTGGTGTGCAGTGGTTGGTGATGACATTAATTTATATAAGGGAACTCTAGAATGGGGCAGGTGGCATATCTGTGTTAGACATGGGTGGAGCATGGGGACAGTAGAGATAACGAGTTCCAATGGGACATGTAGAGTTTGGGGTCTTTGCAGGACAGGCTTGCTCTGCTCTGGTTTTAAATTTATTGCATGTAAAAACTAGGCTATTAAGGCAAGAAAAGGAAAGAATATTTTATTCTTTTCTCAGTCTACATGATAGTCTATAGTAGAGGTAAAGATTGCACATGAGAACTTCCAAAATCTTGGGAAAGACCAAAAAATCTTACGAACTGCACTGGTTTTGTCTATGTGTACTTTGGTAGATGGCTGTTACTGCTGCTTGTCCTTTTGTTTGGGAGTAGATCACATGTGCTTTGGTGTAAAGCCATCCACTGATAGGACAATTAGTTCATGGGATTTGGGATGGTGATGACGGTGAAGGTCACAGGTTCCATTTCCATATATAAAGCAGTCACAATCTATAGCCCCAGGATCAGCTAGCAATCTCATAACATATGGTCATGCATGGATGGATGAATTCAGTCACGGAGATAATGACAAAGCCCAGAAGTCAATAATCCATTCTGTAAACATCACCTACCGTAGGAAGTGGTGACCTCACAGGCGAAACACCACAGTCATTCATTGTCAAGGTCTGTATGTTCAGCATGTGGGGAGCCGTGCAGGGCTAATTTGCAGATAAGAACTCTGAAGCTCAGATAGGACTAGGAAGTAGGTGTATGGCACTCGGGGTCTAATAAGAAAGCTTAAAGGTAAATGGGGATGTACATGTCTCTAGAGCCTACAGAGGAGGAAGTGGTAAGCAAAGAAGATATCTCACACCCCATCCCTCTGACAACAAAGGTGAAAGTCTGACTCCAAACTTAGGTGAAAGAAAAGTCAAAAGAAGTTCTAATTTGGTTTCCAGTGGCAATGAGAAGACCCTGGGGAACTTGTCCTTGGAAAATGTGCCACCAAAACTTAGGCACAGCATCCTGCTCTTCCACCTTTAACAAAACTACAGACATTGAAACATATTTTTAAGCACTACAGTCTAAGCAAAGCTGGGTGGGTCTGTGGCTTCTCACTGGGGCTATTCTTCCCTTCTACAGTGATTTCCTGTTTCTAAATCGAACATGGGGTCTACATGATAACACTGCAAGATAAGCAGACCCGTAAAGCCAAAAGCAAGGCTTGTTGCAAAGAGTAAAGGAAACAACGAATATTCTATGCCTCAAACACAGCCCTTTCCATATGAAACTCAGGCCTCTACAGTGTGGTCAATCTGGTTAGCCGCCTGATACCGAATTCTCAGCAAGTGCAAACATTAATCTTAAGACATACAGTACTTTAGTGTATAATAAAAAGCCAAACTATATTTCATCACAATTTTTAAAATGTTGTAAGGGTTAAATTATACTATTTAATTCATAAGCATGCATCCTAAGAAAGAGAAAAATGATACATACAACCTTAAAATGGGAGACATTTATTCCTAAACAAGCTGCAGATAAATCTCACCACTCCCATCTTACCCAATGCAGGCTTTCTGTTTAGACCATCATTTTACCAAAGGTAAGAACGTTGGCAAAACTTCTGTCAATGTCTAGTCCTCAAGGATGAAATTAGGGCATGTTTCTTAATACTACTCTTTATTCTATCATTGATTCCATGTGTAACTTTCTTCCAGTAGCTTCCTTCCTGTTTCTCAGTATTTTTATTAACAACAGGAGAACAAAGGTATCTGTCAATCACCTACATTATAGTGCCATCGTGAATACTAGCATTAAGCCAGTACTTTTCAAGCTCACATTGTAATAGTTTCTGTAAGGAATGAATTTTAGAGAAATATAAAACATAGCCGTTGTCCTCTAGAAACTTCAGTCTGTTTATAGGCATCAAGACAGTACACAAGAACTAGTGAGTAAAACAGTAAGCATCACAATGCTATGGAAGTTAGACAGTTCTGGATTCAAATCTTGGCTCAAAAGCTGCTTAACCTCTGAGCTTTGATGCCCTCATCTGTGAAATGGGAATAACAACACCTTCTTTACAGAGTTATTGGTTTTGGGCCTGAATAACTAGGCTATTTGCTGTTGGTGAAATCTAAAATAACACATTTGGGGGAAGAGAATCAAGAGTTTGTGTTGTACTTGTTAGGCTTTCAGACTTCTAACTGATCATCAGAAAGGTGATGAGGCCAGATGAGATGACCTATGGAGTGAGTATAGAGAGTCTATCCAGGATCTGACCTCCGTTGTGTGAAGGGCAGATTGATGAGAAGAACCCGGAAATAGAGCTGAGGAGCAGCAGCTGCCAGTGAGTTAGGAAGGGAGTCAAAAAGAGACTGACATCTAGGGAACCAGGTAAAGACACTGATTTAAGGGGCAGAGAGTGATCATATATGGCGAAGGAACACCATAGGTTGAATAAGATATGGTCTGAGAATGGAGCATTGGTTTGAGCAATGTGAAGGTCTTTGGCAACCTTGGCAAAGAGAGATTTCAACGAGGTAGTGGAGTTGAAAACCTGGTCAGAAAACAAAGAGTGGGATAAACAAATATAGATAGTTCTTTAGAAAAATGTGTCAGTGAAAGAGAGGGAAGGCAGGGCACGGTGGCTCATGCCTGTAATCCCAGCACTTTGGGAGGCAGAGGTGGGTGGATCACTTTAGGTCAGGAGTTCAAGACCAGGACAACATGGTAAAACTCCGTCTCTGTACTAAAAATACAAAAATTAGTCAGATGTGCTGGTGGGTGCCTGTAATCTCAGGTACTCGGGAGGCTGAGGTAGGAGAATTGCTTGCAACTGGGAGGTGGAGGTTGCAGTGAGCTGAGATCATGCCACTGCACTGCAGCCTGGGTGACAGAATGAGAATCTGTCTCAAAAAAATAAATAAATAAAAAGGAGGGACATAGGGTAGAATAGGGTAGTATAGGATAGTAGCTGGAAGGAAATCTGACATCATTTTGTTTATGCATTTTAATATGGGATGAATAGTATATATTTGTGTGCTGATGAGAATGACAGTTTTTTTTCTTAATTTTTTGTAAAGACAAAGTCTTATTATGTTTCCCAGGCTGGTCTCAAACTCCTGGCCTCAAGTGATCCTCCCACCTTGGCCTCCCAAGGTGCTAGGATTACAGGTGTGAGCCACCACATCCAGCCAGAGAATGATACAGCTAAAGAGAAAAAAAACAATGATGGTAGAATTATTTTTGTACCAAATCATCTTTTGAGAGATGGAGCAACACAGAAGGGAATTCCTTGTGTAAATAAATGAGATGGAAACTAGTGTCCAAGTGGAGATACCGGGTACCCACTCCATTCACAGCAATGTAGGGCACGCCAAGTATGCAGGATCTAAAAGCAAGTAGATGTGACTTGGGGATGACATTGAGAAACACATATGCAAATAAGTTAGCATTTCAATAGCAAACAATTTATGTGATGAAGAGAAGAGAGAAGTGGGAAAACATATTATTATTTAATTTAATTTATTTTTGAGATGGAGTCTTGCTCTATTGCCCAGGCTGGAGTGCAACAGCATGAACTCAGCTCACTGCAACCTCCTCCTCCCGGGTTCAATGATTCTCCTGCCCCAGCCTCCTGAGTAGCTGGGATTACAGGTGCCCACCACCACGCCAGGCTAATTTTGTTCGAGACCATGTTGGTCAGGCTGGTCTCGAACTCCTGACCTCAGGTGATCTGCTCACTTCGGCCTCCCAAAGTACTGGAATACAGGAGTGAGCCACTGCACATAGCCATAAATTTTATTATTTCACAGAGTTCTAACACCTCTGTCTGTCTGTCTGTCTGTCTCTCTCTGTCTTTTCATCAAATAATGATTGTGTACCATGAACTGAGTGGTATGATTAACTACACCTTTGGTTGGAATCTAAGGTCCAAAATGAAAAGAACTCATTATCACCATTTGCTCCTCAAAACCTTTAATCCTTCTGAACTGTTCCAATTTAGATTTACTGCGACTGGAACTGCTTCTTCCTTAATGTCTACTAGGACCTAACTGCTTCTTCCTTAATGTCTACTAGGACCTTAGAATGTTTAATAATAAATAGTCCTGTAACACTGGGGAAGGAGATCCCTAGTGAAGAGCTGCAGAGCTACAAGGCTTTGTCTTTTGACACTGACTCTTTCCACTTTTCTTTGTAAAGCAAGAGTCAGTTCAGCTTTTCAAATAATTATTAAGCACTATATACCAAGTAAAAGAAGAATGTCATGCTTACTATGGACTAAGTACTACACTAGGTTCTTTACATATATTTTTTAATTGCCTCAATGACTCTATGAGATGAATACTATTGTTTTTCCTGTTTTTATGGTAAGGAAATTCACACACTTAAATTGCCTAAGTTCGTGCTGTTAGTAGTGGAGGAGCCAGGATTCCAACCCAGTCAATTTGGCTCGTGTGCGTGTGTGTTACCATTGCATCATATGCCACCCAGGTTAGGGACACAGAGATGATTATAAACAGCTCCTCGGTGCAACAGGTTCAGATGGTACAAAGCCTAGGGGTCTATTGACAGATAAGACAATCAAGAGCCAGAATGTTCTCAGAAAGCTTGAACCCTCACTCCAAACTTACCAGATAAGACTGATGTAGGGAGAATATGAAATCTGAACTTTGGTTCCAAAATGAAATGCATCATGAACACAGGATAGGGAGACGTGATGTGACACAAATTCTCTGAAGAAGATCTGGGTGTTTTGGGTGACTGCCTCAACAGGAGCCTAGTGAGATGTTACAGCTCAAGAGTGAAACCCTGGGCTTAATAGAACAAGGAAGTCCAGAGGGTGGGTGGTGATGCAAGTGAATGTCCCCCTATGCTCTTGCCAGCTCTGATGACACATAAGTCCCCTGTCCCATGCAAAGGGGCATATTTTTGGAGGAACATGGACAAACTACAGTATATTCACATGTGGCTGTTGGCAAGTGGTGAACAAATGATAATGAAACTAGAGGCATAGCTTCTTTAATTATTTGACCTTATGCTATGGAAAAGACTTTTATCTTCAGAAGACCCAGTCTGACTAAGGGCATAAGGGCTTGGACGCAGTGGTATGGTAGAATGTCTTCTGGAAGTCTTTGAAAGTGAGATTGATACTCATCTTCCTGTTCCATGTGGTTTCTGCAGCAGCAGAGAGTTGGTCCCAAGTATCTGAGGAGCAGCCACAGGGCTCTGGAATTTTATTCATTACACTGCAACTGTGGGCTTTGGGAATAGGATGCTCTGAACACTCAGGCCTGGGGTCAGAAGAACTGATGCGTGGGCCCCACCACGAATTCCGAGTTAATTAGTAGTGAATGAGGCCAGGACACAAACTCCCTGAGTGAGTCTAACATACTGCCAAGGTGGAGGACCACTGGCTTTCCTACCTTCTTAATATGGATGTCATGAGAACACAAAATAGGGACTCAATGGCTTCTTAAATCTTTATTATCAGCAAAAATCCCTTAGAAGAAATTCTATTGTCATTCTCTATTAATATCATCCTTATTACTCAATTATGGATTGATGTCACAGAGGAGAATATTTCCAAATGGCCAAACCTAAGCAGAATTCTGGCCTTATGCCCCAGTGCTTTTTTTGGAAAGCACAGATCTCTTTTTATTACCTCCTTGTTGTTCATTATGGTATTGGTGGATGATATGGGTGTTTTTCCATTAGAACTCCAGCAAACAGTTTCCCGTGAAAGCTTATATGAATCCAATACAATAATTCTGGGTTATTTCTGCTAGAGGCTAGATTCAAATTAATGACCTAGGAATGGAACAAACAAAAAAGTAGACACCAATTAATTCCCAGAGCTCTCCAAAGCACTTTTCCTAATACTTGAAATTTATCACAAGAAAATATATTCTCCTGGTTTCTTTTTTGTTGTTGTTGTTAAGGTTTAAGATGATGCCGTAAAACTTGTTACATTTGCTATTCATAATTTATAACCCCATGGTATTCTTCTGTTTATAAAAGTGGTTTATACCTTCATTGATAAGAATTGCCTTTTCCTCAGGACAAATAATTTAATTTATAATATGAAGGAATAATGAATGGCAATAAGCATGCCAAATCATCAGGAATGCCAGTTTATTTTTCATCAATTTCTTTTTTTGGGGAGATAAATGTGCAGCTACTTAGAACAAATTGTTCATCATTCTCTGGGGGTTGTGATTCGGAGAAATTAGACTTGTGTTTGTCTGGAGAAAGCTCGGCTGTGGAATACTGAATTGAATGAAATCTTAGAACATCCTCCCTCTGGTGTAGAAACTCTCGGACAGGTGGGGCTCAGCCACTTGCCCTGAAGGGTAACTCCGCAGTTCACCAGAGCACCACGATTATAACATTCTTTCTTAGAATTCTAGACACACAACTTGAAGGTACTAGATGCTCTTTTATAAGCTGAGGCCAGAAAGGTTGCATTTTCTGGGGCCTTGTGGCTTAGATAGGCTGATGTAGTTACATAAACACGGCCTTTGCCATCCACAGCCCTGGGTACAGATCCCAGCTCAATGACCTCTGTTACCTTGAGCCTCTATTCCCTCGTCTGTAAAGTGAGCACAATTCTTCCTTTCTAGGGTTAGTTTGAAAATTAAATTCGGGTTGGGTGCTGTGGCTCACACCTGTAATCCCAGCATTTTGGGAGGCCGAGGTGGGCAGATGACTTGAGGTCAGGAGTTCGAGACCAGCCTGGCCAACATAGTAAAACCACGTCTCTACTAAAAACACAAAAACTAGCCAGGCTTGGTGGTACGTGTCTGTAATCCCAGCTATTTGGGAGGCTGAGGCATGAGAATCGCTTGAACCCAGGAGGCGGAGGATGTAGTGAGCTGAGATTGTGCCACTGGACTTCAGCCTGGGCAACCAGAGTGAGACTTTGTCTCAAAAAAAAAAAATTAAATTCAATACAGGTAAATGGCCTGGTACAGTTCCTGGCATATGGCAGAGCAATCGCCCAAAACCTGTTGAACTGTAGTTTGACCTTCCCTGTCTTCTGTCAAAATCCTACCCCTTCCTTCAGACCTGATTCCAGGGTCCCCTTCTTCAAGAGATATCATTACTGCTCCTACTCTCAGTTCTTGCCTCTCCCCTCCCATTTTGTTTGTATTTGCTTATTTTTTGGTTTCTAGAAGAAATAGATAATACATGATTGAATGAATGAACGAGACAAAATCCCTGAGACACTGTGGACCCCCGGCCTGATCATCCCCATTTCTCTTCCTCCACAGAGGCCTCTCTGACTAACCACACAGAAACCATCACCGTGGAGGAAGGCCAGACGCTCACTCTAAAGTGTGTCACTTCTCTGAGGAAGAACTCCTCCCTCCAGTGGCTGACCCCCTCAGGGTTCACCATTTTTTTAAATGAGTATCCTGGTAAGTGAAAGAAAGAAAGAAAAAATGCCACCAGACCTTAACCTGAGGGTTTTTCCAGCCGGACAGTTTGGTGGGACAGAAAGCCTGCATGAGTCACCCAAGGGGTGGGCTCAGCCCACCTACTGTTACACATGAATCACGCCTCCAAATCCTGTTATTTTACACGCAGTGGCTTGCTGGGGGCAGGAACTGTGAAATGGAAACCCCACCAGAATGGTTGTTAAAGGGGGTTCAGATTACAAAGCACATTTCCATGTCCCCACCCCACACTCACACCACTTTTTCACTCTCAGTAACTATCACACAACCACAGCACAATGACAGACAGGCAACCAACTGACTGGGAGCCCGATCCTCATGCAACCACCACCACCCCAGATAAGAAGCCAGCTGCTTCGTTTTCCATCTGAGCAATCCAAAGGCACATTACAAAGCTCCTTTCCAGATAGCTCTTCTTCTCCTGTTGGTCTTAACATAAAATCAAGATTTTTAAGCAATAGAAATAGACAGGATGTATTAATTTGGAAATGAGGACAGTCATTTCTCTTTTCACAAACACACATGAAGAAAGTACAAGATGTCTGAGATGGAAAAAGACTCTTAAGAATCTCTTGGGTTCATCTCTTTGACGTTAGGCAGGGTTTTACTAAACCCTAGATCATTTTATGTCTCCATTTAATATTGCTAACTGCCAAATACTTGGAAAAGTCTAAAACACATTTCAGTCTTATTTATAAAGCAGAGCCTCTTAAAGCATATCATGCTGGCTGGGCGTGGTGGCTCATGCCTGTAATCCCAGCACTTTGGGAGACTGAGGCTGGCCGATCATTTTGAAGTCAGGAGTTCAAGACCAGCCTGGCCAATATTATGAAACCCTGTGTCTACTAAAAATACAAAAAAATTAGCTGGGCGTGGTGGAGCACTCCTGTAATCCCAGCTATTGGGGGAGGCTGAGGCAGGAGAATCACTTGAATCTGGGAGATGACAGTTGCAGTGAGCTGAGATAGTGCCACTGCACTCCAGCCTGGGCAACAGAGCAAGACTCTGTCTCTAAAAAAAAAAAAAAAAAGTTATGCTTTGAAAGCATTATTAGATACTGATATGTTAACATAAAGAAATATATTATTTCAAGCTAAATCAACTAGAAGTAAATACTAATTGTTAAAAGTTCTGAGAGAAAAAAATTTTAAATAGAGATAATTCTGTTACATAATGCTTTTTGTTGTTTTGTTTCTGGTTTTGGTACACTGGGAGAAGAGGGACTCTCTCGGATTTCTGCAGCAGAATGGCTTGATCTAGCTCAGTGGTTCCCCACCCGGAATGATCTTACCTTCCCGTGGAGATAGGACAATGTCTGGAGATAGTTTTGATTGTGCCAAATGTAGAAAGCGGGGCAGTGCTTCTGGCATCTACTGGGTAGAGGCCAACGATTCATCGGATATCTTTCCTCATAACAGCTCTATTTCCCTCTTGTACAGCTTTAAAAAATTCCAAATACCAGCTTCTTCATCACTCGGCCAATCAGCTCTCCATCACTGTGCCTAACGTAACCCTGCAAGATGAAGGCGTGTACAAGTGCTTACATTACAGCGACTCTGTAAGCACAAAGGAAGTGAAAGTGATTGTGCTGGGTAGGTACCTGCAAGTGAACCCAGTAGGGGAGCAATATGGATAGGAACACGATATGTCGTTTTTAAACTGAACCTTTTAGTTTAAAAATGTTGCCTAGAGCAAGGAATTGCCTGGGACACCTCTGCCATCTTTTATTGAAAGGAAACAGAAGAGAGCATTTTGAGAAGCAAGACCAAGATTGAACTGTGAACTTGTGAAATTTGTCTTTGACAGCAACTAAATTTTCTCTCCAGGGAACTAAAAGAAAAGAAAAATTGATATTTGATGAGCTGCGACTATGCGCCAGGCACCATGTGAGGTTCTCGGGAATCAGAGATGAATTAGGCACAATCTCTGCCCATAAGGAGTTTGCGCACCAGCTCAGGAAGAAAAACATGTATGCAAATGAAGTGGAACCTCATGACAGCAAATCCTAAGATAGAATGAATTCAGATGTAGCTGCACTGCTTGATCTGCTCAAATCCTCTCTGCCAAACAATTCCTCTTTTCTGTAGGAGGGCGGGATTGGGAGGTGCGGATAGGAAGTGACAGCCTCCTAATTACCTGGGACTTACTCAGTTCTACAGATGGTCAACTGTGTCCAGTATGTCTATCCTTACTTGTTTTGTTTTTTGTGGCAGAACAGATCGATTAAAAACATTGCTTTTTATTGATCTCTAAGTAACATCATCTCACATATCACACAAATGAATGTCTTAGACTTCTCCTGTTGAATTACTGCAGTGTGGTGCCTGCCATACGGTAAAGGCATGATGGGAAAGTAGCTGAGAAGGAGTGGCTCTCGGGGAGGGGTTTGAGAACCATTGTGACTCAGCTCAGCGTTGTCTTTTTGTAAGGGAGCACACATCCTGGCTCAGCTGCTTGTGTGCCCTTCTGGGCTCTCATAACACCCCATGTATACTCTGTCATTGCTCTCAACACATAATCTTTTCATTAACAGTTTAGGGGCTGAAGCCACACCAGACTATTAGCTCCTTGAATCATACCTTTTTCATCTTCGTATTGCCAACAAGTAACACATCTAATGTATATTTGGAGCTAAGAAGTGCCTTTATAAGGTCTTGATGGCAGATGGGTGAGTTAAGTAAATGGGGAAGAGCTCAGTTCTGGACTGAAGTGGAAGTAGAATGGGAAACAGGAAGAAGCAAGCCTAACTAAAAAGTATTTCCAAGACAGAAGTATAAAGAAAAAGGACGAACATGCCCTTTATAAGATAAATGCACCTTTTTTTTTTTTTGATGGGGTCTTGCTCTGTTGCCCGGGCTGGAGTGCAGTGGCGCAAACTCGGCTTACTGCACACAACCTCCCCATCCCAGGTTCAAGCGATTCTCCTGCCTCAGCCTCCCGAGTAGCTGGGACTACAGGCGTGCACCACTATGCCCAGCTAATTTTTGTATTTTTAGTAGAGATGGGGTTTCACCATGTTGGTTGGCCAGGATGGTCTCGATCTCCTGATCTCGTGATTTGCCTGCCTTGGTCTCCCAAAGTGCTGGGATTACAGGCGTGAGCCACCTCGCCCGGCCTCATATACCACATTTTAAGAATTGTTGCTACATTGCTTGTTCGGGAATTTTCAGAGACTAACAACACACTGAGTAATACACATTCTGGCTTCAGCCAAAGTAGCTTTGCAAGCACATGAAAGCCCTTTAACATGACTGTATTCTGGAAGAGATTAAGTTAAAAAATATGGGCCGGGCGCAGTGGCTCACACTTGTAATCCCAGCACTTTGGGAGGTGGAGGCGGGCGGATCAATTGAGGTCTGGAGTTCGAGACCAGCTTGGCCACAGAGAAATCTCATCTGCACTAAAAATACAAAAATTAGCTGGGTGTGATGGCGGGTGCCTGTAATCCCAGCTACTCAGGAGGCTGAGGCAGGAGAATTGCGTGAACCTGGGAGGTGGCGGTTTCAGTGAGGCGAAATCGTGCCACTGCACTCCAGCCTGGGCGACGGAGACTAAGTCTAAAAAAAAAAAGAAAGCCCATTAATTAGAGTATACCCTATAACAATCACCTACAGATTATTAGCCTCTGTGCTTTGTTGAGATATGCAGACTCATATCTAATTAACACAGAAAAATCCATTTTGTTCTAGCAACTCCTTTCAAGCCAATCCTGGAAGCTTCAGTTATCAGAAAGCAAAATGGAGAAGAACATGTTGTACTCATGTGCTCCACCATGAGAAGCAAGCCCCCTCCGCAGATAACCTGGCTACTTGGGAATAGCATGGAAGTGTCCGGTAAGGGGAGAAATGGTTCTCTTTGTCTTCCTTCCTACTCAAATTTCCAGGGGATTTTTAAATGTTTTGGCACCCTCTAGTGGCAGACAATGCCAGAAGACATCATTTAATATTTCATCAGCTCTTTTCCAGACAAGTTATTCTTACAACCAATCAATTTTATGCCTTAATCTTGAAAGGCTAATCATAGATATTGAAAATGTTTTTGTTTAAAACAGGTAAAAATCTAAAGTGAACTATAATGACTTCTTAAAATTTCACAAAATTGTCTAAAATAAGTATAATACAGAAGTATAATATCTCAGGCGAGGCACAATGGCTCATGCCTGTACTCCCAGCACTTTGGGAGGCCAAGGTGGGTGGATCACCTGAGGTCAGGAGTTCGAGACCAGCCTGACCAACATGGAGAAACCTCGTCCCTACTAAAAATAAAATTAGCTGGGTTTGGTGGTGCATGCCTGTACTCAGGAGGCTGAGGCAGGAGAATTGCTTGAACCCAGGAGGTGGAGGTTGTGGTGTGAGCCAAAAATCACACCATTGCACTCCAGCCTGGGCAACAGGAGCAAAATTCTATCAAAAAAAAAAAAAAGAAGAAGTATAATATCTGTGAGCATAAACTTTTTCCCAGATATAAAATCGAAAATATATTTAACATAATACATATAATTGGAACAGATATGATCTTCCCTATATTGTATAGTACTATATTGTGTCATACCCACAAGAACAGATTAAAAATATTCTTGTAACAAAGCACCTAAAGGTTGAGCCTTTGAAACAGAATAACTAATTAATTATGGTGTCTGGGTACTGTTTATAGTTTGCTTACATTTCAACAGACATTACCTTTGATATCTATGTAATCAACCATCTTTTTTTTTTGAGATGGAGTCTCACTCTGTCTCCCAGTGCAGTGGCACGATCTTGACTCACTGCAACCTCTGCCTCCTGGGTTGAAACGATTCTTCTACCTCAGCTTCTGGAGTAGCTGGGATTACAGGTGCATGCCACAACACCCAGCTAATTTTTGTATTTTTAGTAGAGACAGGGTTTCACCATGTTGGCCAGGCTGGTCTCGAACCCCTGACCTCAGGTGTTCCAACTGCCTCGGCCTCCCAGAGTGCTGGGATTACAGGCGTGAGCCACTGCGCCCGGCCTGTAATCAACATTCTTAGAGTTGCAAAGGACCCTTTACAGTTGAGAACACTGAGGGCCAAATGGAGTTCTAGAGAGAAAAGACCTAAACCCAGATCTGATTCCCAGGGCAGTGCCAATTCTACTTCATTATAAGACTTCCCTTTAATTCGCCTTATTCATATAACCAGAATAAGGTCTTGGATCTTTGTGTTTCATAACAACATCAAGCTGTCCTTCTTAAGCTTTGAATTTTTTTTTCCAGTAGTGAAAAGTTTGTAGAAAACCATCATCTACTCTCATTCATCTGTTTGCCTTTGTGACCAGAACCAAGCCTATACAAGGGAACTGGCTGAGGTTAGAATGAGGTTAGAAATCTAATGTTTGCCATGAAGTCAAGGCCATTGGCCTCTAATAGAACCAACCTCATCCAGTAGCATTAAATAGCCATAACCTCTTCAAATTGCTACATAGGTGGAACGCTCCATGAATTTGAAACTGATGGGAAGAAATGTAATACTACCAGCACTCTCATAATCCACACTTATGGCAAAAATTCAACGGTGGACTGCATTATCCGACACAGAGGCCTGCAAGGGAGAAAACTAGTAGCACCCTTCCGGTTTGAAGATTTGGGTAAGAAGAACTAATGATTCTCTTGAATAATTTTTGATTTACTTTAATATTACACTATCAAACAAAATTAAATGCAGTGGGCAGAGTCCTTCAGATTAAGATTACTGCCAACAAAGCTTTCCTAATAGCAAATTCCTGTACTGATTGAAATTTCTCCAGGTGAGTGACGGAATTCCAACTATTCCAATGTTCAAAAGAACCCCAGTTGAGCAGAAAGCCTAGCACAGCGCCATATGCAAATAGTGTCATGCTTGCTTTTTGATAATGACTTTAAATCGTTTTATTGCTGTTGTGTTTTTGGAGTAATCATATGAATCATACTGCATCTTTGTACTTGACCCAGAAGGAGATAATGTTAGCTGAAATAAACCTAAATTGTCAATATCATTTTATGTGAATATGAAACACACAGATACATGAAGACATAATTCCTGTTTAGATTTATTTTATTGTTATAATTGCTTTGAAGATTTTAGTTTAACCATGTTAATATTCTGAGTTGAACACCATTTTAAACATCCAATATTAAATGTGAAGAGGAGTTGCCTCCATTCTCAGAACCTCTATTCTATGATTCTTTCCCCAAAAGTCCAAGAAATAATTTTAAAACTGTACACAACTCTTTGAGCCAAGAGGTATCCTTTAAGATGCATGAGTCCTGTAAGAAGTCTGCAATTAGTAGGACTCTGAGTTTCACTGTTTTACAAGGTACTTCTCTGTGTAATCAAATCCTAAAGTATAAGGAATTACTCACATCAGTGAAAGAGGAAACTGTTGGATGACAATGCATTTATTGAAAAAGCTCTTTTATCAGACGAAATCGCTGATGCTGAAAGGCAAGCTTGCTTAGGAGAACCTCACTGTGGGAAAGCTGCCGTGATGCCCTGTGGGGGCTGTGGCTGCGGTTAACAGGCCCCCTCTGACTACCACAAACTTTCCATGGGTCACTTTCTCACCAAACCAAAAGTAGTCATTGCAGAAGCTGCACTGTAAGACTCATGGACCTACAGACCGAGCTGTACAGTAACCTTACACAACCACCCCCACCCCTCTGTGAGTCATCCCCACCCCACGCCTCCACCTCCAGCAGTAGAACTGAAGCATAGGGCATGTGGGGGATGAGCCTGTATCTAAAAGCTTCCTAAAGACATTCAGGTTCTTCAATAGGAGAACCAACAATGTCGAAAAAAATGCATTCTTAATTTTCAGCAATTGTTCAAGCCATCTACAAAAATTACTATGAAGGGGGAAATGGCAGTTCTCCACCTTTACGGCTATAGCTCTGTATGACTCAAAATTATAGCTAAAGATGTTTTTAATAATAGGCTAAGGCCAGGCGTAATGGCTCACGCCTGTAATCCCAGCACTTTGGGAAGCCGAGGCGGGCAGATCACCTGAGGTCAGGAGTTCGAGACCAGTCTGGCCAACATGGCAAAACCCCATCTCTACTAAAAATAAAAAAATCAGCTGGGCATGATTGTGGACGCCTGTAATCCCAGCTACTTGGGAGGCTGAGGCACAAGAATCGCTTGAACCCGAGAGGCGGAGTTTACAGTAAGCTGAGATCACGCCACTGCACTCCAGCCTGGGCAACAGAGCGAGACTCTGTCTCATAATAATAAGAATAATAGGCTAAGACTTAATTTTTATTTGTGATCTATTTGCTGTACTCATTGCCAGATCTCCAAATAGTATTCAAAGAGAAACGCCAGCATCAGCTGTTGATAGCTTCCATTAGTTCATTGTTTCTTCCATTTGGCTAGCTGCTACTATATTGACATATAGATGTTACAAACATTTTGTTCACCCAATTAGGTAAAAAATATTACTAGCTGAGGATGCTTTAAAACACATTTACACATAAGGGTTCTGACCCCTTTCATTCCTGTGCTCTGCATGGAAGGACCTGGGTAAAGTGAGGGTCATGCCAGCACCAGGACTAGGGTGGTCCTGAGGAAAGAAGTGCCTTCCTCTGAAAAAGCCACAGTGTGATGCTTCGAGAAAGAGAGTAGAGCAACAGGAATTGATTTTTGAATAGGCTATCTTTGTTTTTATGTTTTGTTTTGTTTTTTGAGACAGGGTCTCACTCTTTCACCAAAGCTGGAGTGCAGTGGTGTGATCGCGGCTCACTGCAGCCTCAATCTTCCAGGTTCACAATCAGTCCTCCCACCTCAGCCCCTCAAGTTGCTAGTACTACAGGCATGCACCACTACATCTGGCTAATTTTTAAATTTTTGCTGAGACGGGGTCTCCCTATGTTGCTCAGGCTGGTCTCAAAACTCCTAGGCTCAAGAAATTCTCCCTCTTTGGCCTCCCAAAGTGCTGGGATTACAGGCATGAGCCACCTCACCCAGATTTCAGAATTATCATTTATTTATTTCTTTTCTTGAGACGGTCTCACTCTGTTGCCCAGGCTGGAAGGCAGTGACACAGTCTTGGCTCGCTATAACCTCTGCCTCCCAGGCTCAAGTTGATCCTCCTGCCTCAGCCTCCGGGGTGGCTGGGAGCACAGGCATGAGCCACCACGCCCTGCTAATTTTCATATATTTTGTAGGTATGGGGTTTCGCCATGTTACTCAGCCTGGTCTTGAATTCCTGAGCTCAAGCGATCCCTCAACCTCTGCCTGCCTCCCAAAGTGTTGGGATTACAAGCATGAACCACCACACCTGGCTCTTTTTGTTGTTCTTGTTGAGACAAGGTCTCCTTCTGTAGCCCAGGCTGGAGTGCTGTAGTGCAATCATAGCTCGCTGCAGCCTCTACCTCCCAGACTTAAGTGATCCTCCCACCTCAGTCTCCTGGGTAGCTGGGACTACAGGTGCACACACCACACCTGGTTAATTTTAAAATTTTTTATAGAGACAGAATCTCATTATGGTGCCCAGGCTGGTCTGAACTCCTGGGCTTAAGTAATCCTCCCTCATCGGCCACCCAAAGCACTGGGATTAGAGGCGTGAGCTACTGCACCTGGTTTATTTCATCTTTTTAGTATTTAAAATGCGGAATCTTGGTTTTCTATTACTTACCTGGGGATAGGATTTTTTAAATATTTGAAAAACAGTTCTCAAACTTTTGATTTCAGGACCTCTCTACAATCTTAAAAATAATCGAGAACCCCAAAGAACTTTTACTTATATAGGTGATGTCTGTCAATATTTACCTATTAGAAATTAAAACTGAGAAATTAAAAAAATATGTATCTGTCAATTTATTTTAAAATAATAAATCTGCTACATGTTAACAGAAATGGCATATTTGTTTTTATTTTATTTTTTGAGATGGAGTGCACTTATTTTTTGAGATGAGTGCAGTGGCCCGATCTCAGCTCACTGCAACTTCCGCCTCCTGGGTTCCAGTGATTCTCCTGCCTCAGACTCCTGAGTAGCTGGCATTACAGGCTCCTGCTACCACACCTGGCTAATTTTTTTGTATTTTTAGTGGACATGGGGTTTCGCCATGTTGGGCAGGCTGATCTTGAACTCCTGACCTCAGGTGATCCACCTGCCTCGGCCTCCCAAAGTGCTGGTATTACAGGCGTGAGCCACCGCATCCGGCCCAGAAATGACATATTTTAATGAAAAAAAAAGTATATTTTGTAACACTGAAAAGATTAGTGTGAAAATGTCATTTTTTTACATTTTGAAAATCTCATAAATGTCTAGCTTAACGGAAAACAATTAGGTTCTTGTAACTTTTGCATTCGATCTCTTCCAAAATGTTATTTTGCTTTAAATAAATATATAAAAATTCAATCTCACACAAATATATAATTGGAAAAGGGTAGAATATTTTAATAGCTGGTTCAGATAATTGTGGCTATTCTTCTTTGATGTTACACCAAAACTCAACAAGTAGTAGTTTCTTAAAGATTAGTTGCTATGTGGACTCTGGGCCCATGTCAATGAACTTTTCATACTGTTATATTAAAACCCACTGAACTGTCTTACACTTTGCTTAGAATTTTTACCCAGGCATGATTTTTCTAACATTATGTTTTAGTCATTTGGAAAATACTGATTCACTAAGTTCTACAGAACTTTCCAATGTTGATATATTTCAGCATCAAAATCACATTCATTAATATCATCACCGATCTCATCAGAAATCTTTAAGCATTTGGAGGTTGTCAAACTCACAGTGGTGGATACAAGTTGTCCGAAATTTGAACTTTAAGTGTGACTATTGCAAATGAGGAGCTATTTTATTTTTTGAGATGGAGTCTTGCTCTTGTCGTTCAGACTGGAGTGCAATGGTGCTATCTCAGCTCACTGCAACCTCTGCCTCCCAGGTTCAAGCAATACTCCCACCTCAGTCTCCTGAGTAGCTGGGATTATAGGTGCCCACCACCATGCCCAGCTAGTTTTTGTGTTTTTATTAGTAGAGTCAGGTTTCACCATGTTGACCAGGCTGGTCTTGAACTCCCGGCCTCAGGTGATCTGCCCGCCTTCACCTTCCAAAGTGCTAGGATTACAGGTGTGAGCCACTGCACCTGGCCTAAATTTTTAATATATTTTCATTTTAATTAATTTTAATTTAAATAGTCGTTGGAGCTAGTGCATACCATATTGGATAGCAGAGGTCTACAATATTCTGACCAACTAGGGGGGTAGATCATCATGTGCCAGTATCCACCCAATTAAAACAACATTCAGTCTAAATGCAATAGTTTGCTAGCTTGTTAATTAACAGGATAAATCAAAGTAAATACAGAGTCTAGTTTTAAATATGTATAGATAAAACTTGTTTTGTACATAAACATAATTTTCTGAATTCACATAGTATATACTATGTTAGAAGATTTAAATCACTATTGATAAATTTTATTCTATATGTCCCCAGTGATGTCCTTCTTCTTTTTTAAAATTTTGAGACAGGGTCTCACTCTGTCACCCAGGCTGGAGCGCAATGGTGTAATCACGGTTCACAGCAGCCTCGACCTCTCTGGGCTCAGATGATCCTCCTACCTTGGCCTCCTGAGTAGTTGGAACTACAGGGGCGCACCACCATGCCCAGCTATTTTTTTGTAGAGATGGGGTCTTGCCATGTTGCCTAGGCTGGTCTCAAACTCCTGGGCTTAAGCAATCTGCCTGCCTCGGCCCCCCACAGAACTGGGATTACAGGCATGAACCATTGTGCCCGGCCCCATATTCTTCTTAAAATTTATTCCCAGTACTTCTATTTGACTAGCATTCCAGCTTTTCCCTCTTTTCATTGCCAGCAGCTCTCCTCTTTCTTCAATTTTCTCTGGCACCTGTGTGGTCAGAGTTCATTTTAGCCTTATAGTCTATACTATTATCTCTATAATGTTTCCTTAGTAATTCTTTCTTTCCTCAGAGCCCTTACACACAATTCAGGTATTTTTATATTTTTCATACAGTTTGAATGTTTGATTAACCAGATATGTTTTCAAAACCATGGAAAATTATTTGATTAAATAAACACCAAGAAGCACTCACAAATTTTATAAAAACATGAACCACCTGTGACGTGTCAGTATATATATATATACACACACACACACATACATATACGTATATATATATATATATATATATATATATATATATTTTTTTTTTTTTTTTTTTTTTTTTTTTTTGAGAGGGAGTCTCCTCGCTCTGTCGCCCAGGCTTGAGTGCAGTGGTGCCATCTTGGCTCACTGCAACCTCTGCCTCCCAGGTTCAAGCAATTCTCTTGCCTTAGCCTCCCAAGTAGCTGGGATTACAAACACACACACACCACCACGCCCGGCTAGTTTTTTGTATTTAAAGTAGAGATGGGGTTTCACCATGTTGACCAGGCTGGTCTTGAACTCCTGATTTCAGGCGATCCACCCACCTCAGCCTTCCAAAGTGCTGAGATTACAGGTGTGAGCCACTGTGCCCACCCGACATGTCAGTGTTAGTATTTGTAAAGTGACAGGCACAGTTATTACATGCTTCCTGGATGTGGCTGGTAAAACCTGTTCAATGACTGGTAAAACCTATACTAGGCTGACCCTCTGGAAACATTCCTAAGCATTGATTAATGTTATACAATAACATTTAGCACTGTGCTTCATAAATAGCTAGGCATTGTACTAAACATGTTATATAAATGAACTTACTAATTCTCACAAAACACTCGAAGAGGTAAATGCTGTCAGTATCTCCATTTTACAGATAAGAGAAAAAAAAGTGCTAGGTCGGGTATCTTGTCCAACTCATTCAGGAGCAGGTAAATAGCAGCACTGGAATTCAGCCCAGTCTGAGGCTGATTCCAAAGCCATCTAATAGGTAGATAGATAGGTGGATGGGTAGATAAACAGACAGAGGGATTGATTGATGGATAGAAGGACACAGATAGAAACAGTGAATACTCTTTGCCTACCACTGCCACCACACAGAGGTCCAGCATGCTGTGCTTTAAGCCAGGCAGGTGAGCAGATGGACACTCAGTGGGATACAGATTCAAAAACCAGAGCAGGAGCCACAGAACACACAGTTCTGGGGTTTCTGCACAACCTCTACAAGCAGGTAGCCGCTAAATATATTCTCCAATCTCTTTTACTGAGCACAATGTGGGTAAAACTGCTCTCTATAGTAGCAGAATTTTGTTTTTCCCCTTTCCTAGTTACTGATGAAGAGACAGCTTCAGATGCTCTGGAGAGAAACTCTCTATCCTCTCAAGACCCACAGCAGCCCACCAGTACTGGTAAGTGTCAAAATCATTCAAACTTGTTTTTAAAAAATCACGTTTCCTTGGGAAGGTTATTTTTCTCATTCTAAGTTTTAAGAATATTTTTTGTTTTAATTTTTACTAAGACCATACAGGCCCCTCCAACTGGCTCCAGCTTTGTACCATCCTAGAGAAGAACCACATCAGGCATCGGAATACTTAGTGGGATGGGCTTCAGGCTGACATAAAGCTTTGCAAGTTCAGTTCTAGTTTGCCTGAGATAGAGATGTACACATGTACACACACACATTCACGACTGTGACATTTGAATTTCCTCTGCAGTAAAGGACAAAGTTGAATTCATTTATAGAGAGACTCGTTTCTTTGTTTTCCCATCTGAAGCACACCAAACACAAAACACAGACTTGGTATCAACAAAGAGAAAAGAAGCAGAAGCTGGAGATTTGGTGTTGTCATTGAATAACAAAATCACCTCTGAAGGCACATCAATTACTTGATTGTCAATAACTCAGGTCATTTTTGATGATGGGATTGAACTACAAATACAGAATAATTTAGAAAGCCTGGATTATAATTCCAATTTTTTAGACAGTGAACTCACTAGAGGTTAACTCAGAGCAATGATTGTATATCTAATTTAACTTTGTATTTTACCTAGCATAGTATCCAGCAATAGCAGCTTCTCAGAAAATGAATTACGAAAGAAAGAAAGAAAGAAAGAGAGAAAGAAAAGAAAGAAAGAAAAAGAAAGAAAGAAAAAGAAAGAAAGAGAGAAAGAAAAGAAAGAAAGAAAAAGAAAGAAAGAAAGAAAGAAAGAAAGAAAAAGAAAGAAAGAAAGAAAAAGAAAGAAAGAAAGAATTGGTTATGGTGCTTTGAGCAAGACTATTAGCCTCATCCAGAAAGGCATAAATTCCTACATATTCTCTTTCCATTTCATGTAATGTGTCAATAATAATTTCATTTGTTGGAATAAGGGCTTTCAGAGCATTATCATGTTCATAGTTCTGAGTATCAGATCATATTTTTAAAAATTTGTATCCTAAATAATATTTAAAAGTAAATGTTTGGGATTTCTAAACACTGATAAATACAACATGTACCATACAATTTTTTGAAGGACAATGGAAATTGAAAATATTATGAAGTGGAACAGCCACATCACTTGCTTTAATAATCCAATATTTGTAAACGTGTTTAGAATCTAGTAATCTTTAACGGCTTGCTACTGAGCAACTCAATTTTCTGCTCTGCTTTTTCATATATAAGACTTTTAAAATAGGGTTTCTAAAATTCCTTTCAGCTTTCCATTTCTACGATTTTATTACATTTAATACCCATTTTCAATAGAATGGGAGGCTTCATTCCCCTCGGGGTCCACATAGTGGCGCTGTGCAATGGACTAAAAAGCAAGAAACTGCAGAGAGAAAAAAGGAAATTGGAAACATCAGCAGTAAAATCTGGAAAAAAAAACCACACAGTTTCTGATTTTTTATAATTTATCTTATCTAGAAAAAACATCATAGTACATCCCACTTCTAATGGGGAGGCAAGCAGAGGTTTGAATAACTGAAGCTATATTTCAACATAAATTTCAGGCTGTAGGTTTTCTATAATTAAAGCTTGGAATGCCGTTCCTCGGTGTTCAGTTGTTATCTTGAAGCATCCTAAAGACCTTCTCCCTAATAGGCCTGATTCAGGATGGAAATATGAAATAATGGTTTAAATGCTGGGCTCTAGAGTTAGGTAAAACAGAGTTTATGTATTGGCTTTGCCACTTATTTGCTACAGGACTTTAGGTACTTTACATAACTGCTCTAAACCTCCGTTTTCTCAGAGCTGTGGTGAGAAATAATATATACCAAGTGCTCAGTTCAAGGCCAGGCACAGAGTAAATGCCCAAAACATTTACCTTAAAAAAATAAGGCAAAGTGAGCCTAGCCATTTGCAATTATGTTTGCAAGAAATCCATAGTTCACAAATGATCTCAGTACTGTTTTTAAATTTGGCTTCCCAAGCTGCTCTGGGAAGACTTACGTAACTACAGTTGTATGTAGTCACATGTATATAATGCATGCATAGCTCATGTTTTATCTTCTTTCACTTTAGTCTCAGTAACGGAAGATTCTAGTACATCGGAGATTGACAAGGAAGAGAAAGAACAAACCACTCAAGATCCTGACTTGACCACCGGTAAGTGTCACCCACTGCATTTAGAATAAACACTCGACATTTTAACCTCTTAATCGATAAATTCAATGGCCTTTGTCAGTCCTCCCTTTTCTTGACCTTTCTGCCCTTTAGGACATGATTGGTTAATCACTCCCTTGTCCCTCCTTGATTTAGTTACCTCTCGGCTTCTTGACATACTTTTCCTGGTTCTGTTATTTGTTGCTAACCACTGCTTCTCTGTATCCATTAATTAACTTATCTTCCTCTTCTGACTTCTTAAATGTGTATGTACTTCTGATTTTACTTCTCCATCTTTTGTTCTTCCCTTTTTTTTATATATATATATTTTTTTTGTGAGACAGAGTTTCTTTCTTGTTGCCCAGGCTGGAGTGCAGTGGTGCAATCCCAGCTCACTATAACCTCCACCTCCCGGGTTCAAGTGATTCTCCTGCCTTAGCCTCCCGAGTAGCTGGGATTACAGGCACACGCCACCACCCCAGCTAATTTTGTATTTTTAGTAGAGATGGGGTTTATCCATGTTGGTCAGTCTGGTCTTGAACTCCCGACCTCCGGTGATCTGCCTGCCTCGGCCTCCCAAAGTGCTGGGATTACAGGCGTGAGCCACCGCGCCCGGCTGTTCTTCCCTTATTTTTTAAAGAGTTTACTCATTCCCAAGATGGTTCCTGTTGCCACTAGGCAAAAGATTTCTCTCTTTTTTTTTTCTGGTTTTGTTTTGTTTTTAGAGACAGGGTCTCTCTCTGTCTCCCAGGCCAGGGTGCAGGGGCACGATCATGTTCACCGCAGCCTTGAACTCCAGGGCTCAAGAGATCTCCTACCTCCACCTCCCAAATAGCTGGGATTACAGGTGTGAGCCACTGTGCCCAGTAAGCAAAAGATTTCTATACCTATATTTCCAGAACATCCTCCTCAGCATTGCTCCCAATTTCTTTCCATTTTCTATGTATCTGTAGCTGAATTTTCTGTGATTTCCCCAAACTCAACATTGCTAAATACCAAACAGCACCTTCTCCCACAAAATCAGCTTGTCCAAAGCATCACACAGGCCCCAAAGCAACACACGGGTCCCAAACCTTGGTGTTATCTATCACTCCTATGTATGTGTACAAATATATCTATGTGTATATGTATATGCATATGCACACACGTATATAAAATCAGTCAATTTCCAAGAACTTTTGAGTCTTGTCTTTCAGGTATTTTGTCCATTGTCACTGTTAACGTCCCAATCCAGGCTCTCATCATCTCCTGCATGGAGTATTATAACTTCAGTTTCTCCTCCTCTGGTTCACTTTTAGCACCCTACCATCAAAATATCTCTTTATCTGCATACCTGTGTTCTAAAACCCTTTATAGCTTCCTGAAGTCTACAACACAGAGCATGAGTCCCAAACACCTCATTAGGTGCCATCTATTACCTACTTCTGCAGTCTCATATCTACAAAGTCCTTATGAGATACATATTTTTCTCTGAAAACATCAACCCTTTTCAATCGCCCTGCCCTTGTTTATCCTCACTGCCCCTGGTGGAAGAGGAGACCTCCTCTCACCTCTCCTTACTCCCTCTTCAAGGCCAATATCTTCACTGAAAACTTTTTTGACCAACTCAACCCTCAGAGACCATTCTTGCCTCTGAACCCCTGAACACACTATGATATAAATACATATGGATCCAGAATTTGACATATCTTACTTTTGTTTGTTTTTATTAATTTGTTTATATATAGAGACAGCTAATCCCCAAAGCATGTGAACTGTGCCTTCTGTAGGTCCAAGCACAATGTTCTACACATAGCTGGCACTCCTTAATTATTCATTGGTTAAGATGAGGTGACTAGGACATTTAGCAAGACTACAGCCCATAGAATCAGAATTCTAGGTTTAGAAAGCCTTTTTTTTTTTTTTTAAGAGACAGGTCTCATCTGTCTCCCAGGTTGGAGTGCAGTTTCACAGTCATAGCTCACTGTAACCTTAAACTCCTGGACTCAAGTGATCCTCTGCCTCAGTCTCCCAAGTAGCTAGGACTACAGGTGTGCACCACTGCTCCTGGCTAATTTTTTATTATTATTATTTTTGTAGAGACAAAGTGTCACTATGTTGCCCAGGCTGGTCTCAAACTCCTGGCCTCAAGCAACCCTCCCATCCCAGCCTCCCAAAGTGCTGGGATTACAGGCATGAGCCACTGCACCTGGCTAGAAATATTTTCACAAGCTCATCTGATTTAGCCCAAATGCCTTCCTGTAGGGCCACATTTAACCTAACCAAGATAAATAAATTTTCATTTTATTTGGATAGTTTTTTAAACTCCTTAACAATCCCTCTTGCTACTTAACTATATTTTGCTAAAAATCATTCCTAAAGCTAATTTGAATCTCCTGACTATAACTTAAGTCGATTTTCTCATATGCTTTCTGTAGAAATAAAAAATAACTAGCCCAATAGCTACGTCACTTAAAAAATCTTTTCAAATCATCACACATAATTGCCTTGTTTGTTGTATGCCTGTTTGCTTGTTCTCAGAGAATGAACAATGTAAGTCTCTTTACCTTCAGGGGTAAGCTCTTTCTCATCTCTTCATCTGAGCTGTCTATTAGCTTATATCACATTGTAGAAGTATTGTTACATATTCTCCAGTGGCAAAAAAAAAAAAAAAACCCAAAGTATCTAAACTCCTTTTTCATTTTCCTTATAGAAGCAAATCCTCAGTATTTAGGACTGGCAAGAAAGAAAAGTGGCATCCTGCTGCTCACGCTGGTGTCCTTCCTCATTTTCATACTCTTCATCATAGTCCAGCTCTTCATCATGAAGCTGAGGAAAGCACATGTGATATGGAAGAAAGGTCAGTGGGCAGGGAACCTGACGGGGGCTATAAGACGCCAGAACAAATGGCTAAAAAAAAGGGAAATTCTGTCCATTAAAGCTTTCTGTCAGACACTACATAATCTATTTGATAAGTGCTGTCTCAGATAAGCAATTGTTTGTTTTCTAGTAAACTCGGGTGTGAATCTCCAGGGACTATAGTCTAAGAGTGTATAATCAATAGAAACTAGCATAGATCCAGAAATTGGCATTAAATGATAGACACTTCTATTCACAGAAGGATAAAAATCCCAGGACTGCCTAGCACAGTCCCTACAGGAATCAAAAACTATGTGTTGAATTAATGAGGTATGAGTTATGGGAGGGGCATGGTAAGTCTACTATTGCACAGTAACAGAGGTATTATCTTATTCAAATATACATTTCTACATGTCCATGGCATCAGAAATTAGTTGCTTGATTTTCTTTTTTTGTAGAAAACGAAGTTTCAGAACACACACTAGAAAGTTACAGATCAAGGTCAAATAATGAAGAAACATCATCTGAAGAGAAAAATGGCCAATGTAAGTCAACTGTATGACCTGAGATCTGAACAATGAGGTTCATTAATGTATTAGTCAGATTTCTCCAGAGAGACAGAGACAACAGAATATGTGTGTGTGTGTGTGTGTGTGTGTGTGTGTGTGTGTGTGTGTGTGTGTATGAGGTGGGATTTATTAGGGGAATTGGCTCATGAGATTATGGAGGCTGACAAGTCCTTGGACAGGAGGTCTGCAAACTGGAGACCCTGGTATGCTGGTAGCCTGGCTCAGTCCAAGTTCAAAGGCCTGAGAACTCAGGGGACCGCCAGCGTTAAGTCCTGAAATCCGAAGCTAGGGAGTCTCGAGTTCTGCTGCCAGGAGAGAGGAGGGAGTGTATTCCAGCTCCAGCAGACAGATCAACACATTTGCCTTCTTTCTGATTTTGTTCTTTCTGGGCCCCCAACAGAATGGATGGTGCCCATCCACATCAAGGGCAAATCTCAATGCCCACCTACTCCACTCAGACTCACACACTAATCTCCTCTAGAAACAACCTCATAGACAAACCCAAAAATAATGCTTTACCAGATTTGAGGTATTTCTTAATCCACCCAACTTAACACTTAAAATTAACCATCGCAATTAAGTAGTCGCCTTTAAAAAGAAGGAGGCTGGGTACGGTGGCTCACGCCTGTAATCCCAGCACTTTGGGAGGCCGAGGCGGGCGGATCACGAGGTCAGGAGATCGAGACCATCCTGGCTAACACAGTGAAACCCTGTCTCTACTAAAAATACAAAACAATTAGCCGGGCATGGTGGCAGGAGCCTGTAGTCCCAGCTACTTGGGAGGCTGAGGCAGGAGAATGGCGTGAACCCGGGAGGCGGAGCTTGCAGTGAGCCGAGATCGTGCCACTGCACTCCAACCTGGGTGACAGAGAGGGACTCCACCTCAAAAAAATAAAAATAAAAATAAATAAAAAGAAGGAGAAGAATCAAAATCTGATTTTTTAGCACTAGAAAGTCTCCTAAATCATCCTGTAGAACTTAAGGAGTCTCATCTGCAAAAATAAATAGTAGCAGTTAAGTTCATGTAGCAGAAGGTGACTTCCTTTTGGGAAGCCATCCTTGACTGTTTGACGTCACACACAGGGATACCCCAAGACCACCAGAGGATCCTATGACACCTTTGTCATAGAAGCACGTCTTCCTCCATATTGTAATTTTTGGTGTTTTTACATAGCTACTACAATACTCCTTTAGGTGGTGAGTAATCAGATTTACTCTGTATCCTCAGATTCTAGCACAGGTTAGTTGATAAATTTGTGTTAAATGAGTGACTATAGGCTCAATTAATTCAAGAAGGCATGTGTCAGGTCCTTTGGATGACTTCATTGCAATTCCTGAGACAAAATATGTAAAGAAAATGAAGAGAATCGGGATGGGAAGGAGATTGTGTATGGGAAGTGGAGGTTGGGGATTGTATTCTTGATAAAGATCTGGAAGGCAGAAGCTAGGACTATAGAAAAGCAAGAATATTCCACCTTCCAACCATATTATTTCCTCCATACAAACTAACTTATTCTACCCGCCAGGAGCTGCAAGAAATACAGCGAGTTTTGCCGCTCTATTCTATTGGTTTTACTGAGGTTTTTGTAGGAGGCTTGTCTTTTATAACACCTCTGCCTCTTTAGGTTTTGACCTACTAGAGCGTGAACTGAAAAGAATGAATAGATGTACTAGCTGGGAAAGGAACACAAGAGAATTGACTGTGTGAAAACTGGGGGTGGGAGGGGAAAATGTGTGTAAATAACATCCAAGTCGATTGTGTTGCAACACCTGTTTCTAAATACCCGTCATCACATACTCACCTGGTGGACAGGAAAATGATGTTAATATCATGTGTGAGTTGGGTTGCTCCCTGAGCTGTTTTTCCTAGGCAAGAAGAACCAAAACAGTGGGAGTAGAATTATGTCTGTTAGCTGGAAAAATGGAAGCCCTTCCAGTTCAACTTTTAAAACAATTTTTCTTTCTTTTTTTTTGAGACAGGGTCTCTCACTCTGTTGCCCAGGCTGGAGTGCCATGGTGCCATCATAGGTCACTGCAGCCTTGACCTTTCGAGCTCAATCAGTCCTCCCGCCTCAGCCTTCCTAGTAGCTGGGACTACAGGCACGCACCACCACGCCCAGTTAATTTTTATATTTTTAGTAGAGATGGGGTTTCACCATGTTGCCCAGGCTGGTCTTGAACTCCTGGACTCAAGTGATCCACCCACCTTGGCCTCCCAAAGTGCTGGGATTACAGGCATGAGCCACCACGCCCAGCCAACTTTAAGAATATTTAAAATGAGTACCTGCACGACTCAGGGGATTCCTCCCCAGAAAAGTACATCTTCAGGGGTTTGCTGGGGGTTTCACTTTCTCCCGAGCTCAAGCCTTCACTTTCATCCTCCTTGCCTTAGCACCCTCAAATCTAGCATTTTAATTGTGTTGTTTTGGACATATTAAAAATATTCTCTGGGGCCATCTCTAGTCTCTTTGTACAGAATTGCATAGGCCTTGAGTGTGATCTGCCCCGACCCTATTTTTGCAGTAAGCCCTGTTATTTCTAGTGTGCAATTTTGCTAAGGCAATATGTTATGGTCAGCAACAGATTATTTTACAGCAGAAATATCTGTATATTTTATTTCACGTTTACCAGTATATTGTTTATATAGTAAGACTTCTTTAAAAATTATAGTATAGGCCAGTGCAGTGGCTTATGCCTATAATCCCAGGATTTGGGGAGGCTGAGGCGGGTGGATCACTTGAGCCCAGGTGTTTGAGACCAGCCTAGGCAATATAGTGAAACCCCGTCTCTACAAATAATTTGAAAATTAGCTGGGCATGGTAGTGTGTGCCTGTAATTCCAGGTACTCAAGAGGCTAAGGTTAGAGGATCACTTGAGCCCGGGAGGCTGAGGCTGCAGTGGGCCGTGATCACACCACTGCACTTCAGCCTGGGTGGCAGAGTGAGAACCTGTCTCAAAAAAAAACCACGAAAAACAAAAAAGAATATAATAATGCCTTCAGACCATTTATATGCATCAGTAAGTTTTAGGTTTTTATAAAGCAATATGTGAACCTAAAAATATGATATCCAATCAAAGTGTTTCAAGTAAATGGGTGCAATGTTATTCAAAATAAATATTCATCTTCAACATGTTTTTCTTTCAGCTTCCCACCCTATGCGTTGCATGAACTACATCACAAAGTTGTACTCAGAAGCAAAAACAAAGAGGAAGGAAAATGTACAACATTCAAAATTAGAAGAAAAGCACATCCAAGTACCAGAGAGTATTGTGTAGTGCTCTCTGCAATGGAACATGTGATTTCAGGGTTGCCGCAGTGTCACCTCAGTGGACCAGCCTGGGGGAAGGAGCTTAATTGCTGAGACATTAATAATGACCTCTTAGTGCAATGCAAGATGGTGTCCTCGGATAATGATCTGCCCCGGAGCTAGGGCAGCAACATGAGGACCAAACCATGCACATAAAGCTTGTAGTTTAAAAAAGAAAAGCAAAAAAATAATTATGCCTGACACTACTTCAGAGCAGGAGGATTCTACGAAGCCTTGGGGATCAGGGTCAGTGTGAGCAGCTAACATCCTACCTCAAATGGAACAGGATTTTTTGATGCTTTGCTCTAATGGAACTGTTTAAAAAATTTTTTTTTCTTTTTAATATTTTCTTCTGGTCACAAAATAAAGAAATTTGGGATGCAAAGTACCTAAAGATCTCTGATCCTAAGAAGTTACTTCTGGCCAGGCGCGGTGGCTCATGCCTGTAATCCTAGCACTTTGGGAGGCTGAGGTAGGCAGATCACTTGAGGTCAGGAGTTGGAGACCAGCCTGGCCAACATAGTGAAACCCCGTCTCTACTAAAAATGCAAAAATTAGCCAGGCGTAGTGGTGCGCACCTGTAGTCTCAGATACTTGGGAGGCTGAGGGTGGAGAATCGCTTGAACCTGGGAGGTGGAGATTGCAGTGAGTCAAGATCTCACCACTGCACTCCAGCCTGGGCAACAGAGGGAGACTCTGTCTCAAAAAAAAAGAAGTTACTTCCAAGACAGACTTTTAAGATGTAACCAGCACAAAGCAATGTCAGGGAGGAGTGATACATGACAATAAATGAGTCAGATGAGCAAGAAGGCCCCAGAACCCATGCCCCAAGGCACAAAGAGGAGCTCAGGGTAGGCCCAAAGATTCGAATTCCTTAGATTACTAAATCACATGAGCGGACCTTGTCTGTCAGATAAGATTTTTACCTGGAAATTCCATGACCAATACATGTGCAAAAGAAAATGATGGGTTGAATTTACTGATTATTGACCTAATGGATGGCTTTTTAAAATGTTTTAATAAAAAGCAGAATAGATGTTTGTTTTTCTAGTGGTTATACCAAGTTATACTTCCTGTTTTCACGTGTGAAAGTAACATGGGACATGCCTTTCTTTTCCGATCAGTTTATTTAAGCTATACAGCAAACTTTGGCATTTATGTGGAGCATTTCTCATTGTTGGAATCTGAATAAACCAATTACAAAATAACATATGTGCACATTGTAAGTCTGTAATTTGTGATAGGGGCCAGATCCAACCATGCTGATTTTTTGTTCTCTTGACAAAACTGTTTTGGACAATCACAACATTACAGAAAAGTGTAAAGATAGAACAAAGCACTTTTCCCCCTGGAATCATTTGAGAGTAAGTTGACACAATACCCATCACCCCCCAAATCCTTCAGTGTGTGCTTCCTACAAATAAGAACGCTCTCCTTTAGAAACACAATGCAACCATCAAAAGTGGGAAATTAGCACTGTTCTGCTTCCACGAACAGTCCTCAGACTCCATTCAGGTTTCTCCAATTGTCCCAAAGGATCCAGTTCAGAGTCACACTTCATTTTAGTCTCATTCAGTTTGGAACAGTTCTTCGGTCTTGGCTTGCCTTTCATGACCTGGATATTTTTGAAGATTACAGGCTGGTTATTTTGTAGATCATCTCTCAATTTGGCTTTGTCTGCTTCCTCGTGGTTAGATTCAAGTTGTGCAGCTCTCATAGGACTGTCACAGAAGCGATGTTAAGTTTATTTCATTGGGCCAGGCACAATGGCTCACGCCTGTAATCCCAGCACTTTAGGAAGCAGAGGCAGGCGGATCACCTGAGGTCTGGAGTTCGAGACCAGCCTGGCCAACATGGTGAAACCCCATTTCTACTAAAAATGCAAAAATTAGCTGGGTGTAGTGGTGCATGCCTGTAATCCCAGCTACTCAGAAGGCTGAGTCAGGAGAATTGCTTCTACCAAAAAATACAATCCCAGAGTGCTGGGATTACAGGCATGAGCCACTGTGCCTGGCATATAATGGGGTTTTGAGCTAGATGAAATATAGTTCTATTGTTCAATGTTGTACCTTCCAAGAGAGAAGCCCTCCCCCTTCCTGTGATTGCTTTGAACAAATTTGTTCAAGAGCAAATTTGTTATAATTGATAATTACTCTAGACCTGTTGAAATATGTTAATTTTTAGGCCAGGCGCAGTGGCTCACACCTGTAATCCGAGCACTTTGGGAGGCTGAGGCGGGTGGATCACGAGGTGAGGAGTTCGAGACCAGCCGGGCCAAGATGGTGAAACCCCATCTCTAATAAAAATACAAAAATTAGCTGGGTGTGGTGGCGGGCACCTGTAATCCCAGCTACTCGGGAGGCTGAGGCAGGACAATTGCTTGAACCTGGGAGGCGGAGGTGGCAGTAAGCCAAGATCGCACTACTGCACTCCAGTCTGGGAGACAGAGCAAGACTCTGTCTGAAAAAAAAATTTTTTTAAATGTTAATTTTTTCTTACGTTTTCTGCTCTATGTCTTGTTTCCAGTTAGAAGCAAACCAAAACTAAGGCCACAAAAATGTCATTATTCTCCCAAATGCCATCTTGCCTAGGTTGATCTCAAACTCCTGGGCTGAAGTGATCTGCCCACCTCGGCCTCCCAAAGTGCTGAGATTATAGACATGAGTTGCCAAACTGGCCCACACACTTTTAAACAACCAGATCTCGATGAACTCAGAGTGAGAACTCACCCATTAGCAACAGGATGGTACCAAGCTATTCTTGAGGGACCTACCCCTGTGATCAAAATACCTTCTACCAGGCCCCACCTTCAACACTGGAGATTACATTTCGACATGAGATTTGGAGGGAACAAATATCCAAACCACATCAACGAGGCTAGAACATTTTATACTAGAAAGAAAGGAAGCTATCAAAGACTCTTCTGGAACTGTGTTAAAGGGCCCAGAAACCAATTTGTGTACACCCTCCAGGGACTTTCAGTGGCCAAAGATGGGATAATCTGAGCATTAAAAAAGAGTAGTGATTGGGCCGGGCATGGTGGCTCATGCCTGTAATTCCAGCACTTTGGGAGGCTGAGGCAGGTAGATCACGAGGTCAAGAGACCAAGACCATCCTGGTCAACATGGTGAAACCTCGTCTCTACTAAAAATACAAAAATTTGCTGGGCGTAGTGGCATGCACCTGTAGTCCCAGCTACTCAGGAAGCTGAGGCAGGAGAATCGCTTGAACCCGGAAGAGGGAGGTTGCAGTGAGCTGAGATCGCGCCACTGCACTCCAGCCTGGTGACAGAGCGAGACCCTGTCTCAAAAAAAAATAAATAAATAAAATAAAAATAAATGAATAAATAAATAAAGAGTAGTGATTGAAACATGTTAAATACATTAAAACTCATGAGTTTTTACAATACTTTAAAAATGTACTGATCAGCTTTAGAGATTGCTCAGACACTAGTTTTTAAACTGAAATTTGAAATATATCATTAAAATAACTATGTAATAAAAACAGCCATGAGCACAAGAAAAGATGGGAAACGCAAATCGAAACTGGAATATGATGCCGCTTCACACCTATAAAAATGGCTATAATAAAAAAGAGAAAATAACAAATTTTGGAAAGGTTATAGAGAAATGAGAGCCCTCAGACATGACTGGTGAGAATGTAAAATAGCTCAGCCACATTGGAAAACAGCCTTGCGTTACTCAAAAAGTTACACATAGGGTTACCATATGCTTCAGCAGTTCTACTCCTAGAAAGAATATACCCAAGAGAATTGAAAAATATGTCCACACAGGCGGGGCGTGGTGGCTCATAGTGAAACTCCATCTCTACTAAAAATACAAAAATTAGTTGGGTGTGGTAGTGTGAGCCTGCAAGCCCAGCTACTCAGGAGGCTGAGGCAGGAGAATTGCTTGAACCCGGGAGCCGGAGGTTGCAGTGAGCCAAGATCGTGCCACTGCACTCCAGCCTGGGCAATAGAGCGAGACTCTGTCTGAAAAAAAAAAAAAAAATATATATATATATATATATATCTCCACACAAAAACTTGTACAGTAATATTGGCCAGGTGCGGTGGTTCATGCCTGTAATCCCAGCACTTTGGGAGGCCAAAGTGGGCAGATCGCTTGAGCTCAGGAGTTTGAGACCAGCCTGGGCAATGTGGCAAAACCCCGTCTCTACAAAAGATTACAAGAAGGAATTAGTGGGGCATGGTGGCCCTCGCCTATTGTCCCAGTTACTTGGGAGGCTGAGGTGGGAGGATCACTTGAGCCCCAGAGGTCAAGATTGCAGTGAGCCACGATGGTGCCACTGCCTTCAAGCTGACAATGAGACCCTGTCTCGAAAAAAAAAAAACAAAAAACAAAACAAAACAAAAAAACCTTTTACAGGAATATTAATAGCAATATTATTTATAATAGTCAATAGTGAAAACAGCCCAAATTACCATCAAATGACGAATGGGTAAATAATAGTGCCACTGCACTCAAGCTGACAATGAGACCCTGTCTCAAAAAAAAAAAAAAACCTTGTACAGGAATACTAATAGCAATATTATTTATAATGGTCAAAGGTGAAAACAACCCAAATGGCCATCAAATGATGAATGGGTAAATAAGTTGTGGTATATTCATAAAGTGAGGCTGGGCGCAGTGGCTCATGCCTATAATCCCAGCACTTTGGGAGGCCAAGGTGGGCGGATCAGCTGAGGTCAGGAGTTGGAGACCAGCCAGACCAACATGGAGAAACCCCGTCTCTACTAAAAATATGAAATACAAAATTAGCCGGGCGTGGTGGCACATGCCTGTAATCCCAGCTACTCGGGAGGCTGAGGCAGGAGAATCAGTTGAACCCAGGAGGCGGAGGTTGTGGTGAGCCTAGATCACACCATTGCATTCCACCCTGGGCAACAAGAGCAAAACTCCATCTCAAAACAGAAAAAAAAAGTGAAATATTATTTGGTAATAAAAAGAAATGGAGTACTGATACATGCTGTAACATGAACTTTGAAAACATTATGCTAAGTGAGAAAAGCCAGACACACACTCACAAAACACATATTGTATGAAGCCATTTATATGAAATGTTCAGAATACACCAATCCAAAGAGACAGAAAAGAGATAAGTGGCTGGCAAGGGCTGAGGGAAGTGGGAAATGAGGGGTGACTGCTAATGGATATGGGGCTTCCTTTGGGGAGACAGTCTGGAATTAGCTGGTCGTGATGATTGTGCCACTCTGAATATTTTAAAAATTACTCAATTGTGCATTTTAAGAGGATGAATTGTGAGGTATGTGAATTATACCTCAATAAAGCTGTTACTTTATTTTGAGACTGAGTTTTACTCACTCTGTCACCCAGGCTGGAGTGCAGTGGCACAGTCTCGGCTCACTGCAACCACCTCCTCCCAGGGTTCAGGAGATTCTCCTGTCTCAGCCTCCCAAATAGCTACGATTACAGGCACGCGCCACCATGCCCAGCTAATTTTTGTATTTTTAGGAGAGACAGGGTTTCACCATGTTGGCCAGGCTGGTCCCGAACTCCTGGACTCAAGTGATCTGCCCACCTTGGCCTCCCAAAGTGCTGGGGTTACAGGTGTGAGCCACTGCACCCAGCCAAGCTGTTAGCTTTTAAAAATCACTTTGTAGAACTTGTTTGGGTCCTGATTTAAACCAACCAATTATAAAGACACGTAGGAGACAGTCTGGGAAGTCTGAACACTGAGGATTAGACGATATTAAGAAGTTATTACTAATTTTGTTTTAGATGTGATCGTGGTGTCATGGTTATTTACAAATGATCTCTTGGGGACACATCTTAAGTACTTACAGATTAAACCATGTGATAGCTGACATTTGCTTCTAAATAATTTAGTCTGGGAGGAGCACAGTATGTATGGAAACAAGGTTGGCCACATACTGATCTTTGTTAAAGATGGGTGAGAACAATGTGCCCATTCATTATACTTTTCTCTCTACTGTTGAATATGGTTTCAAATTTTCATGATGAAATGTTTCAAAATTATTTTTAAGAAAGAAAACCAAGGACACAAAAAAGGAGAAAAAAGCCTGTCATTAATCATCTGTTCAGGCCAGGCATGGTGGCTTATGCCTGTAATCCCAGCACTTTGGGAGGCCAAGGCAGGCGGATCACGAGGTCAGGAGATCAAGACCAACCTGGCTAACACAGTGAAACCCCGTCTCTACTAAAAAAAATACAAAAAGTTAGCCAGGCGTGGTGGCGGGCGCCTGTAGTCCCAGCTACTCGGGAGGCTGAGGCAGGAGAATGGCATGAACCCGGGAGGCAGAGCTTGCAGTGAGCTGAGATTGCGCCACTGCACTCCAGCCTGGGCAACAGAGCAAGACTCTGTCTCAAAAATAATAATAATAATAATAATAATCTGTTCATTTGCATTCCTAAGAGCCATCCTTCCAGATCATCTATTTCCCAAAGTTGATCCCGGCCAGGCTGAATTCTCTTCCTCTGGGCTTCCCCAGCACGTGGCTCGTTCTTCTAGAAGGGTGTCAAAGTTACTCGTATTTCTGTCTGTTGAGTTTCATTTTCTGTTTAAACATATATTTATACCATTTCAGTCCTCTAAAATTCTCAGGGCTGACTCTTTCTAAGTAAATACTTTTCTTTTGGATAGTTGAGGTTTATCTCTTTGAGATGTTAAATGTTTTAATATTTTGGACAAAAGTCTTTGTAAAATAAGTTACATGACTTTTACCTTTCTAGTCAATATTTATGAAGCTGACTTACCCTATATGAGTTTCAAGAAGTTAATCATTATGAAAATTAATCTTGGCACTTGCCATAATAGTGTGATTCTCACACAGGATATTCAGGAATAAGGCTGTTTGTTCCTTACACCAAATGAACCCAGGTTGCTTTGTTTGTTTGAACATCTCTTGCTTTTGTGATATTTTGGTCACTTCTCTTGCTGGTACTGCCCCTTCTTTCTGCCCTGAGAGTGCCCTCCTTGACCCTTTCTGATTTACCCTACGTGTGAAGAAACCAGACAATTAAACATATTACAGTTATATGTAGAATGACTACACTGCCTGGCTACCCAGGACAATTTCAGTGTATACCTATTGTCCCAGTGTAATTAATAAATAGCATCCTTAAAAAAAATTCTTGAATGTATCCTAGTTGGCTTTTTCTTTCTTTTTCTTTTTTTTAGTGGTGGGATCTCACTCTGTTGCCCACACCGCAGTGCAGTGATGCAATCATAGCTCACTGCAGCCTTGAAATCTCGGGCTCAAATGATCCTCCTGTCTCAGCCTCCTGAGTAGCTGGACCTATAGGGCATGTACCACCACACCTGGCTATCCTGGATTTTAATAAATTATCTGATCAACCTAGTTATATGCCAAATATGAGTATATCCTTGTTACAAGGTTTGACTGGCCACTCTCACCAGTTCTATTAAAGGGACTGACTACTTATCTACTCCCCAATCATGTGCTAAAGTCTAAGGATATTGTGGCTTTTTTTCAACATTTACTGAGGATTTATTAGGTGCCATTCACTACGTTTGTCCTTGTTCTCTGGTTCTCTGGGAGCTCATAGTTTAGTAAGGAGGTGACATAAATATAAACATGTAATTTCAATGCAGTGTTGTACAAGCATATGTATAAAGCTAGAGGCATGCAGTTGGGTGCCTTGAGACCACAGACCAAGGGCCATTAGCCTAGCACAGAGTTTGTCAACCTCGGCATTATTGACATTTTGGACCACATAATTTTGGCAGGGGGGTGGGGGGACTGTCCTGTGCATTTTAGGATGTTTAGCAGCATCTCTGGCCTCTGTCCATTAGACGCCAGTAGTACTCCCTTAAGTCATAACAACAAAAAAATGCCTCCAGATGTTGTCAACTCTCCGTGAAGGATAAAACTGCTCCAGCTTGAGAAGCACCCTGGTCCAAGAAGCATCAGACAATGTGGGGGAACTGCCACAAAATTCCTGCTAGAGGAGACGCTGCTGAGCTAGACATAGGTCTGGTGGACTCAGGAGGGGTAAGACCAAAAAGGAAATGGAGCAGAGGAAGGACCTCACGAACAGAGCATGAGTGATGTGTAGGAGAGGGAAACAGAAAGAAGGGAGTTGCATGAATGGGTGGCATGGGGTGGAAAAGGAGTAAACTCAGTTCAGTATTACTAACCCATGTATTTAAGCGCTTTTTGACTTGTTTTTCCTATTCTGCGTATTTTGGTTAGTTCAGGGTCAGGTTGACAGCTGAATTCTAAAAGATAATATATGCAAAAGCACTTTGCAGACCCTGTGAAGTGCTATTCATATGTAAATTATCAATGTTATTACCATAACAGCAGATGAAAACAATGCACTTTATGGTTTTATTTTGTTTGCATGCACTCTGTAATCCTTAAGAATTCTGAAAAGCAGAGCATTAGTGTGCTGCTTATTAAACCATTGTCTCTCAGCTTCACTCATATACTCTGGTCGTGATGCTGGGGCAACCCCTACAAACCTCATTTTTCTTTGCCAGCCGGCTCCTTGTATTACTCTGCCAGGAGGGGACAGTAGAGGGAGACCCCAAGCCTGGAGACTGGAAAAGGGACTGCTCCTTCCTTTTCCTCTCGAGGTCACCTTGACAACGTCTCTTCACTCCAGCAGCTCAGTTGGTTTCAGCAGCAGTAGCTGATTCCAGTTTTCCCAGCACTCTCAGAACCAGCTTCATGATTCCTTTTCAAAGACACCAGCACCCACTAGCTTGGGATTTCACCCTCCTGAGAGGCCTGGGTCCCAGCTCTGAGTGTTAATAATTTCAGTGTTAATACTTCTAAGTGTGAATAATTCTTTCCTGTGATTCCCCAGCCACAGAGGTGGAAGCTGCTTCCTGTACTTACTACCTCTATGACACTTGTGTTCCCTTTTCAACTTTTCAGTTAATAAATCTTCATATTAAATTATTTCCATTATACTAACTGGCATGGTTTCTGTCTTCTCACTGACCCTGACTACCACTCGTGTTGATTATTCCACCCTTTAGTCACTCCAGATACTCAGGACAGCCATTACAAGGGGAGAAGGAGGAAGATCAAGCCCAGAGTGTCCCACGCTCTATGTGTGACTAGTCTCTGCAAGTAGCTGCTGGATTGACAGACTCCTGAATCACGTAGGGACCACTAATTTTCAGAAAAGCCAGTTAAAATCTCTTCTGGATAGTGCAGAAAACACTGGAAGAGTCTAAAGAACCACAGCATCAAAAGTAGACAAGTGTGAATGACTCAGCATTGATTCTATAACATATTCTGGAAGCCACTATTAGGACTAAATCCTTTTGCTTGAAATTTGCTTGCATGTTTGCAGTTGCTATAATAATACCTTGTATAATATACTGGGCAGAATAACACTAATGGTTTCAGCTACGTTGCTTTTATTTCTTCTACAGACATTGAGGTCCTACTGTGTACTCATAAGACAAGGTCCCTGCTGCCAAAAAAGTAAAAAAAAAAAAAAAAAAAAAAAAACTAACTCAAATAAAAAACAGAATAAAAAGTGCTAAAGCTGGGTAGTAAAGACATTTTCCAATTTCCTGTGTTTCCTATCATTAATGAGGCAACTGGTATTGAAGCATTCTTTTTTTATTTTATTTTATTTTTTTGAGATGGAGTCTCGCTCTGTCACCCAGGCTGGATTGCAGTGGCACATCTCAGCTCACTGCAACCTCTGCCTCCCCGGTTCAAGCAGTTCTCCTGCCTCAGCCTCCCATGTAGCTGGGACTACAGGCGTGCACCACCACGCCCAGCTGATTTTTGTATTTTTAGTAGAGACGGGGTTTTGCCATGTTGGCCAGGCTGGTCTTGAACTCCTGACCTCAGGTGATCCACTCGCCTAGGCCTCCGAAAGTGCTGGGATTACAGGCATGAGCCACTGTGCCTGGCCGAAGAATTCTCTTTTTTTTTTTTTTTTTTTTTTGACAAGGTCTCACTCTCACCCAGGCTGGAGTGCAGTGGCACAATATTGGCTGACTTCAGCCTCAACCTCCTGGGCTCAGGTGATCCTCCCACCTCAGCCTTCCAAGTAGCTCGGACTATAGGCACGCGCCACTACGCTCAACTAATTGTTAAAAATTTTCGTAGAGACAAGGTTTTGCCATTTTCCCCAGGCTGGTCTTGAACTCTTGGGCTCAAGCAATCCTCCAGCTCGGTTTCCCAAAATGCTGGGATTACAGGGTGAGCCACTGCACCTGGCCTCAAACCAATCTTTGAAGGTAGTTATTCAAATCTACTTGTTGTTTTAATGTGAAGATAATTCCTAATGCTTCCTTTCTTTATTCTTTTTTGAAACCTTTTTTGATAGTGAAATATTCTACCCATACATAAATGTACAGCTTAATGAATTTTTACAAGATGAACATCTATATAACCATCATTAAGGTCAGGAAATACAGTCTCAAAAACATTCTTCTCCCTACCTGCCAGAACCGACCACAATCCTAACTTGATGGGAATCACTAAGTGGGTAGTGTTTCCCATAAAATTGCTTTTTTGCTTTTTTTCATAGTTTCCTCCACTAAGTATGGAGCCACAATCACTGTAGAGTGTAATTTAGCCTGTTTTTTATATACAAAAATCATACAGTATGTACTTTTTCTGGGTTTTTGTTGTTGTTCAAAATTGTGTTTTTAGTATGCCTCCATATTGTTACACATAGTTGTATTTCATTCATTTACAGTGCTATGTAGTATGCCAGTATAGGCAATAGCATAATCTAATTAACCATTCTTTTGATGGATAGTTCAGTTATTTCCAGTTTGCATGCACAGGAGCACGCACTTCTTAGGGTAAATACCTAAAAGTGAAATTGCTGGATCCCAAGGCATACATATCCTGGCTAATGTCAAACCATTTTCCAAAATGGTTGGTTGCATCGGTTCTCACGTCCGCCCGCAGAAGGTGACGGTTCTTTGCACTACGTCCTCCCTAGCACCTGACGCTGCCAGACGTTTCAACTTTGGACTTTTCGACTCAACTTATGGTGAGTGTGGTATTATCCGCTGTGGTTTTAATTGGCCTTCTTCTGATTATTAATGAATTAAAGCATCATTTCAATAAACAGATATTTATTGGCCATTTAGATTTCTCGTGTGTTTGTGAAATACCTTTCCATTTACCCATTATTTAATTGGGTTCCTTTTCTTCTTGATTTGTAGCAGTTCCTCGCGTATTTTAGTAGTTTTATTTGTGGCAAAGATCTCCTCCCCCGGGTGGCCTCTGCCCTCCGGCGCTGGGAAGTCCGGGCGGCGAGGCAGCCTCTCCCGGGGCGTTCGGGCTCCTCCGGCTCTGCCCCGATGTCGTTATTACGGCCGTTTGCAGCCTCCGTGCCAGGGCCGGGGGTGCGGTTCGGGACGCGGGATCCTAGGTCGGGTCCTGCCCCGCCCATGTGGCGCCGGCGTCTGTGTTGTCTGCGGTCTCCAGGGCAGCGCCGGGGCGGGCGGGGGCCCGGGCGGCGGCGGCGGCGGCGCGGGAGGATGCGGGGCCCGTCCGGGTCGCGGCCGCGGAGGAGCGCCGGGCAGGTGACGGGCGGTGGCCTCCCGGATCTGGGGTGGGCGGCGCGCCCGGGGAGGGAAACGGGAAGGGCTTACTGGGGATGGGGACGGCAGGAAACCACCCAAGCAAGCTGGGGAGGAGCCGGCGCGGGAGCCTTCGGGACGGAGTGGGGAGCGACAAGGGGGCGAGGCCGCGACAAGGGGCTGGGGGGCCGCCATGCGAGGCTTCGGCGCCCGGGCACCCAGAGCAGCCCTGTTCCCGGTCAATTAGGACCGGTCCCGGGCACCAGGCCCGCCGACTTGTCACTTCCTGGACCTCCAAACGCCCCTTGTGACAGGCCTTGTTCCTCAGGAACAAGCAAAGGTAGAAAACCGAACGCCTCCCCTGGGCAGCTTCCGGCCTGTTTCAAACCAGGGTTCGTTCCTTTTTCTTTACGATTCATCTTGGTGAGCCCAAGCAGGGTTCCTTTTCCCCTCCAGGAGAAAGTTCGATTGTCCCATGCTAGTGGACTAGACCCACTGCAGGGATCCCTGGGGAGCTGGCCGCTTCTTAGTCCCTAGGTGCCATCGGATCTATCGCTGTCTTGTTTATTCAGGAGACTAGTCACCTCTCTTGGTCAGAAATTTCAGCGGCACAACCTTTTTTTTTTTTCACTGGACGGGAGGAGGGAGCCACATTCATGAAATTTAAACGCCCACTTTCTAACTTATTCAAGCTGTCAGCTGTTCCTTCTTCCACCCCATGTTTTGGTAAGATCAGGCCTCCACAGAAAACCCAGCTTTTGTGGCGTTTGGCTTTGCTCTTTGCATACTTTAGCAAACTTCAGGAATCTGCTAACATCAGCAAAATTATCTTCTGTGGTTACTGTTTTATTTTTTATTCATTCCAAGAAAGCTTAGCCTATTTCATTTAAGAAGAGAAGTTCAAGGGACTGAATTATTTTAAGAGTAATTCTAAGTTGCACTATAACGCTTAAGCTTGCTCTTCAGGATCTCAAATTCAGTGACCTTAGCTCCTCCAGTAAAACCGGTGTTAAACAATCTCTTTTACTTAAAATGTGTTAGTATTTGATAGATTTGCTGCTTTCTTGGCACATCCTAAAAAAGCAACAATTAAAATAATAAGGCAGAATGCAATATGTATTTTAAAAATAAGAGACAAAATAATACAACAAACCAGTCTGTAATATTAGAGAATAATATGTTAGTCTACCAACAGGGCAGACTTCGAGTTCAATAGAAAACTCACTTCGTGTGTATTTACATATGAACGTTCCCTTTTGCCTGTTGTTTGTTAAGGTGCTTTCCTCCAAGGATTTGATGATGCTCCTTGCAAACATTAGCAACAAGGTCAACATTATAAGCAATCCTAGGAATAGTAATAAGGTTGTGTCATTTAATTAAAGTTAGGATTTGCCAAAAGAACAAGAGCAAGCCATTAAGACAAATTTTACAGCAATTTCTAATGGTAAAGGTTTCTGTTACCTGACTCACAGAAAAAAAAAAAATGGGTATAAAGGCAGTGAGATAGAAAATAGACCAAAATAGAAATGCTAGGTAGAGATGAAAGGAAGCACAATCCAAAAACATCATGTCCGTTCGGTCCTACATGAACTCAAAGCACCCTTTCCATGGCTCTTTATAATGACCCTTACAGACAGTGCAGGTTCACTTGAATCACACTCGTAAGTGAGTTGGAAGGGACTCCAGCTAACTCTTAGCTGTAATTCAGGCCAATCTCCCACCCACTCAACTTTCCCCAGGATAGCATCCCGTTCGGTAATGTAGACCTCCAGGCTCTGCTTTGGATCGCTCAGTGGCAGAATTCACAAGACCACTAAATCTTTTGTTGAACAGTTTTATTTATTTTTTCTGATAGGGTCACGTTCTGTTACCCAGGCTGGAGTGCAGTGGCACTCCAGCTCACTGCAGCCTCTGCCTGCCCGGCTCGAGTGACCCTCCTCCCACCGCAGTCTCCCGAGTAGCTGGGACTACAGGCCCATCCCACCATGCCCACTAATTTTTTGTATTTTTTTTTTTTTTTTGTAGAGATGGGGTTTTGCCATGTTGCCCGGGGTGGTCTTGAACTCCTGGACTTAAGCGATCTGCCCACCTTGGCCTCCCAAAGTGCTGGTATTACAGGCGTGATTGTTGAACAGTTTTAATCGTTATTATGGGTTTTAAAAAATACCGGATGAGGTTGATCTCCATTTATGTCCACCTAAATTATATGTTCCTATCTAGTCACAACCTGGCTATCAGAAAGTCTTTTCCAAATGATGTTGCCAGCCCATATAGGTCTAGGAACAAAACAGCTTCCCCATTTACAGTTCCAACTATGGAAAACTACACTCTTCTTTCTTCTTACTTTACTTTCCAAAACATAGCCCCTGAACCTGTTTTACTCTATCCATGAATAACTACGGACCATATTTATATTGCCCATAGTTATTTGGGCATTTGAAATAAGGCTATCAAAGTACTGTCCATAATTAACCATTTGTCTTAGTCCAGGCTTGTCTGTAACAAGCCCTTGGAAGCTAGAAATAGGAATCCACTTCCAAGCAGCCATTTATTTCATCAATAAAACTGCATTCGATTACTCAGGCTGCTTATGAGCGCTACATCAGATGTGTTTCTGCAGAGAGAAAAACAATTGTTTTTCTAATAGACCTTTCTTATACACACAAAAGGGTGCATACAAAAGCCTGCAGATAATATAACAAGGTTCTCTTACTCATTTAAATATTTGATTAACGTTGACAGTATTGAGATTTTAGTGGTCGCAGAGTAACATAAATATATTTTTTTTCAGGTAACGCTTTTGTGAACCACAACTTTAAATATCAGCCAGCTGCTCCTATCAACACGAGTATCCCCTGTTAATTTTTTGCATTTTTCAAGATGAGTAAACGTAAACTAATTCCCAAGCTCTCTATTCAATCTCCTGTCCTTCATACCAACTTAAATGTCCAGTCCACACACCCACCTTTGAAGAAAGAAGACTTACATCGGATTTCAAAAGACTCCTTGGAATCTGATTCAGAAAGCCTCACGCAAGAGATTATGTGCCATTCTGAGTTTGATGATCGAATCCGGGGCAACGGTATGGAGCCCGACAGCTTAGACGAGGAGGAAAGCCCTCGATGGGGAAGCCTGCACGAGATGGAAGAGGAAGCAAGTGGAAAAGCAGCTCAGATGGCTCGCGAGCAAAACCACCATACCTGGGACCAGGGCGCCAATAACAGGTAAGGAATTGGCTTGTGTAAGATAATAATGGGCTCTAAAATGTATCATTAGATAATTACTGTCGTCATTCCAAATTAGAGTAAGGGCAAGCTGCCCTAATGAGCGCCGTGTGTGAGACAGGTCTCCAAGCAGCCAAGGATAGCTGGGCACCATGTTTTTTCCATATTCAGATTTTTTTTAATTAAAAAGTGCAATGGGTATTAATAAGGGCAATTCGCATTTCTCATACCATTTACTTCCTGTCCATATTCCAAGTGTCTCCGCACTAGGACCTCACCTGGGAGAAATTCCAGAAAGCCGGGTATGGAAAAGGATGTGGAGTCAGGTGGACTTGATTTGGTCCAGGCGTTGCTGTTTAGTGTATAATCTGGAATAAATCACTTAACTCTTTTTTTTATTTTTTTAAAAATTTTATGTAGTATTAAATATTTACAATAGAGATGGGAGCTCATTATGTTGGCCAGGTTGGTCTTGAACTCCTAGCCTCAAGCAATCCTTCCACTTCAGCCTCCCAAAGTGCTATGATTACAGGCATAAGCCACCATGCCTGACCCACTTAATTCTTTTTTTGGCTCACTTTTTCTCGTCTGTCAAATAACCTGACTTGCCTATCTCACAGGATTGCTATGAATGTCAATAAAGTACAAATAATTGGGGGTAGAATCTTACTTGGCCCATTCAAAGCTAGTAGAGGTCTACCTCTCAGGGCTTGTATGATCATATAAAGATTTAATCTAATAACCAGAATTTAAGGGATTTAACCTTGTGCTATGAGCTACCAAAAAAAAGTAAGGGAATATGAAATAATGTGTGATATCACTCTGTTACAATTGAGGCACTGAGGATATGAGAGTACAGAAGAAGGTAAAAGCTATTGATTAGGAGGAGGTTTTAGTGTGGTGGTGAAGTGCATGGTGTCTGAAGCAGACCATTTGGGTTCAGATAGTGGCTCTGCCACTTACTAGCTGTATAACCTTGGCCAAGTCCAATTATATTTCTGTGCCTCAGTTTCTTCATCAGTAAAAATGGGATAATAATAATAGTTAACCAGTTATTATGAGGCTAAAATAAATACATATAAATTGTTTAGAATAGTGACTGGCTCCTTATAAATTATATCGTGTTAGTTTTTTTTGTGTGTGGGACGGGGGAGGAGTCTCGCTCTGTCATCAGGCTGGAGTGCAGTGGCGCAATCTCAGCTCACTGCAACCTCCACCTCCCGGGTTCAAGTGATTCTCCTGCCTCAGCCTCCCGAGTAGCTGGGACTACAGGCATGTGCCACCACGCCCAGCTAATTTTTGCATTTTTAGTAGAGACGGGGTTTCACCATGTTGGCCAGGATGGTCTCGATCTCTTGATCTTGTGATCCGCCCACCTTGGACTCCCAAAGTGTTGGGATTACAGGCGTGAGCCACTGTGCCCGGCCGATTTTTTTTTTTTTTAATTCAGGCTGAAATATATTAAGGAAAGTTTATTGGAAGGCCTAGAACTTGGACAGGGTCTTGAAAACAAGCTAAGTTCTGGATAACAGAAGAGAATGGGAGTGACATGTTTGTGGCACATTAGGGAGCCCAGCTGGATTGCAGAGGATTTGTTTTGAGTGTAGCAAAAATAGACTGAGTAGGGGTCTGATTATAAGGGGGCCTTAAAAATGTGCTTATGGTATTGGAAGATACATTTTCAGGTCTTGAAGTGTAACCATCCTACCACAGATGAGGATATTGAGTCTTACAGAACTCAAATGATTTGTCCTTGGGATACAGTCACTGCAAGGGCTCGTGTGGGAGCGAGAAGTAGAGCCCGGTCCTGAGTCTTTTCTTTCTTTCTTATCTTTCTTCTTCCTTCCTTTCGTCTTCCCCCCCTTTTTTTCACTGGGGCTATCTAGTTGAATCAATCTCATAAGTGTCTTAGTGATATGTCACAGTAAAAGTGATAAGAGTTGTCACCAAGGTGCTAGAGGCGCAAGAGGCTTGCAGGACAGCTTCAGAGAGACAGACAACCTTGATAGGACTAGGCTGGGAAAGCCAGGCAGAGAGAATACAGGTTCTTGGGGAGGGCAGTGAGATGCAGCAGCGTTTAAGGAAGATTATTATGCAAGCTAGTGCATTTTGAATTAGAGACTAAACACACAATGGGCAAAGAGACTGCTGGATGGATATGACAGTAACAATGACATCACTTTTTAAAAGCCTATCTTAGTTTCACTCAATTCTCCATCACAATCCTGTAGGGAAGTTGCTGCTTTTCCTATTTTACAGATAAGGAAAATGAGGCTAACAGAGATGAAGAAACTCGTCTAAGGTTATAGTGCTTGGAGGATGTCCTTGTTGTGTTACTGATGCTGTTTTTTTTTTTAATCATGCAAAAATTCTAACCTATAGAAAATTACAGAGAAAAATACAGTATAACCCTTACTGCCATATTTGTTTCAGACCTATTTTTAAAATTCATAGTGTATTACAGATAAAGTTTCCATGTACCCCCTTCTCAAACTCATTCCCCTTTCTTCCCCCTTAGAGGTAATCAATACATACTCTTACGTGAGTGTGCATCCTTCTCACCAGTCTTCCATTCATTTATTTCATAGGTGATCTATAATTAGTGAATAAATATATATCTATATATGGATGCATGATGCCCATTTTGTTCAGTCAACATTATGTTTTTGGGATTTTACAATTATGCTTTTGAACTAAGACATGGTCTTGGTTGAATATTGATGAATATTTAGTTTTTTTCCAGTTTTCGTTATTTCAGACAATGCTCTGTGCATGTCCTCGTGTGCCTCCTTGGGTATGCATGCAAGGCTTTCCTTAGGGTATAAATCTCCAGGAGTGGAACTGTGGTTCATGGGCGACTGGACATCTTCAACTTTACTCACAAGTGCCTGCAAGTTACCAGTCCTCAGAATTACTGTCTTTTTAACTTTTGCCACTCTGATGGGTTATAAAATCCTGTCCTATTATAGATTTAAATTACTTTTCTCTGATAACTTGTGAGCTCGAGAATCTTTTTACATGGTTTTAACCAAATGAGATGGATTTAGACATCCTCTTTGGCAACTGGTTATTTTCATTTAACAAAATACCCATGTGTATCTTGGGTATCCTTCGATAGAGTTGGCTTTCCGTATCCATGGTTTCGCATCTGTGGATCCAACCAAACATAGATCAAAAATATTTGGAGAATAAATGGATGGTTGAATCTGTACTAAACATGCACAGAGACTTTTTTTCTTGGCTTTATTCCAGAACAATATAACAACTATTTACATGGTATTTACATTGTATTAGGTATTATAAATAATCTACAGATAATTTAAAATATATAGGAGGACATGCAGGGCTATATACAAATATTACCCCAATTTATAAAAGGGACTTTCCCATCCCTGGATTTTGGTATCAGCAGGGAGTCCTGGAAACACTCCCTCACAGATAACTGAGCGATGATTATACTTATATGTTCATAATACATGTGTACATGGTACATAGTATTCTAGTATCTGGAGGTGCCATTATATATTTATTCAGTCACCCAAGGGTGGACTTTGGGATGTTCCCAGTTTGTTTGTTTGTTTTGGAGACAGAGTCTTGCTCTGTTGCCCAGGCTAGAGTGAAGTGGCACGATCTTGGCTCACTGCAACCTGCGCCTCCCGGGTTCAAATGATTCTCGTGCTTCAGCCTCCCGAGTAGCGTGCGCCACAATGCTCGGCTAACTTTTTCTACTTTTAGTAGAGATGGGGTCTTACCACATTGCCCAGGCTGTCCTTGAACTCCTGAGCTCAGGAAATCTGTGTACCTCGGCCTCCCAAAGTGCTAGGATTACAGGCGTGAACCACCACTCCCGGCCCCAGTTTCTTGTTTTTTTTTTTCCAACGAAACTTTAACTGAAATTATATATATATATAAATGAAAGAATTGACAGGGTTTGGTGACAGATTAGATATGAGGATTGAAGGAACAAGAGAAGCCAAAGATTAGGGTTCCTGTAACAACAGCTAGCATTTATAGAATGCTTATCATGAGCCCATTTCTGTGCTAAACACTTTACATGTATTATCTCATTTAATCTTTATTGCAACCGTGGTAGATACTATCATGATCCCATTTTGAAGGATGCAAATGAAGCTTTAAAAGTTATATTATACCCATTCATTGCATCTAGTGAGTGGTGGAGCAGAAAACTCAGGCAGTCTGACTCCATGGCCCCAAACCCTGTTTTTATCCTGGTTCTAAGAGATTTATAGTCTCCTAGGTAATAAATGGGAGTAGTTTTAGTTATAGAAATGGGGCCACTGGAAAGGAAACATCTGTTGCAATGGATAGGTATTTTTGTCTGTATTTTTAAGATGAAGAAACCAAGGTAAGGATCCATGAAGTGACCTCATTTCCCAGTTGTTGGGTTTTTTTCTCCTTTTGTCCAGTGCTCAGGGACCTGACTTTAACCCTTGTTCTTACCAAAGGACAGTTTAAATACAATCTAATATGTTTCAAAATAAAGAATAATGCTTATAAAAATCAAAATTATGGTTAGATCCTTGGTTTTCTCATTCAGAGGTCCTCAGATAAGGCTGTTTTCCTCAGATTGATTTGCCTTGGACATTTTTTAATGATGAACTGTAAATCCTAGGGTTAGAATAGGTTATAGCCCTAGTCATTGTTTGGCTATATAGTGCTTCATACACTGAAATTAGGATAACCAGTTCTCCAATAAAAAGGAAAACAGAACTGAAGCATTTGGGTAAATAATGCCTCAAAAATATCATTCAGGTAAGCATTTCATTACTGGTCCCTTTCCCTGCCTCATGTTAGTCTTCGAAGCCTCTCCTAGGCACACTCTTGCTGGGATCTGAGTAGTTTATGAGCCCTGAAATAGACAAGGAAATTGATCTCAGACTCTCAATATGAAATTCAAGTAGGCTTTTATGTCTGTAAAGTAGATGGCATTCTGGGAATTGTAGTTCAAAAACAAAACTGTCAAAGCTTGCCTTAAAACCAAGGAAAATTTCTTTCTTCTTGCTTTTGTAATCAATAATTTTAAAAGCTGCCTGACAAATCACTTGAGTCCTACACTTGTGTTTTGATGTTACTAGAACCTCCTCAAAGCAATTATTCCCTTGTATCTGACCAAAGTCAAGCCATAGTTCAATGTATATGGATGAGAGAAAACCTTTTACTTAATGGAATTTGGAGCAGCATTGACTGTAGTGAATAAATGAAGAGTGGAGAGGGGATCTTCACGTGATAATCCTTAAACCCCACTCCAGAACTGGCCTTATGACACTCAGCACTCACGAAGAAAGAGATCTGTGTAATTCCTAGAGCATTAGAAACAACCTCTTCAGTCCTGGGGACTTCTGAAACCTTGTATATTAAAAAAAAAAAAAATCAGAGAGCAGCCATACAGTACTTTATATGTGTTTAATAAGGTCTTGTTAACAGGAATATTTATATAATTAGCTACCATTTGTAAAACTCTTTGCTTTATATATACAATCTCATTTATCCTTACAGGAGCCTCTTGGATAGGCATTATTATCCCCATTTTGCAGATAAGGAACTGCAGATCTGAGAGCTGTATAGGTATACGTAATTACTAGATAGTAGAGCCAGAAATTAAATTGACCTCTCTCCAAACGCTAAAGCCTGAGCCACTAATTACAAGTATTCAGATAGGTAATCAAGGATTGAGCTGATAGAGGATTCTATTTCACTATCCAGTAAAAATTAAAACTATGACAATTTCAGTATAGATTAAACTGAGGCCAGAGTAAATATGCATGTAAAATGATAAACTTCAGGAAAGTAATAAACATTTTTAGAGGATACTGTGACCTCAGAGTAGATAGACATGAATTATATTTTCCTTTGGGCTGGGAGGTCATAGTAGCCATTATTCTTCAGCACTTGTCCTGGGAAACAAATGTTTTCATGCAGTGAGGTCTGCAGTGCTTTCCTTTCTGATCACTTCTGACCATAGCCTCCACAAAAGGGCCCATATTCTGTCTAAGAAACCACCTTGTATTATAAATTAATAGGAGGGAGATAGGCACATGAGGAATTACTAGTTAAATTGAGTATCCAGAATTGTCTGCAAGTTAAAAAAAAAAGGGACTCATAATAATCTGCATTTTTTTTTTTTTTGAGATGGAGTCTTGCATTGTCACCCAGGCTAGAGTGCAGTGAGGCGATCTTGGCTCACTGCAACCTCCGCCTCCTGGGTTCAAGCAATTCTCCTGCCTCAGCCTCCTGAGTAACTGGGACTACAGGCGCGTGCCACCATGCCTGGCTAATTTTTTGTATTTTTAGTAGAGACAGGGTTTCACCGTGTTAGTCAGGATGGTCTTGATCTTCTGACCTCGTGATCTGCCCACCTCGGCCTCCCAAAGTGCTGGGATTACAGGCATGAGCCACCGCGCCTGGCCAATAATCTGCATTTTTATTGTTGTATATAATTGTTTCTCTCAGATGCTTTCATGTGTGTTGTTTCTGATTAATAATACGAGTCAGGTGAAGTATTGAATGATGACTTCTAGGGCTTGAAGAGTGACATTGGATAACCAAAAGAGACCACAGGTAGAGAAAGACTTAGGGAAGACCAAAACTCAGGATTTTCATTTCCCCCAAATTTCCCAGGCTGTTTTGTAGAATGCATCAGGAATATTTAGGCTGAGACTAGACTACTGTGTCTCCATAGGTGGTGCAGAGATTTTTTTCGTACTGATTAGGAGATTAAAGAAGCATCTGAAGTTAGGTCTAATATGCTAGGACTATTGAGAACATTCTAGGAGCTTTCAGGAGTCAACTTTCATTCCCATTGATTTCTAGCAACATTCATCCATGTTGTTTTCTGTTGCCTTTTATTAGATTTTCAATTTAAGGCCATTGTTTTGCCAACCTCTTACAATACATTACACTACCTGCCATGTTCTAGAGGTTTCCATGCAGTATTCTGGGAGTAGCTACTAGTATTTATTTATTTATTTCTGATCACATGAGAATAGTTATATCAGAGGAGTGACTTTTTGTTGCAGGTATTAGTCATTTCTGTTTTCTGTTCATTCATTTACTCACAAACTATGCTTTAGTTAAACCCCGACACACTCCTCAGAGCAGGCATGGTGCCATCGTAACAGATGAGCAGTCATAGAGGGAAGTAAAGGGTGTGCATGGGCATGAATTGTAGCTATTAAAGGCTGAGTCCCCGCCAGAAATGCTAAAGCCATAGTGACTCCTGAGGCTTGTTGCCCCCGGAGACAACCACTAGTTCCTTCCTAGGTTATTTCAAAACTGGGATGCATTATTGCGTTAAAATAAGTACATACATAGTGAGTTCAAAACCTCATAAAGTGTGATTTATTTAAATTTAAATGACCTACAACGCTGTGAGTTTATCAAGAGGATCAAGAAGATCATAATGAAATGACTAAAGGGATGCTTTAATTCATGACCTTTGCCTCTTCATTTATTTCTACTCCCTGACAAGTTTGAAAATATAGAAAACTTTAATATATTTTTTTAATATATGGAATTAAAAATAAATGATTTTCCCAACACTTCCATATATTGCTAGGTTTTGCCTGATAGGCCCAATCCAACTAATAAAGTAATGGATTATTAGAGCTGTTAGGGCTGTCAAAGGTCAGCCCATTCCCTTTATTTATTGTACAGAGGAGGAACCCAAGACCTAGAGTGGTGGAAAGACTTGCCCAAGCTCACATGGCTGGTTAGTGCTTGGACTAGAACCCAGGTGTCAAGACCACTCCATTGCCTTCTTATGATATCACAGCTGCCTTACAATTTTAATGCTGCTAAATCTGGCACTTAAAATATAAGAAACTTGGCCAGGCGTGGTGGCTTACGTTTATAATCCCAGCACTTTGGGAGGCTGAGGCGGGAGGATCATTTGAGGTCAGGAGTTCGAGACCAGCCTGGCCAACATAGTGAAACCCCGTCTCTACTAAAAATACAAAAATTAGCCGGGCCCATAATCCCAGCTATTCAGGAGGCTTAGGCATGGGAATCGCTTGAACCCAGGAGGCGGAAGTTGCAGTGAGCCAAGATCACGCCGTTGCACTCCAGCCTGGGGACAGAGCAAGACTCCATCTCAAAAAACAAAACAAAAAAAAAGCAAACAAAAACAAAAACAAAAAGCCACGTAAAAGAAGAAGAAGAAACTCTACCTAAAGAAAGTGTAAGCACCTGTGCACATTTTATAAATCTAGGTCTCTGTCTCTTAGCTATTATTTTGGAGAATGAAAAAAACACTCGAGCCTTCCTTGGAAAATGTCTGGCATTAGCACTGTAAGCTGTCGCTGAATGAGAGGAATTATGTTTCTAAATACTGTGTCATACAGCATTTCCCTTGTGAAGATGCAGCCTTGGTTTCACATGACATAATCTTAATAGAAGTGAGGTACTAGAATTTTACATTGCAATTACAAACATGTCTTCTTTAGATAATTTTCATTTAACTCACAGATTGTTCTTGAATCAAGACTGGTACTATTAAGAACCCAGGAGAAATATCTGGTATTCTGCAGTCACAAATCTGTTATCAAAGAAAAAAAAAGGACTTTGGTTGGAATTATCCAAATTATGTATTTTTATAAATAAAATTCACTAAATAACAATCCGGCCTCTTTAGTGTGTTCCTATAGACAGTCTTTGACCTTCATTTCATTAAAGCATCCTTTTTTCTATTAAAATGCTTAAATTTTTAGCAGAATAAATGCCTGCATTAAATAAAATTTTCTGGATTGCAAATAACCTTCACAAAGCATTTCAGCATATTTGTGGAACCATTTTATTTCATATTTACAGAAGTGAATTTTTAATCTTTCGGATTTATTTCATTTTATTTACTTAAAAGCTATTGATAAGAAGATTAAGGTGAGCATAGAATTCAGAAATCCTTGGAAACAATGATCAGTTTTATAGTTCCTTAAAGAAGCATTAAAAACTTTACACTTAAACAAAAATTGAATTTGCTGTTCATATGCATAAAAGATTTAATGGCATATAAATTGGGAATAATTATTCTGTTTAAAAGGATTAAATTAAACCTAAATCAATAATAACATGTGCAGTTTCAATTTAACTGCGTACTTAAAATGAAGTGACAAATAAATAACAGCTAAATGCTTAATAGCAATGCTTTTATTCACCTCCTCAACAGGCAAAATGGCCAGTTATTGAATATTTTATTGTGAGTGCAAAGGATGTTAATTGTACTAGAAACATGCTCTAATTTTAGTAATTTTTTGATTGAATACAATATTGAATATGAGGCTCTTCATTAAATGGAGACTTTATTTTATTTGGTTTGAAGTTATCACAATAAGTACTCAAATATGGTCCATTAAAGCCAGCAAATATCATGGCATATGCATGTGAAACCGTCCCCCACTCCCTTCCTCTCTGCCTCCGTTTCTAACCTAGGCATCTGAAGAGCAGACTCTGCATCTGCTGTCTGAACAGTAACAAAAGAGTTGTGTACTCATTTTCTGTGTAACCTTTCTATCAAATGGGGAGGAAAAGAGGTGCATGTTTTGTGTGCAGATGATGACTAATGAAAGGGCACTTCACACTCATTTTGTCCCAGTGTTGACCTGGACCACAAAACACAATGGAGCTTCCAAGCACACAAGCTCAGTACAATGGGGTTCTTCAGTATCATGTTCTATTTTGACCATTAGATTTGTTCCTGTGAAGTATTACAGCTTTCTAGGCTCATGATTTTGCAAAACATAACCTCCTATTTGTCTCCACATGTGTTTTCCATCCAGAAAGGAGAGAAAGGGGATGTTTAAGATAGTCTTTTCAGGTGTAAATGGTGCAACGTAATTAAAACTCTTATAAGAGCCACATCTTCAGGCTCTACCCTTATATATACACATTCTTAGAGTTTCTCTGATTCAAAAACATTTTTCTCAGCCAGAGCAACTCATTTAGTCTGGCGTGTTTCTAAACCCTTTGTATTTTCTAGGTTCCACTTAAAACATCAATCTTTTCTGTAGTGGGTGATATTGCTTCTACAGCCATTTAAGAATGGAAATTTGGCTTGAACCCAGGTGGCTGAGGTTGCAGTGAGCTGAGATCGCACCACTGCACTCCAGCCTGGGCGACAGAGGAAGACTCTGTCTCAAAAAAAAAAAAAAAAAAAAAAAGGAAATTTGCTGAGGCTAGAAATTACAGCTTTTTCAGAAGGTCTAAAATAATTTAATTCTTGGAGTTTTACCTTATTCATCATCTTTCAGCAATTGTTAAAATGTTTCATCATGTGAAAGTACTTACGTTTCTTAATCCCATTCCCTAAATTGTGGTTTGGCCATTCTCCACCGTGCCTAAGTCGTGATTAAAAACTGGATTTTTAAAGATGGGTGTTAATTCTTTCAGGCCATTAGGGAACCACTTAGTGTATCACAAGACAACTTTGTGCCCTGGAAATAAGTTAAGCCCTGGGGAGAGAAGAATCCCTTGAGATCCATCACCAGAAGCACAATACACAACAACGGTGTTATGTCACGGGGACTGAATGTGACGTACAGCAAGCAAGGCTAGTGCTGGAGCTCTCTGACACGTGCTTCCACAGGTAGTCCTCATGGAACCCTTACTGTGTGCCAGGGACACAGTTCTATGCATTTAGATGGTTTGTTTGTTTGTTTGTTTGTTTTTTGAGACAGAGTCTCACTCTATTGCCCAGGCTGGAGTGCAATGGCATGATCTCGGCGCACTGCACCCTCTGCCTCCCAGGCTCAAGCAATTCTCCTGCCTCAGCCTCCTGAGTAGCTGGGATTACAGGCACGTGCCGCCATGCCCGGCTAATTTTTGTATTTTTAGTAGAGACGGGGTTTCACCATGTTGGCCGTGCTGATCTCAAACTCCTGACCTCATAATCCACCTGCCTCGGCCTCCCAAAGTGCTGGGATTACAGGCGTGAGCCACCGCACCTGGCCAAATTTAGATGTATTAGTTTGCATAGTCCTCTCAATAACACGATGAGGTAGGTACTATTATTATTTTTTTAACTTTTTTATTTTTATTGAGATAGGGTGTCGCTGTGTTGCCCAAGCTGGAGTGCAGTGGCACAGTCATGGCTCACTGAAGTTTCGACCTCCTGGGCTAAGCCATCCTCCTGCCCCAGCCTCCTGAGTAGCTGGGACTACAGGCACATGCCACAGTACCTGGCTGATTGGTTTTGCTTTGTTTTTTGTAGAGACGAGGGGTTTCTCTGTGTTGCTCAGGCTGCTCTCAAACTCTTGGCCTCAAGTGAGCCCCTTGCCTGGACCTGTCAAAATTCTGGGACTACAAGCATGAGCTACCACACCTGGCCAGTACTATTATTATCCCCATTTTATTGATGAGGAAACTGAAGCACAGAAGTTAAATAACTTGCCCACATTCACATAATCTGGTGGCACCAGGAAATGAATGCAGGTAGTCTAGGACCCTTGTTCTTAGATGCTCTGCTGTACCATTTCTCAGAACCAAAATAATCCATATTATCATACAGAGAAACAAAGCACCGCAATATTACATGTGATGGAAGGAGGTCTGTAGTCATGACTGTAGAAACTATGCCCTTATCAGCTGATGCTGGTTAAATACCACGACCAGTATGAGTGCACCAGTTTTCTTAGCATAACGGCAGAGATGGAAACCAGAAAATCTATTTCCTTAAACTGAAGACTACCTAATTTTTAAAAATAGTGGGCATTACTCAGTTATTCATTCTTTCATGAGTCTATCATAGGATCATAGAACAGTGGAGTTGGAATGGACTTTGTGATATCATCTAGCAATTGAATGTGGAAATAAGAGGCTAACATATTTTTGTGATAAGTCACATCCTCCTGTTTTAAATACCCATAACGTCCTGTATTTCTTTACACATCGAATTCATTAGTTGATTACTGTATTACTGTTGGTGCATAAAGCCTGTCCTCCTCATTGAAGGGTAAGATCCAGCAGCCTGCTTCTGTTTTCCTTGCTGCTGTATCTTCTGTGCCTAAGATTCTGCCTGTATGTAGGGAGGTGTTCCATGCTTATCTGTTGACCGACTGATCCATTCGCTGATTCACATAAGGCAGACACTGCAACCTACTTTCTTCACTGTCACCTATGGGAATAGCTGCAGGGTACAATGCAACATGATGTGCAGGAGCCCGATCCAGAGCAGACTGCCAGGCTCTGTGACCTTGGGAGATGTACATAAGCCCTCTAAGCCTCAGTTTCCTCGTCTGTTAAATGGGGGTAATAATAGTACTTCCCTTAACATTGTTCCAAGGAAAAAAAACTGAAGACTCACAACAAACATTCCCTAGATCATCAAACAGTAACACGTGCTCCCTTTCCACATCCCACTCCTGAGTGAGTAGCAGAACAGTGATCCCCAGTGTTGTCACCTGTGAAAGGTGGCCAGCCCTGCTCTAAACAGTACAAAGTAGAGGATTACTTGTTCTAAGTTTTCCAAAAAGGACTTCATAGCCTCTGTAGATAATCCCTTCCAGAAAGTCCTCACTTTGGCTGTCCAAATGTATTTACATCTTACTAAAATCTTTGCTTGCTAATTAACTCTCTGGTTAATTTTGTTAAGCCCGAGCTGCTTCAAGTGTTTGCAACGTCCCTCGAGATCTGACCTTTGCTTGCCCTTGAGCTGTGCTCCTCGACCTGCCCTCCTCTCACCCTCCATTTTGTCCACACAGAATTTGTTCTATGAAAGCACCACATTGTCTCTGCCTCCTCTCCTTTTTACATGCTGTTCCCTCAGCCTGGCATAGACTTCCTGCCCTTCTCAGCCTTAGTTCTGAGTCACGCCAGCACTTCCTCCAGAAGGCTTTCCCTGACCTCCCAAGATAGGACTGGATGTCCCTCTGTGTCCCTATGGCCCGGTGCTCCTCATCAGAGCACAGATCACTCCAAAGTGTCAATTACTGTTTCCTGGTCTGTATCCCCTACTAGGCTGTGTGTCCGCTGCTTCACCATCTACCACTATTCCTGTAGCTTCGTAAGGGCTCGATAAATAAATACCTGCTGAATCAATGAATGAGCAAATTGAATTAAGAAAGTTAAATTCAGTTTTTTTCTTTCATCACAGCATAAATATGGGAAAATAGCACCTTTCTTTACAAAAAAAAATCTGTATTTACTTGAAGACAATAATTGAGCTTTCTTCCCCACCTGAACAACCACAGTTGAAACTTATGTTTAATTCAGCACAAGATAAGCCCTAAAAATCATTCCCTAATTTGGTCTAATGCAAGAAGCCTTTACATGTTTAGATTCGAATTTATTACTATTGATTTTTAAAAATAAATATTTATGCTGTATTTGTGTTGACTAGAATATTTTTAGAAAAGGAGTTATTTATTCAAGAAGTATTTATTGACTCTTCTGTCCATAGCACAGTGCAGCATACTAGGGCAGAAGTTAGGAAACGAAAGATCACTTGCAGTCCCCGCTGCCTGGGAATTTGTCTAGTGAGGAGACAAGATTATCACAGTGAAAAATTAAGTAAGCACAAACATAGAGCACTTTAAGACACATTCTCTCATGTTGATCCTCATTCAGTCCTGAGAAATAAAACAAATAGAATTTATCCCGATTTATAGATGAGAAAAACTGAATCAGAGATGACTGATTTGCCAACCAATGCAGAACAGGTAGTGACAGATGGAGAACGTGAGCCCAGGTCTGTGCCCTGCCGGACACTGCTGGACCCCATGTCCCATATCCCTGCCCCATGATGCTTAAGGGTCAAGTGAAAGGCAGGGACAGGAAACACTGTGAGTTCCTAGGACAGTGCATCACTTGGGAGAAACCTCCCCGTCAAAGCCCCAGAGGCAGGTGACCCTGCAGTGCAGCGAGGTTTTAGGCATCCCATTTTCTAACAAATGTAGACCATTCCCATTTTGCTGAAGAAGAGGAGCATCTCTCTTCTCTTGTTGGAAAAGGAGGTGCGACTTATTTCAAGAAGTTCCTCATCATAATATGTGAACTAAAAAATTCAAAATGACAATTCAGCAAGGCGTGACAGTTTTGGCTTTTTGCTCCAGTTGTTGCTTTACATCAAATCAAAGAAACCTGGGTCCACATTAAGAAAAGTAAATTAACATTAGGGGGACCATTAGTTTGTTTACCCAGCATACAATTATGTCCTCTGTAAACGGGAATATCAAATAGCATAAAAAGCCCGGGTGATTTACATTTTCTTTTTGATTAGAGGGTTGCATCTACTGTACTCAAGGAAGGAAAATCTCTCCCATTTAGCTTTTGAAGATCAAAGAGGCCATTAAATATGCCATACTACCAGCTTTTTTTTTTTTTTTTTTTTTTTGGTTAAGACTGGGGGTGCTTTACAAATTGAGATTGTCATGGGGAAAAGGGAGACTTTATATTGGGTCACATGAACTGATTATAGGTTAGTTTGTTTTTCTCAGGCAGGACCGTATGCTTAACCTTTTATTCAAATAGGCCCCTCCTGCAGTGTCAAGTACATTCTGACCTATCGACTGAGCTTCGTGTGCATAGCTGACAGCCAAGAGGCTATGAACCTTTCAGTGAGCCGTGATCTGGTCTGATTTGAAGCCTCGGGGATCTTTCTGTAGTACATTAGATACACGCTACAAAGACAAAATGAAGTGAAAAGCAAAATCACTGAAAAGAAGAATGAATCTACGTAGGTATGCAGTCAAGATAAAACCGTGCTTTCCCCCAAAAAGGAGCAGTCTGAAGCAAATGTTGTCTAGGCAACAATTCACAGTTCTCTTTCTAAACAGCAGATGTCTATACAGTCATGCATTGCCTGATGACAGGGGTACGTTCTGAGAAATTTTTGGTTAGGTGATTTCATCATTGTGGGAACATCATAGAGTGCACTTACACAAACCTAGATAGTACAGCCTACTACACACAATTTGTGCAATGTGTTACTATACTAAACACTGTAGGGAATTATAATACCTTGGTAAGTATTTGTGCATCTAAACATAGAAAAGGTACAGTAAAAATAAAGCATAAAAGTTTTTTAAATGGTACACCTATATAGGCACTCACCATGAATGGAGGTTGTAGGACTGTACATTTCTCTGGGTGAGGCAGTGCGTGAGCAGGAGTGAATTTCAAGGCCTAGGACATTACTGTAAGCTACTGTGGACTTCAGAAACACTGTACACTTAGACTCCTCTAAATTTATTTTTAAAAATATTTCTTCATTAATAAATTGACCTTAGCTACTGTAACTTTTTTATTTTATATACTTTTAATTTTTTTTTTTACTTTTTAACTCTTTTGTAATAACACAGCTTAAAACACAAATACATTGTACAGCTGTATAAAAATTCTTTATATCCTTATTCTGTAAGTAAGCTTTTTTCTATTAAAAAATTTTTTTTGGCTGGGCGCGGTGGCTCACGCCTGTAATCCCAGCACTTTTGGAGGCTGAGGCAGGCAGATCACGAGGTCAGGAGATCGAGACCATCCTGGCTAACACGGTGAAACCCTGTCTCTACTAAAAATACAAAAAATTAGCCAGGCGCGGTGGCAGGTGCCTGTAGTCCCAGCTACTCGGGAGGCTGAGGCAGGAGAATGGTGTGAACCCAGGAGGCAGAGCTTGCAGTTAACCAAGATAGCGCCACTGCACTCCAGCCTGGGCGAAAGAGCGAGACTCTGTCTCAAAAAAAAAAAAAAATTTTTATTTTTTAAACTTTTTTGTTAAAAACTGAGACACAAACACACACATTAGTCTAGGCCCACACAGGGTTCGAATCATCAATATCACTGTCTTCCACGTCCATACCGTGTCTCACTGGAAGGTCTTCAGGGGCAGTAACACATACGGAGCTGTCATCTCCTAGGATAACAAGGCCTTCTTCTGGAATCCCTCCTGAAGGACCTGCCTGAGGCTGTTTCACAGTTAACTTTTTAAAAAATAAGTAGGAGTGCACTCTAAAATAATGATAAAAAATATGGTGTAGTGGCTGGGGACGGTGGCTTGCACCTGTAATCCCGAAACTTTGGGAGGCTGAAGCGAGTGGATCACAGGAGGCCAGGAGGTCAAGATCAGCCTGGCCAACATGGCAAAACCCTGTCTCTACTAAAAATTAAAAAAAAAAAAAATTAGCCCGACATGTTAAAACATACTTGTAATCCCAGGTACTCAGGAGGCTGAGGCATGAGAATCACTTGAACCTGGGAGGCAGAGGTTGCAGTGAGCCAAGGTCACACCACTGCACTCCAGCCTGAGTGATAGAGCAAGACTTGTCTCAAAAAAAAAAAAAGTATAGTATAGTGTATTAGCCTGTTCTTGCATTGCTGCAAAGAAATACCTGAGTGAGACTGGGTAATTTATTTAAAAAAAGAAGTGTAACTGGCTCACAGTTCCACAGGCTCTACAGGAAGTATGATTCTGGCATCTGCTTGGTTTCTAAGGAAACCTCGGGAAACTTACAATCATGGCAAAGGCAAAGGGGGAGCAGGCCTCTTACGGCAGAGCAGGACCAAGAGAGAGGGTGGGGAGCTGCTATGCACTCTTGAACAACCAGATCTCACCATAACTCACTCACTACTCAGAACCAAGGGTGGATGGTGCTTGCTAAGCCATTCATGAGAACTCTGTCCCCATGATCCAGTCACCTCCCACCAGGCCCTACCTCCAACATTGGGGATTACAGTTCGACATGAGATTTGGGTGGGGACACAGATCCAAACCATATCATACAGTAAATACAAAAGTCAGTAACATAGTTGTTGATTATCATTATCAAGGATTATATGCTGTATATAATTGTGTGTGCTATACTTTTATAGGACTGGCAGTGCAGTAGGTTTGTTTATACCAGCAGCACCACAAACATATGAGCAACACATTGTACTATGATATTCCAAGGGCTACAGCGTCACTAGGTGACAGGAATTTTTCAGCTCCATTACAATATTGTAGGACCTCAGTCGTATATGTGGCTTGTCCTTGACCAGAACATTGTTAGTCAGTGTATGAAATGTATTACCAGCCAAAGTGTGAAACATAGTTTTATCTTCACCAGCTGAAATACTGAGTCATTGTTGGTGTACGTAAGTAATCGCATTCATTGAACCACAGTGATTATTTGTTTAACATTATAGATATCTGTTTTTCAGTTGTCTTCTGACACTTAGAAATTAATTGTCCCCCATTTTTATTCCATATTTCAATGAACTTGGATAATTAAGGCCTTTCGCCCTTATGTGTAGTGTGTGGGTCTAATTTGGGCCTGGGATCTGTCTTTATGTTTATTAATCAATTAATTTATTTATTTTAAGAGACAAGGTCTCACGCTGTCTCCCAGGCTGGAGTGCAGTGTCGTGATTATAGCTCACTGTAGCCTCTAACTCCTTAGCTCAAGCAATCCTCCCACCTCAGCCTCCTGAGTAGCTGGGACTACAGGTACGACACCATACCCAGCTAATTTTTTAAAAAAATTTGTTGTAAAGATGGAGTCTCGCTGTGTTGCCCAGGCTGGTTTTGAACTCCTTGCTTCAAGCGATCCTCCTGCCTCGGCTTCCCAAAGTGTTGGGATTACAGGTATGAGCCACTGCACGCTGCTGGGATTTGTGTTTAGCATACAGATAATAAAAGGAAAACTATAGGAGAAAGACTGAGATTGATTTCAAATAAAATGTTCAACTGACTATAATGAGTGAATTTATTTCAACTAAGGACTTGGCATTTCTCTTCTGCTTTGGGCAGGCAACAACCAATAGAAGACAAATATTCAGACCTCCGCTATGACCCGAACTGGAAGAGTAAGAAGGAGGAAGGGCAGCTGCTGTCTGTGGAAGCGTTGCCGGAGTCCACGGACAGCTCTTTAGAAAATCTGCCTTTGGCTCCCCTCTACCCTTCCCAGGAGACGTCAATGGAACTCTCCGGGGGAAAAGGCGAGCAGAAAGAGAGTCCACAGAGTGCAGCTTCTTTACTTGGTAGTGAATTTTTAAGCCCAAACTATGAGCATGGTGCCCGTCGCAGCAAGCCGTTTTCAGAGCTGAGCGACAGTGACCTGGAGGAGAAGTCGAGCAGCCTTTCTCCGTACGTGAAGAGCTCAAGTTCACATAACGAGGTTTTCCTGCCGGGATCACGTGGCCCTCGGCGAAGGAAATCCAAACAACATTTTGTGGAAAAAAACAAGCTCACTTTGGGATTACCCACCCCGAAAACGGACTCTTATCTTCAACTTCACAATAAAAAAAGAGGGGAATCTCATCCAGAACAGGTACGTAGTGGCTACTTTAAAATGTCTTCTGAAACATTAAACCAGAATTTGCGTTTGTTTGCAGTGTCTAGATATCGCTTCCTTTAAGATGACGATGTCATAGCAGCCACCTAGCTGGGTAAAACAAACGCTTCCATAGGCTATCCTGTATGTTTATGTTTATTCCATAAATTCTTATGACCAAAATAAAAGCCACCAATGGTTTACAGTGTAATTGCTACAAGTCGATTATTGCTATAAGTCAATTATTATATCCAAAATTGCTATAATTGCTATAAGTAATTATAAGTCCATTGTTATGTCAGTTATTATATCCGAAATTCTCCATTCAAAGAAATCTGGAACTTTTTAAAACTGTGTTTTCCAAATGATAAAATATAGAACTTAAGCATTTGATTCCCTGTGTTGATTTCCTTTGTTACCACCATAGCAGAGGTTTTCAACCCTGTTAAATGCCCCAGCACATTGTGGGTGACATGGAACATGCCCCAGCTCACATACAGAAGCGATTCTCAACTCAGATTCTGTATACATATTGGGCGGTCGGGGAGTGGGTAGGGTACAACATAAGGTGGGTTTTTTTTTTCAATCTTCAGATGTTTCTATAAACCCCATTGAAAATCACATCATTTGTTATTGTCCTGTGTAAATGATATGATATGATTAAACATTAGTCTCTTTATTTGTAAAATTGGGACAGTAATAAATGCCTTCTCTTCCTCATCAGGTCATTTTGAGAGTAAATTCTCTCCCACGTGATGGATTCAAAACCTTTTGGAGCCAGTAAACTTAGTTCCATTTCACAGGTGCACATAAAGACCTTCCTGCCCACCTCCTATGGACATGTCCAGGGATACAGGACAAGAGTGGGGTTAGAATGGTAGAGTCCACCACTCTTACTGGAAAGAGCTTGAGATTTATCACCTGCTAATGTGAGGTCATTTTCAAATACAAAGGAGAGGTTATTATGTTAAATGTGGTTGCCCTTAGACCTATTCCAAATCCCAACTGGTATTTTTTTTTAACATATTCTAACCTGTTCTAACCTCTAAGCATTTTCTAATGGAACAAAATAGATGAGGTGGATGAACATTTGTGGCTTTTCTTCAGAGACTCCCTTTTTTGTCTTAAAGAATTACGTCTGGTGGCACGTTGGCTCATGCCTGTAATCCCAGCACTTTGGGAGGTCGAGGTGGGAGGATCACTTGAGGCCACGAGTTCAAGACCAGCCTGGCCAACATGGTGAAACCCATCTATACCAAAAATACAAAAATTAGCCGGGTGTGGTGATGCACACCTGTAATCCCAGCTACTCGGGAGGCTGAGGCACAAGAATCGCTTGAACACGGGAGGCAGAGGTTGCAGTGAGCCGAGATGGCGCCACTACACTCCAGCCTGGGTTATAGAGTGAGACTCTGTCTCAAAATAAATAAATAAAAATAAAAAAAGAATGATGTCTGGTGAAATTTGGGCCTAAAAATATTTTAATTTAAAAATAAAAATAAATAAAATTCAAAAAAAGAATTATGTCACATCTTTGCCACTGTAACTAATAATTAAATGAAATAGGTGTAGTATATATAGCTGAAGTATTTAAAAAACTAGGTGAATTCAAGCAGTTTTTAGTATTTTTACCCAATTTTAGATGTTAGTATACTCTTGTTCCATAAAACTTACATGAAATTTTGAATTTTGCTTGATTGCTCATTTAAAAATGAAAATAAATTCAACAGTCCAATATCTTTGAAAAAAAATTTCTTTTGAGTCAGGGTCTGGCCTTTCACCCAAGCTGGAATGCAATCGCACGATCATAGCTCACTATAACCTCGACCTCCTGGGCTCAAGCAATCCTCCTGCCTCAGCCTCGGCGAGTAGCTGGGAACACAGGCATGCACCACCACATCTAGCTAAATTTGTTTTTAAATGTCTTTATAGAGATGGGGGTCTCATCATGTTGCCCAGGCTGACCTCAGACTCCTGGGCTCAAATGATCCTTCTACCTTGGCTCCCAAAGTGTTGGGATTACAGGCATGAGTCACCATGCCCAGCCTGAAAAATGTTTATAGCCAGTAATTTATCTCAAACTAGGACAATATTTTTCATTATTAAAAAGTGTTCTCAAAAGAAGCTGATCCGGAAGGAGAACATTTGGGGGTTTTCTTCATTCAGAAACTCTCTTTTTAGTCTGAGGTCAAAAGAAATAGTTTTATTTCCAATAATAAAAGGGAAAAATATTTATTATGAACTCTTTAATTGTTGATTTATTAATCGCTATTTTTGTTAGTAGTTATAAGTTAATTTACTAAACAATTTTAGGGTGTATTGATTGTCAGTGATTCCACAGCTGAATTTTCTTTTCTTTGTGCCATGGAGGAAACTTTCTTTAAGCTCTTATATTACTCTCTGAAGGGGCCATTGACTTTTCCCACCACTTTCTCCAAGTTCAAATATCTAAAGGCTAATTGTATTTAAAATTGTTCCTTTACCATTTTCCAATATATATGTACTTCTTCTTGCTCCTATTATTTTTTTAAGAGATGACTCCTATTATTTTTTTGAGACGGGATCTTGCTATGTTGCTGGAGTGTAGTTGCTATGCAGGATTCGATCATCACACACTGCAGCCTTGAACTCCTGGGCTCAAGTGATCCTCTTGCCTTAGACACCTGAGTGACTGGGACTATAGGTGTGCATCACTGACCTGGCTTCCTATTACTTTAAAAAGAATAGAGATGAGTTTGACCTAACAGTGACATAATGATATGTGTAACTTAGTGAATTCTAGTCAGTAGCATAAACTGATGTGTTTTTTTTTTTGAACCGTTATTCATATGTAGACGTGTGTGTGTCTCTCCTCCCGATACAGATTATATGTTCCCTATGGGTAGGAGCTAGGGTTTGTGCTCATTTTTAATCTTCATAGTCACTAGCCTAAGACACTGAAAAGGCTGAGTAAACATAAGGGAAATTAAAAATGTATCTCTTCCATCACCTCCAAACTGTCTACTCTTTATTATAACTTGAAGTTTATATGGGGGGAATGGCATTTCTAGAGCAGTAGTTTGCTAACCTGGCTAGATATCAGAATCACCTGAGAATTTTTAAAAGTGATTTTTTTGACCAGGTGCGGTGGCTCACGCCTGTAATCCTAGCACTTTGGGAGGCCAAGGCGGGCAGATCCCCTGAAGTTGGGAGTTCGAGACCAGCCTGACCATCATGGAGAAAACCCGTCTCTATTAAAAATACGAAATTAGCCTGGCATGGTGGAGCATGCCTGTAATCCCAGCTACTCGGGAGGCTGAGGCAGGAGAATCGCTCGAACCCAGGGCGGTGAGCCGAGATTGCACCATTGCACTCCAGCCTGGGCAACAAGAGTGAAACTCTATCTCAAAAAAAAAAAAAAAAAAGGTGATTTTTTTTTTTGCTTCACTCAGACCAATTTAAATCTCTGAGAACCTGAGCAACAGTTTTTCTTTTTTGTTTTTTTTATAAAACTCCTTGAGTATTTCTAATGTGAAGCCAGGTTTGAGAAGCATTGTTCCAGAATAGAGCAGTGGTTCTCAGCCTTGGTTTCACATTGGAATCAACTGGAGAATTTAAAAAGTATTGATTCCCTAGATGAACCACTGAAATTCCAGTTCAGCTCATCTGGGTTGCACTCTAAATATGGGGAGTCCGCCACACTCCCCAGGTGATTCTAATATTTAGCCAAGATTGAGAATCACCGATCTAGAGCAGTGGTTCCTAAACATTAGAGTGCACCAGAATCATCTGGAGGGCTTATTTAAAAAGCTTGATGGACCTCATCCCCCCAAATTTCTGATTCAGCAGGTGTAGGGTGGGACCCAGGGATCTGAATTTTCTGCATGGCCCAAGGTGTTACTGCTGCTGCCATCAGGCCTACACTTTGAGAACCACTGATCTTTTCCTTCTCACAATTTAAAGTGCTTATGAACCACTTTAGATGCTTGTGAAAATACAGATTGTGATCCAGTAGGTCTGGGGTGAGATGCAGAGTGTGCATTTCTGACAAGTTCCCAGGAGATGCAAGGCTGGTGGTCCATGGACCTCACTTTGATGAGCAAGGGGCTAGAACAGAGAACACAAAGGTTTTATCAAAATCTAAAAGTCAGAGTTGAATAAGTCATTATCTACAGAGCATTGATGTTTTCCATGGCTGATAGGATTATTCAGTTGATTTGTGGGTAGGAGGCGGGAAGCTTGGGTACCGAGTGTGGAGGCTCTTGGTTTGTTTTGTTTTGGTTTTTGTTTGAGACAGGGTCTCACTCTGTCGCCCAGGCTGAAGTGCAGTGGCACTATCTCAGCTCATTGCAGCCTCCGCCTCCCAGGTTCAAGCGATTCTCCTGCCTCAGCCTCCAGAGCAGCTGGGATTACAGGCACCCGCCACCACACCTGGCTAATTTTTGTATTTTTTGGTAGAGATTTCAGGAAATCCTAGAAATCAGTAAGAAAAAGACCAAATTCCAAGGAAGAATACACAAAAAGTATAAATGAACAATTCACAGACTGTTCCTCTCATTACTCTTAATTTCCAGAGCTTTCTTTATTATCCTTGCTTATTCACAGATTGTTCATTTATACTTTTTGTGTATTTTTCCTTGTTAATAAAAGTTAACAAAGAAAAGTTAATATATATGGCTATTACACATATAAGAGGTTACTCAGTCTCAGCCTATTAGAGAAATGCAAATTAATACTATAACGGGATTCCATTTTTCAACTACAATTAAACTATCAAAATTCTTTAAGTTTAATGACCCTGTGGGCAAAAAATACGGTCAAGCTGGTGAGAGAATAAATTAGTATAACCAGTACGGAGGACAATTTGTTAATATCTACTTAAAACACAAATATACTCCTTGAGAAAGTAAAACATAATGGCCAAGAGTATGGACTCTGGAGCCAGGTTGGTTGGCACTGCCACCTGCCAGCTCGGTGACGCTCTGCAAATTACTAAACCTCTCTGTGCCTCAGTCTCCTCATCTTTAAAATGAGGACAGTAATAGGACTTTCCTCATAGGCTTATTAAGAAGATTAAATAAATGAGTTAGGCCACGTAAACTCAGCATTTTGGGAGGCCAAAGCGGGCAGATCATTTGAGGTCAGGAGTTTGTGACCAGTCTGGCCAACATTGTGAAACCCATGTATATTAAAAATACAAAAATTAGCCGAGCATGGTGGTGTGTGCCTGTAATCCCACCTACTTGGGAGGCCAAGGCAGGAGAATCATTTGAACCCAGGAGGCAGAGGTTGCAGTGAGCCAAGATTGCGCCACTGCACTCCAGCCTGGGTGACAGAGCAAGACTCCATCTCAAAAAAATAAATTAAATAAATAAATAAATAAATGTATAGAGCGTGCTAAGATCAGTGACTGGCCCATAGCAAGTATATAGGTATACATATAAGTATAAAAGTGTTTGACATTATTTTTATTTGACCCAACACATTTTGCACCTAGTAATTTATCCTAGATATTCGTGTGCAGTTTTGAAATCACATCTGTACAAAATTGTTCATTTCAGCCTTATTTGTAATAGCAAAAGATTGGAAGCCACCCAAATATCTGTCATTTGGGGAGTAAATAAGTTATGGTACATCCATACGGTAGAGTACACTGCAGCTGTTAAAAAAAAAATAAGGACACTTTCCATGAACTATGAGGGATAACTTACCAGGATTTCTTATTAAGAAAGAAATTCAAGGTGCAGTATGTTAAAAGTGGAGAGGGGCCAGGTGTGGTGGCTCATGCCTGTAATCCCAGGACTTTGGGAGGCCAAGGCAGGTGGATCACTTGAGGTCACAAGTTTGAGACCCGCCTGACCAACATGTGAAACCCTGTCTCTACTAAAAAATACAAAAATTAGCCGGGCATCGTGACGGGTGCCTCTAATCCCAGCTACTCGGGAAGCCCATGAGAATTGTCTGAGCTCGGGAGGCAGGGTTTCCGTGAGCCAAGATCGCACCACTGCACTCCAGCCTGGGCGACAGAGTGAGATTCTTGTCTCCAAAAAAAAAAACCAAAAAACAGTGGAAAGGAATAAAAATATATATTGTATTTTCATGGCACGCATAAGAAATTGTGGACGGCTACAAAAGCAGTTAATTGCAAGAGGTGGAGGGGGAATGGGCGGGAGCACAACTTTTTACTGTGTACCTTTTCAAATCTCTTAATTTTGAACCATACTTATGTATTATCTTTTAAAAATTAAAATGGAAAAATAGCAACAAAAATAGGAGGAGACATTTATAGTATAAATTTTGTAGTAACCCTTATAACTTCACACCCCTGATTGCTAACCTCCTAAATTGCATTTTATGCTTGTAATTAATGGCTTAGGGTAGAACTATTGATTTTTAAAGTCAATTGTTCTATAGTCTTTTTGCCATTTTGCATAGATCTGCTGATTGTACATTAACATACATTGGAAAAATCACCTTTGAATACATGACAAAATCTTAATCACATGATGTGTGAAGCGAGGAACCGATGTAAAAACCAACACACACTAGAGGGCACCTAAGTATCACGGTCAGGCAGTAACTTTGCTGGTGAATAATCAGTTCTTACTTTTATTCATGATTTGTTCACTAGCCTAAAGTATTTGTCTGAAACTCATTCCACTTTGAGTCCATTTGTAATCCACCGTTAAAGGAAACTGTGTTTTGAAAAATCAACTACCTTTCTATCTTGATTCTAATGTTACTTTAAAGACTGATGAAGGTGAAATTTAGTATGGGTTCAGAAAAGAGTTAGAAATGCTCTATACATGTTATTTGACTTTTTCCTTGTAATTTCTTGGAAAGAAATTACAGATAGTTTACAAATGTGATATGGTTATTGAATGGCCTATAGTCAAGACAATATAAAGTCACAAACAGTTCACAGTCCTACCTTCAATTAACACATCTTTGTGGCTGTTGCTGAGACAGCAGGTCAGTCAGCCAACAGATATTTATTGAGCACCAAATATGTATTAAATATGAGGTACTCCTCTCAATGCTGGGATATTAACAGAAAACAAGAGAGGCAGAGCACCTATCTTGAAGGAGTTTACATTCCAGTCATACGGCAAAGATAAGAACCATGTAACAAAATAATTTCAGATACTGATAATACCTCAAAAGAGACTGAATAAACTGTATTTAAGAAAGTGATGAGACTGAGCGTGGTGGCTCACTCCTATAACCCTAGCACTTTGGGAGGCCAAGGCAGGCAGATCACCTGAGGTCAGAAGTTCGAGACCAGCCTGACCAACATGGAGAAACCCCATCTCTACTAAAAATACAAAATTAGCTGAGCGTGGTGGTGCATGACTGTCATCCCAGCTACTCAGGAGGCTGAGGCAGGAGATACGCTTGAACCCGGGAGGTGGAGGTTATGGTGAACTGAGATTGCGCCATTACACTCCAGCCAGGGCAAGAAGAGCGAAACTCTGTCTCAAAAAAAAAAAAAAAAAAAAAAAAAAAAAAGAGACAAAGTAATGAGAGAGAATAAAGTCCTTTATTTAATAAAGTGATGACTTTAATAAGTAAACTGGGGGTTGGGCATGGTGGCTCATGCCTGTAATCCCAGCACTTTGGGAGGCTGGGGTGGGCGGATCACCTGAAGTCAGGAGTTGGAGACCAGCCTGGACAACATGGTGAAACCCCGTCTATACTAAAAATACAAAACTTAGCTGGGCCTCGTGGTGCGCACCTGTAATCCCACCTACTCAAGAGGCTGAGGCAGGAGAATCACTTGAACCTGGGAGGCGGAGGTTGCAGTGAGCCGAGATCTCGCCACTGCACTCCAGCCTAGGTGACAGAGTGAGACTCCATCTCAAAAAAAAAAAAAAAAAGGTTAAACTGGGATGTCTAGCCAGGTGCTTGGGGAAGGTCTCTCTGAGGACGTATCATTCAAGTGGAGGTGCGAATGGATAAGAAAGAGAAAAGTATGCAAGATCTAGAGGAAGAGCTTTGGTTGGCCCCATCCCTGGTAGCAGCATTTTTGCTAGGGAACAACGAAATATTGGAGAAAAACTAAAACCAAAACAAAATACTGATTTGAGAGTCAATCATGGATTAAATCCTGGCTCTTCAGCATAGCCCGTATTAGCTCAACCTCGTCTCCACCAAAAAATGCAAAAGTTAGCTGGCCATGATGGGGCACGCCTGTAGTCCCAGCTACTCCAGAGGCTGAGACAGAAGGATCACTTGAGCCGGGAGGCCGAGGCTGCAGTGAGTGGATCTCACCACTGCACTCCATCCTGGATAACAGAGTAAGACTCTGTCCCAAAAAAAGAGAAAAGAATTAAGATTAAGAATAAATAAAAATAAACCTCACCTCACCTTCCTCATCTATATATGGAGGAAGCAAACAAGGAATATAAATATATATCATATATATATATTTCTGCTTCGGAGGGCTATTTGAAGAATTTATACCAAGCTACGGACTCGGGGCAGACACTCAGTGAAGAGAAGCTATCGTTACCACTAGGCACTCCTTACACCAGGGAGAAGATTCCACCCAGGGAAGAGGCCCTTCTAACCAGCTCTCTCTTTTTTTAAGGCTGCATTGCCTCAAAATGAAAGAGATATAACTTCAGACAGAGTAAGAACAAAGTGTAGGCAAAACAATAACGTTCACACGCCCTAGGAGGCCATTCGATGGTGAGACTCTCAAAAGACTGCCTGCAAAGGGGGCCTATCCAGGCACACCCCACACTCGCCATGCTCTCTTGAGGGTCCCCGGTCAATCAAACACTGTCCTAGGGATTACAGAACGCTACAATCTTGTATGCAACTAGTTGACAGTATTTAACAATTGCATGTGGTCTCAGATACTGTTTCAAATATTTACACTTTAAAATAAGGAATTTATTAATAACTCGGGATCATGTATTTGGTACTTTAGTTTTGAAGTACAATTTCATAGGGTAATTCTTTCAACATTGCTTAATGTGACGCCATGTTACCTTCAAAATAAAACTCAAACTCTGAGTGGTACGAAAGGCCCTTCCTGACCTGGCTCCTTCCTGCTCCTGTAGCCTCATCCTTCATCAATCCCTACTTGTGTCAAATGCCTGGCCATACTCCAGGAACTCACAGAGCCCAGACCCGGCATTTCCTCTAGCCCCTTCCTTGTTCATGCTCATGGGCTACTCTTGCCCTGGCTTGTTTGCTTAGGAAAACCTTATCCTCCTTTTGAGATTCAGCTCATATGTCTCTGCCTTTGTAAAGGCTTTCTGAAGATCCTCCTTCCAGTACCTCCCTCATTCCTGAACATCTCCTGCAGAACCCGTAACCCCACACTGCACTGTCTGCATCATGTAAAGATGACTGTCTACTCCTTAAGATCATGAACTTGTTCATCTTTGAATTCCCAGATCCTGGCATACAGCAAGCACTAGCTAAATATTTGATGAAGAAATGTAATTTTTAAATACTTTTCCTTTGGTTCAAAATTTCATTGTTTTCAAAATGAAAAAATAAAAAAGCGGAGGGGGATTAACAAGAACTTGTGCTGTTAAACACTGGAATTTGAAGTCAAAAGACCTGATTTGAGTCCCATTTGGAGCCATTTATTATTTTGGCAAATCACAAACTCTTACTGAGTCTTCTTCTTCCTCATTAAAGTAAAATTACAAATGTTTGCCTTATATCACAGACTCAGAATTATTGAGATGATCAAATGAGATATGCAATGTGAAAGCTTTTTATAATCTTACAGCCTTATATAAATATAAGTTATATTTATTATTGAATGTTTGGTTTAAATTTACGTCTCCTAATGTGGAAGGTTGCCACCTAAAGGATATATTGCTCTTTTTCATAGTTTTAAATTTAGTGAAACTTTTGGTTGTCTATAAGATTAAGCTTTACCTTTATTTAAGTTATGGTCATTTTTTTGTAATTATATTTGGTTAGAAACATAGAATTATCTTCTTATAGGATTCTTCAGATGGGTGGTGTTTTTGTTTTGTTTTGTTTTTTTGTTTTTTTTGTTTGTTTTTTTGAGACAGAGTCTCGCTCTGTAGCCCAGGCTGGAGTGCAGTGATGCGATCTCCGCTCACTGCAACTTCCGCTTCCCTGGTTCAAGCGATTCTCCTGCCTCAGCCTCCTGAGTAGCTGGGATTATAGGCGTCTACCACCACGCCCGGCTAATTTTTCTATTTTTAGTAGAGATGAGGGTTCACCATGTTGGTCAGGCTGGTCTCGAACTCCTGACCTCATGATCTGCCCGCCTCAGCCTCCCAAAGTGCTTGGATTACAGGTGTGAGCCACCACACCCGGCCTGGTGGTGCTTTTGAGTCCCACCTATCCTATTATACTTGTAAGAATTATTCTTCTACAGAGTAGGAACTCTATAGATGTTCATCGATTGATACATTTTCTTATTTTGCCCTCTGCTATTACTACAAGAGCACTTACTTATGACAGCATAATTTCAGTTGAACTTTATGATTTTTTTCAATACGAGCCATTTTTAAGGCCTCTTTCTTGTGTGCACTGTTCAACACTTAGCTGCTTAAACTACCAATTTGTATGATCTATAGAGTGACACTTCATTAATTTGACATTATTGAAGAGGGATCCATAAGAAAAAAAAATTTTCCACATAACCAAAGCATGCCCCTTTGAAAACCAGAAATTTAACATAAATTTCTATCATTTTTAAGGATAGTTTTCAGAATGTACCTGGCATACCTGATAATTCTATGCTGACTTACACAGGTCATATTGCACCGTTCTGTAGTAAAGTAAAAAGCTATGGCAATGTGATCGCTTCTTTGCCTCTTTGTTAAATGACCCAGACTGCTATGAGCCCGCGGTCATTTTCTGCTGCTGTCTGTATCTGCTCTTAAGGAGCTTATGGCAGAATGGGAAGCAGACATGTAAACAGTCAATACCAAGTGAAAACTGCTATGCTAGTATCAGATAAGGTCCCCAAGAAACCCGGAAGAAAAGGTGCCTGACTGTCCAGGGAAGTCAGAGGGGGCCTCACACAAGAGGCAATCATGGAACTCATTCTTTAAAATGAAAAAGGGTATTTTTTTTGTTTTTATTTTTGTTTGTGTTTTTTGAGACAGAGTCTCGCCCTGTCATCCAGGCTGGAGTGCAGTGGCACCATCTCAGTTCACTGCAACCTCTGCCTCCTGGGTTCAAGCGATTCTCCTGCGTCAGCCTCCCAAGTAGCTGGGATTAGAGGTACCCGCCACCATGCCTGGCTAAGTTTCATATTTTTAGTAGAGGCAGGGGTTTCACCATGTTGGCCAGGCTGGTCTTGAACTCCTGACTTCAAGTGATCCACCCGCCTCAGCCTCCCGAAGTGATGGGATTACAGGTGTGAGCCACAGCACCCAGCCCTAAAAAGAAGAAGTTAACAGGTGGAAGTGGGTAGTTAGGGCACTGCAGGCAAAGGGGGCAGGGGCAATGGCATGAAGTCGTGAAAGAACACTAAGTAGAAAGCTGTCAGTACAGAAAGAACTTCTATACTGCTGGTCAAGAACTGGTAGTTGGTCAATTAAATCAAAGATTTCATGGAGGTAAAAGGCAGAATGATAGTTACCAGAGGCTGGGAAGGGTCTCGGGGGTAGGGAAGATGAAGAGAGGTTGGTCAGTTGGTAAAAACATACAGTTAGATAGAATGAATAAATTCTAATATTCCATAGCAAAGTTAGGTGACTGTAGTTAGTAAAAATGTGTTGTATATTTCAAAATAGCTAGCAGAGAGCATTTGAGATGTTCCCAACACAAAGAAATGATAAATACTCGAGGTGATGGATACCCCACATATCTTGTTCAATACACATTCTGTACATATAACAAAATATCACATATACCCCATAAATATGTACAAACATTATATATTAATACAATTTTGTTTTAAATTGGTTAAAGCAGGTATGAAAAATGATAACTATATACCGTAATTACTTGACTTTCACTTAACGTATATAAATATACACTAATTCACCAGTTTTTTTACCAAGGGGCCAAGGTCTTTTCTACCAGTGCAGATTCTATTGGTTAGAGTTTCATTGTTTTTCTTGCATCAGTTTGAGAGCATCTATGATTTGCAGTTTTGATTTCTTGATAGCAAAGTACAAACTTAAAAAACCTTAAGAAACAATTTAAGAACATAATTTCTAGGTGTGTTTTGGTTTTTTGTTTTTTGTTGTTTGTTTTTTGTTGTTGTTGTTTGTTTTTGAGATGTAGTCTCCCTCTGTCAACCAGGCTAGAGCGCCGTGGCATGATCTTGGCTCACTGCAGCCTCCACCTCCCAGGTTCAAGTAATTCTCATGGCTCAGCCACCGAGTAGCTGGGATTACAGGCGCCTGCCATGACGCCCAGCTAAATTTTGTATTTTTAGTAGAGATAGGGTTTCGCCCGGCTGCTTTCAAACTCCTGGCCTCAAGTGATGCTCCCACGTCAGCCTCCCAAAGTGCTGAGATACAGGCATGAGCTACTGCACCTGGCCATAATCGCTAGGTTTTTGTGAATGCTTCCCCTAATCTTTTATAGTTCCCCCCACCCCCAACATGTTATTTTGCCATTTGCTTTATTGGGTCATTCTAAATCATTTAACTAAGTTTTCATGAATATAACAACTCTCTATTCATGCTCAGATTTCTTCAGATTATCTAATCTTTAAATACATTTCCTAATTTTAACAACAGGTACAATAGGAATAAACAGGTTTGGGAACAAATGGAAAAGACTCTTGGTAAACATACAACTCAACAAGTGGAAGTAGAAGTACCAAGGTGTACTAGAGAGAGCCTAGCAGCCGTAAGCATTTAGCTATGGCCTCAGGATATCTTCAAGACTAGAAAATGTCACTTCATCCAGTGAGTTAGTTAAGGAGAAGGTGGATAGTGCTGTAGTTGTATGTGGCTAGATTGTGAGGATGAGAATATGGATATTTAGGTTAGAGAAATTGGCAGACGTCTTTCATGCAGTCCCTTGTATGTCATTTTAAAGCAGAAGCTCTCATATTGTGTTCCTTGGACCAGGAGCATCATCATCACCTGGGAACTTAACACAAGTGGAAATTCTTGGGCCCCATGCCAGACCTCCTGAGTCAGAAACTCTGGGGTGAGGTCCAGCAATCTGTGTTTTAACAGGCCTTCCAAGTGATTTTGATACATGCTCAAATTTTAAAACCCCTATGTTAAAATGTTAGGCCTTTCCTCTAAGTCATCTGAATTCATTGAAGAATTTTAGTAGTGGAGCAATTTCAGTGCAATGTGTGAGCTTTGTGATTTTTTTGTTTTTATCTCTAATGTGTCCATTCAGAGGTCACACTTACATATTCTTAGTTAGTTATGGAGAGTTCAGATTGCTGGATAATCAGTCTTTCTGTAAGTTATATGAGATATTCCTAAAAATCTCTTTCACATTCTTAAAAATGGCCATTATTCATTTAGCATATATTTATTTATTTTATTTTACTTATTTATTTATTTTGGAGACACAGTCTCACTCTGTCACCCAGGTTGGAATGCAGTGGCGCCATCTCAGCTCACTGCAACCTCTGCCTCCCGGGTCCAAACGACTGTCATGCCTCAGTCTCCCAAGTAGCTGGGATTACAGGCATGAGCCACCACACCCAGCTAATTTTTGTATTTTTAGTAGAGACAGGGTTTTGCCATATTGGCCAGGCTGGTCTCGAACTCCTGGTTTCAAGTGATCTGCCTGCCTCAGCCTCCCAAACTGCTGGGATTACAGGTGTGAGCCACTGTGTCCAGCCTAGCATACATTTATTGAGAGATGATTATATGTCAGACATTGTCATAGGTGCTTGGGATACATCCCTGAAAAAAAACAGACAAAAATCCCAGGCCTCCTGAGGAAGGAGATGGGCAACAGACAAAATAGATAAATTAGTGCATTGGTGCATGATAAGTTTTATATTTTAAGGAGGTAAGGAGACAAATAATAAGGCTGGCAGAACTGCTAAGGATTGCTGAGGTGTTGGGAAATCACAACGTTAAATGGGCCATGAGGCAGAGTCTCCCTGAGAAGATATGGAGGAGGTGAGAGGGCACGCCATGCGAATATTTGGAGAAAGAGGATTTCTGGAAGAGGGAGTAGCAAATGCAAATTTCAGGGACTGAAGATGGGAACAAGGGAGAGTGGAATGGAAGATGAAGTTCTAGTTTCCACCTTATTTTGTCAACAGCCGGCTACCTGGCTTTAAAATAAACCACACATCTAACCAGATAAACAAGTAGATTATATGTATTCTGATATAAATGCAAGTTCAGTGAGCAACCCAGATTGATATTTTCATGCCGTCGTATTTATTGACCATCTAGATGCCAGGCACATTCAGAGCATAGCACAGGTGAGTAGTACCCGTAGAGCTATACAGCAAGACAGCCCTGCACATGGTCCGTCCTTTTTCCTGCCTTCCTGGAATTTACAGTCCAGAAGGGGGGAAGAAAAAGCAGTTACCAGGGTGATACTTGTTACAAAAGCAAAGTACAGAGTACTAAGGCCATGCGCTCAGATGCAGCTATTGTAGCTGCCTCTGGGGTGGCAGGGAAGGCTTTCTGGAAAAAGTTATATTTCAGCCAAGGCTGAACAGTGGATGGGATGGGTCAGAATAAGTGAAGTGGGCCAGGCACAGTGGGTCACGCCTGTAATCCCAGCACTTTGGAAGGCTCAGGTGGCGGATCACTTGAGGTCAGAAGTTCGGGACCAGCCTGGCTAACAGGGTGAAACCCCGTCTCTACTAAAATTACAAAAAATTAGCCAGGCATGGTGGTGCACGCCTGTAATCCCAGCTACTCGGGGTACTGAGGCAGGAGAATCACTTGAACCTGGGAGGCGGAGGTTGCAGTGAGCCAAGATTATGCCACTGCACTCCAGCCTGGGCAACAGAGAGAGACTCTGTCTCAAAAAAAAAAAAAAAAAAAAAAAAGAAGTGAAGGGGCAAAGAAATTCCCTAAACAAGTGAATTTCCAGGCAAAGAATGGCCTATGCAAAGACCTAGAGACAATGGTGCCCCTGGCGCATCAGCGAAACTGAAAGGTACAGCAGGAAGGGAGCAAGGGGCCACAGCTGAAGAAGTAGACAGGAACCCGAGGCCACAGGGCCTTATAAATCTTTGAAGATGGAGGGTAATGGAAAAGTATTGAAGGGTTTTTAAGTAGGTGACTGACCATTAGCTTGGGGCTTTTTAAAGTTCAAGTATCTTAAGCTGAAAATGAATGTAGAAAAAAATATATTCAAAAGTTTCGTGGCCAGGCACGGCGGCTCACGCCTGTAATCCCAGCACTTTGGGAGGCTGAGGTGGGCGGATCACCTGAGATCAGGAGTTCAAGACCAGCTTGGCTAACATGGCGAAACCCCGTCTATACTAAAAATATGAAAAATAAAAAAAAACGTTTCAGTGTCACCCAATTCTCACTGAACATGTATGTGCATGCTAAATACATTATGAGGTAATCTATAGGAATGGAGACTATGGCCAACAGCAGAGACAAAATATTTCATGTCTTTTGCCTCTAAACAGCTGAATAATACAAACCTTTGGATAATTGAAACAGCTGTGCTAAATATCAGGGTTGCAGCCTCACAATGGCAGACTGGCAGACAATTTCTATCATTGTGTCTCCACCTCTTTTGCTGGCTGTGTCTAAACACAGGCAGCAGCAGTGCTGGCGTGAGCAGGTGTGAATCGACACACAGCAAGGTATATTAGAAATAGGGTAAAGAAATAAATACTTCAGCTCACTCCTTAGCCAAGTTAATGGAGAAATGCTCACTGAATCCAGTATTATGCCTGGAAGCAAGGAATTGAATAATAGGTGTTGGAATGATGGTAAGCTAATACTACTTAAAAAATCAACTCTATTTAATTTGGATATGTGCTAGTTGTCAATACTATCAAAGAATGAGAGTAACAAAGAACCCAATAAATTAATGTGGGGCTCCCCACAACATCTAAACATAAGGTCAGTATTAAAAACAGAATATAAAGGAAAAAAGGCAAAACCTCCAGTGATTGCAGAACTTAACGGTAACATCCTTATTTAAACATGTTTCAGTGTGTCTTTACGCGGATTCACTGACTCACATACAGCTCTTGGTAAAGCATCAACTTTTTTTGTAGTGCTGTCTGATTCTCTAAGAACCTGATGAGTTTCTTTGAGCAAGAAGTAGCAGCCCAATCTAGCTCAGCTGTACTCAATCTGAGTTGCTTTCCTACCTACAAACCCTCACTTCAAAGCAAGGAACATAATGTACAATTTTTTAATGGCTCTAGACCCAGGCACTCAGCCGCTCTGCTCTGCGCCTTACCTCAGTGTAAACACCTCATCAAGATTGCCTGCGCTTCAACAATAGCAGCCAAATGCAATTCGAGAACCACAAGCCTTTGAAGTCCTCCCTGCAAAGGCCGGTTTTCTAGTCTGGGATAATGACAAGCCATGATTGCTGTCTTTGTTGTATCTTTTCAGTAGAGAAGCAATTATAGGCCCCAATTTAACAGAATAGACATTACACAGCTTATGATGCTCAAAATGCAATTTCATTTGATCATTTTCTCGATTTGATTGGTATTAATAGAATGGTTCACAAAAAAAAAAAAATAGCTGGCAGAGGTTGTGTCCCATTCCACTTTGAAAGAGATAATGTAGAAGTATGCTTTACTTGCCCAGGGATCTCACTGGGGTGATTCAGCCACTGTGTTCTACCAAAACAGCCTGTGGAGGGAAATAATGTATATCCTACATTTTCTGGAATAGGAAGCGTGGGACACTGTATTTTTAATTTGTAAACTTTTCACCAGTGCTATGTAAGAGATTCCATCATTGTCAATCAAACAGTATCAACAGTAATAACCTGAATTAACTAAACTAAGTCCCCTTTATTTCTTAGACACTTACAAAAGTCAGGGAATCAGCATCCTCATGGCAGATCTATGAAAGAGTTCAACTTCCTTTTTTCCCAGGCTCCAGACGACAGTTTCTCTCAGTCATCCCCACTTTGAGGTTTGAAAAGGATGATTTCCTTGCCTGCTAAGTCAGCTTAGTTAGTTTTTTTACTCTTGACCTTCATTTCTCCTCCAAGATAGAGTTGATTTTTCTTTTAAATGAGTCATGTTTCTGTTGAACATCATGGTTATATGGGATTGAAACCTTTGCTATAACGTTGATAAAAGCTGTGAAATCTAATACTTTTATAAGGATCTAGTGTTTCATCTTGAACTAGCACTGTGAGAGGGACTGAGATAGAAAATATGATAAATAGCTGGCCTTGGTGGCTCATGCCTGTAATCCCAGCACTTTGGGAGGCAGGCCGATCACTTGAGTCCATTAGTCTGAGACCAACCTGGGCAACATGGTGAAACCCTGTCTCCACTAAAAATACAAAAATTAGCTGGGTGTGGTGGCACATGCCTGTAGTCCCAGCAACTTGGAAGGCTGAGGCAGGAGAACCGCTCGAGCCCAGGAGGCGGAGGTTGTAAGCCAAGATCATGCCACTGCGCTCCAGCCTGGACCACAGAGCAAGATCTGGAAAAAAAAAAGAGAGAGAAAGAAGAGAAATAGCTCATTTATAGTTCTAAGCTTTTCATTTTAGCACAAGTTGAATTGTTTCATGATGTGAAGTTTTCCATTTGCCATGTAGGTTAATCATTCAAAACCTGGTGATTACTTCTATTTGTAATCAGAAGAATTTCATGATCAAACAGTCCATTTTTGTTTCGTGTTTTAGGAATGAAAATTCAAGCACAAAAATGTTAAAAAGTTTTTATTTTTTCCCACTTTCAGATCAACCTTTAAGTATTCAAACATTCACACCATCTATCTGCCCTATCTCTCTATATATAAGTACAGTAATTGTGATAGTTACTTTAGTAAAGTTAATAGAGATAGCTCAGGTAGAAGTAAGGTTACACCTGAAATAAAAGAAAGAAAATGTTGTGTTTTGTCCAGGGAAGGCACATTGAGTGGTCAGGAATGAGGGTATCTTCATTGTCAAACATTTACTTATCACTTAATATTTAACAAATATCTTACCTCTTTCTTATTGAATACAAGTCTGAAGTCAAGGTAAACAGCAGAGGGGAGGCTGGGCACGGTGGCTCACGCCTGTAATCCCAGCACTTTGGAGGCCGAGGTGGGCGGATCACGAGGTCAGGAGATAGAGACCATCCTGGCTAACACGGTGAAACCCCGTCTCTACTAAAAATACAAAAAATTAGCCGGGGGTGGTGGCAGGTGCCTGTAGTCCCAGCTACTCAGGAGGCTGAGGCAGGAGAATGGCGTGAACCCGGGAGGCGGAGCTTGCAGTGAGCCGAGATTGTGCCACTGCACTCCAGCCTGGGCAACAGAGCGAGACTCCGTCTCAAAAAAAAAAAAAAAAAAAAAAAAAAACCAGCAGAGGGGAGATCTGAACACAAACAGGACAGATCCCAAAACCCAAGTTCTTTCTAGTCATACACTTTGCTGCTTCTCCACTACACAGCCCACCAGAGGAAATGTAACAAAACGCATGTAAAGTCCTAAATCTAAATTTTAAAACTAATTACGTCAGTTCAGAAGGGACAGACTTGACAGCATTTCTAGGCAGTGGAGCAGAGAGTGGGCAGAGGAGGCTGACCTGAGTACTGCAGCACAGGGGAATGAGACAGTCGGTCCTCTAAATAAGAGCAGGCTCACAGGAGAGCAGGGTCAGCTTCTAGCTGCGCAGAGCTGTTGTCTGAAGAAGGAGTTAGTCTGTTCTGTGTTATTCCAGAGGGCAGAGGGATAGAAAATACAGAGACATATATCTGCTCATATAAAGAAAAGCTTTCTGGCATTCAGGTTGCTCAGTTAGGGAGCAATATGTTTATCATGCATGAAACAGATTTCTTTTCTCCTCCTCAACCCGTAGAAGATCTTTAAACATATACTAATACTGACAAACAGGTAAGTCTTGCCAGGAAATGGGGCATGAATTTAGGCAGACAGCGAGTAAACATCTACCAGGGATGGTGTGGATGTACTGGAGAACTGGATTATCTCCAGAATCTTTTCCAGCATTAAGATTGCATAACTTTAAGTTTGCTTCCTGCAGTACATCCTGATGGCTGGAATTCCACATGACACAGACACTAATTTCTTGATTTAAAACAGGTAACTAATGGAGGCAATGAAGGGCCCTTAAATAACTTAGGAACCTAAATCCTGCATAGCTGCCTTCATTCATGGTTCCCAAACCTGCCTGCAGATTAGACCCACCTGGGGAGCTTTTTATTTATTTATTTATCTATTTATATTTATTTATTTATTTTGAGACGGAGGCTCACTCTGTCGCCCAGGCTGGAGTGCAGTGGCATGATCTCAGCTGACAGCAACCTCCGCCTCCCAGGTTTAAGCAGTTATCTGCCTCAGCCTTCCGAGTAGCTGGGATTACAGACCCCAGTCACCACGCCTGGCTAATTTTTTTTTTTTTTTTTTTTTTTTTTTGTATTTTTAGTAGAGATAGGGTTTCGCCATCTTGGCCAGGCTAGTCTTGAACTCCTGCCCTCGTGATCCACCCACCTTGGCTTCCCAAAGTGCCGGGATTATAGGTGTGAGCCACTGCGCCTGGACTTTTTAAATTTTTTTAAATAGTAGATAGGTAACTTTTAAAATATATTGATATCTGGGGCCACCCCCAGAGCTTATGATTTAATGGTTTTGAGGTGGGATCAGGGCATTAGTATTTTTTTTAATTTCCTCGGTTTTTCTAATATCTAACTAAAGTTGAGAACCACTGACTTTACATTATTCAAATTCTCTGAGTACCAAAACTACTAATTGTGCAGGTCTAGGATATTTCTAATAAGTGAGTTAGCAACATTGTTGCATGTGCAGGCTCCGGAGATAGACCACCCAGCTCTACTACTTACTAGCTGTTGATCCTGGGCAAATTACTTAACCTCTCTGTACCTTTGTTTTCTCATTTGCAAAAAGGGGGTAATAACATATGCATACCTAATAAGGTGGTTGTGAGGATTACCTGAGAACTAAGGGCCTAGGACAGATGCTGGCACACCGCGAGCATTCCATGTGTAGAAAACATTGTTATTTCTGTTGTCGTCATCATCTTGGCGTATAGTGTTATTTCATAGTGTTTCTATTGGTGTGATCAAACGTTACTTGCTGCATCCAGTTCAGATAACTGTTCTAAAATTGGGTCCCCTGAGTATGTATTGAGCATGTAAAGTAAGTAATAGTTTGACCTTAACGCACCAGTTTTCTCTTCGTGTCTGCAAGAGAAAACATTGTTTATTCCCATTCTCCTTAAGAACAATCAGGTCCCTGAGGACTGATGAGATGAATCCTTGAAATTAACTGAAAATAAAACCTAGCCCAGCAGGACCGTTTTCTAGAGTGCACAGACTTGAGTCCCATGGCTCTAAGACTAAAATGAATCCAGTTAACATGCTGTATGTGTTTTACCTACCTAGATCTCCTACCCCGTCAGAGTAACAGACAAGACGTCTATTCAGAATGCCAAGGAAATGGAAAATGCTGCCATCGATCCTGAAGATAAATGGCATCAAAGAGCACAACAGCTAAAGGTTACCTGCTAGATTGCATTTTAAGTGTGTTTCAAGCGATACTGCTGAATATAAGTAATGATCGTGACTGAGTTCTTATCACTTAAGGGTTTATTTTTATGCCTGAGAATAATTACCCACTTTCCTATGGGTAAGACTGGCTTCTGCTCAGAGGAGCCATTGCCTGCTCAGCCAGCCAACCCTACCTGTTTTTCCAAGGGTTCTGTTTGCTGGAAGAAAATAATCATATCACACTTCCAACATACTGAGTTAGAACCCCACACAGAAGGAAGGCATGGAAAGACATGCAGGAAAAATCACAGTTCCAGAGAATTGTCCAACTCTGTGCTGCTCCCAAATCTGATTCCTTTTGGAGTTGGCAGTTACTTATTATTCCTAGACAATGGGGACACTATTCCTGAAAACTGGATGGGAATTCCCAGAGCCTCACCAAACCCTCATTTTCAGAATATAAAAGCTTACCAACTGGTCATTTAGCGTGATGACATCCTTTCTGGCCTTGGGTTTACTACTTTGAAATCATAAATGTGATTTCAGGGAAGATTTTTCTGAAATTCTCCACACTGTTTTTCTAGAAGAAACAGAAAAAGGTCAGACACAATGGCTCACACCTGTAATCCCAGCAATTTGGGAGACCAAGATGGGTGGATCACCTGAGGTCAGGAGTTTGAGACCAGCTTGGCCAACATAGTGAAACCCTGTCTCTACTAAAAATACAAAGATTAGGTCAGGCCCGTTGGCTCATGCCTGTCATCCCAGCATTTTGGGAGGCCGAGGTGGGTGAATCACAAGGTCAGGAGTTCGAGACCAGCCCGGCCAATATGGTGAAACCCCATCTCTACTAAAAATTACAAAAATTAGCTGGGTCTGGTGGCAGGCGCCTATAGTTCCAGCTATTCAGGAGGCTGAGGCAGGAGAATCACTTGAACCTGGAAGGCGAAGGTTGCAGTGAGCCAAGATCATGCCACTGCGTTCCAGCCTGGGTGACAGAGCAAGACTCCGTATCAAAAAAGAAAAAAAAAAAAAGATTAGCCAGGCATGATGGTGCTCACCTGTAGTCCCAGCTACTAGGGAAGCTGAGGCAGGAGATTTCCTTGAACTTGGGAGGTGGAAGTTGCAGTGAGCCAAGATTGTGCCACTGCACTGCAGCCTAGGTGACAGAGCAAGACTCCATCTCAAAAAAAAAAAAAAAAAAAGAAAAAAGAAAAAGAAAAAGAAAAAGAAAATAGAAAAAGCACTAGAAGCTCAGGTTTTTCTTGACCCGTGTATGTGGACCCTTGGACCAGGCTTTATCCCTGCCTAAGAAGAGATGAGTCCTTTGAAAATTACTGAACCTATAGAGCCTGTTGACATCAGTTAAAACTATATACAGTGATAAACATAGTAAAAATAATAATGAGTTTTACCTGAGCTTCAGAGAGGTTAGAAAGAAGGGACAGCCCGAATCATCTCTTTTCCTCTCCAGTGGACTCCAGGCCTCTCTTAAGAGTTGCAAAAAAAGAAATAAAAAGTCATTCACCCAGAGCTTCCTGAAAGTTGATGCCAGTGAGGCCATACCTAGAAGTTGAGAGGATGGCGACTGAAATGTCTCATGGCTGTGGGATGTGGAGGACAGGATCCACTACCAGATGTGATAGAGAGCCAGGGGAGCTTGGTCAACAGGAACCAGGGACAAAGGAAATACCTTAAGATTTGCCATGCATTATGGGTAATGGACTGGGTCACGAGAGATGAATTTCTGGGCCTCAGCCTGCCATTTACTTGATTCATGACTGGGCAAATCTCAGCTTTTTCAAAACCTTAAATTTCTTCTTTATTAAATGAAGGATTAGTCTAAATGACCTTCAAGGTCCATCTCAGCTGCAAAATGCTAGAATTCTATGACCATGCATTTCTAGTTATTTAAATTATTATAGAAAAATACATTTGAAGCATGTAAGATTATCGCAACCTGTAGCTTTCATAATTGTCACTAAGGAAAGCCATAGGATTCTCAGCTAATGATAAAATGATCGAGGTAAAAAGCTTTGCCCAGTGGCAACATCATAACCAGTGAGGTTTATACAGGGTGCAATTATTGCTAACTGAAAACTTTTCCTAATACCCACCATGATGACTTGAAATATAGTCGGCATTGGCAATTTTGGATAGTCTCTATGGAGACTGAAGAAAAAATGATAATAATCAAGGTAAAATCGCAGTGCTTGATTTATGGCATGACCTTTGACAGAAGCAGTAAAACTTTTGTATGGAAGAAAATCAGAAGAAAACCAAAAGAATGCTTTTTATTCCCTGCGTGTACTGTAATTAATGCTCTTATAACCCATTCCTGAATGAAGAAATTGTGGAGCAAAACATCTAAAAAGTGTTATTGACCTAAAATGACAATAACCACAAATGGCCTAAGGGATGTTTCCCATTCTTTAGGTGGAAAGGATTTGTGGACTGCCCACTGCATGCTACACACCAGCCCAGCACTCTGGGACACAGACACTTTAGGCTGCCTTTCTTTTTCCTCTTCAACTACCCAAGTCCAATGCCTTCTTTTTAGTGCCTCCTCAAGGGCCACCTCTGCATGGAGATTCCCAGCCTCTCCCACCCTGCTCCTCTGCCCTCAGCTCCTGCTGTGTCTGTAGTCTGGGCCACTGGCTCAGGGCCTGCCATATTGGGCCGTGTCTCATTAACTGCTGCCTGTGTTTCTTTTTCTTTTCTTTTCTTTTTTCTTTTTTTTTTTTTTGAGACGGAGTTTTGTTCTTGTTGCCTAGGCTGGAGTGCAATGGTAGGATCTTGGCTCACTGTAACCTCCGCCTCCTGGGTTCAAGCGATTCTCCTGTCTCAGCCTCCTGAGTAGCTGGGATTACAGGCACCCACCACCACGCCCAGCTAATTTTTGTATTTTTAGTAGAGATGGGGTTTCACCATGTTGGCCAGGCTGGTCTCGAACTCCTGACCTCAGGTGATCTGCCCGCCTGGGCCTCCCAAAGTGCTAGGATTACAGGCGTGAGCCACTGTGCCTGTGTTTCTTTTGTACCCACTACACTACAAGATCTTTTAAGGTACCGATTGTATTTTTCTCTACATCCCCTACCACAGTGCTTTGCCCAAGGCTGATGCTCAGTAAATATTTACTGACTGATTAAAGAAACATTTAAAGATCATGGGCCAGGCACAGTGGCTCATGCCTATAATCCTATTGCTTTTTTGGAGGCCAAGGAGGGAGGACTGCTAGAGGCCAGGAATTCGATGTTACAGGTGCCACTGTACTCCAGCCTGGGCAATAGAGCAAGACCCTGTCTCTAAAAAATACAAAATGCAGATAAAAAGATTATTTAGTGTATCTCCAGGAGAAAATGGACCTCATTTGAAAATTTTTTCTTGAAAAATGACTTTCAGAGTTTCATAAACCTACCCTAACAACAATAACCTTCACTAATGTGAAATATCTTTGTGCAAAATCAAAATATTTCACACAACAAATATTTATTGAGTATCTACTGCATTCCAGGCACTGTGGATTAGGTGCCTGGCCCAAAAGATACGGGGAAAAAAAAAAAAAACAAGCAAACAAACAACAACAAAAATTCTTTAAAACAATAAATAAAACTTGAAGAAAGGTTGTTTTTTGTAGTTGTTGGTTTTTTGTTGTTGTTGTTTTTGAGACCGAGTCTCACTCTGTTGCCCAGGCTGGAGTGCAGTGGCACAATCTCGGCTCACTGCAAGCTCCGTCTCCCGGGTTCAAGCCATTCTCCTGCCTCAGCTTCCTGAGTAGCTGGGACTATAGGCACCCGCCACCACGCCCGGCTAATTTTTTGTATTTTTAGTAGAGACGGGGTTTCACCGTGTTAGCCAGGATGGTCTTGATCTCCTGACCTCGTGATCCGCCCGCCTCGGCCTCCCAAAGTGCCAGGATTACAGGCGTGAGCCAACACGCCTGGCCCATTTTTTCTTTTTAAGGCTGAGTTTCACTCTCGTTACCCAGGCTGGAGTGCAATGGCACAATCTCGGCTTACCACAACCTCTGCCTACCAGGTTCAAGCCTCCCAAGTAGCTGGGATTACAGGCATGTGCCACCACGCCTCGCTAATTTTGTATTTTCAGTAGAGATGGGGTTTCTTCATGTTGGTCAGGCTGGCCTCGAACTCCTGACCTCAGGTGATCTGCCTGCCTTGGCCTCCCAAAGTGCTGGGATTACAGGTGTGAGCCACCACGCCTGGCCAAGGTTGTTTTTTGTTTTTTTTTTTTTTTAAAGCAGTACCTCCCCTCTAGGAGTTCAACACTTTAGTGGGAATCATTATGTAATCATTATAATGCAGTAATATGGACCTGGGTACAAAATGCAGTGGAACTAAAAGAGCAACTAATTCTGCCCTAAGAAGACGGAGAAATAACCCCCATAGGAGTCAGTATCTCAGCTGCCCCTAGAAGGACAAATCCGGGCAAAGGTGTGAAAGTGGGAGGAGGAACGAGGAACCATGACAGCTCTGGCTGCTATTTGTATGGTCTAGGGAGGGAAAAGTTGACATAGTTGGTAAGGGCTGCTGTCTGCCTCACGCATCCCAGGACTCAGACTGGAGAAGAGATTGTTCGCAATCTAAGCAGGTACCCAGCAGTGAGGTGCCGTGCAAGGGACATTACACATGCAACTCATGTATATGGAAGGCTCCATGACTTGAAAAGACTAAATACCAAAAATACAAACAATAATAATTACATATATGTAGATAGATGTATATTTGTTTGTTTATGTGTGGAGTGACAGAGAAAATGATGAAATGTGACCAAATGTTTAAAATTGTTCAATCTGGATAAGAATCCTTTAGAGTTGTCCATACTAGCAATTTTTCTGTAAGTTTGAAATAACTTGAAAATAAAAAGGTCAAGAAAAAAGTGCCCACAGGATTTGGTGACTAAAAGTTTATTGGTGGCCTGAACAGAGCAATTTCAGCGGGATGGGGAGAAGGAACGCTCTATGGCAGGGGACAGAGGTCAG